>NC_000001.11:123481326-123807352 GCF_000001405.40 Homo sapiens
TCGTTGGAAACGGGATTTCTTCATATTCTGCTAGACAGAAGAATTCTCAGTAACTTCCTTGTGTTGTGTGTATTCAACTCACAGAGTTGAACGATCCTTTACACAGAGCAGTCTTGAAACACTCTTTTTGTGGAATTTGCAAGTGGAGATTTCTGCCGCTTTGGGGCCAAAGGCAGAAAAGGAAATATCTTCGTATAAAAACTAGACAGAATGATTCTCAGAAACTCCTTTGTGATGTGTGTGTTCAACTCACAGAGTTTAACCTTTCTTTTCATAGAGCAGTTAGGAAACACTCTGTTTGTAAAGTCTGCAAGTGGATATTCAGACCTCCTTGAGGCCTTCGTTGGAAACGGGATTTCTTCATATTATGCCAGACAGAAGAATTCTCAGTAACTTCCTTGTGTTGTGTTTATTCAACTGACAGAGTTGAACTTTCATTTAGAGACAGCAGATTTGAAACACTGTTTTTGTGGAATTTGCAAGTGGAGATTTCAAGCGCTTTGGGGCCAAAGGCAGAAAACGAAATATCTTCGTATAAAAACTAGACAGAATCATTCTCAGAAACTGCTGCGTGATGTGTGCGTTCAACTCTAAGAGTTTAACTTTTCTTTTCATTCAGCGGTTTGGAAACACTCTGTTTGTAAAGTCTGCACGTGGATATTTTGACCACTAAGAGGCCTTCGTTGGAAACGGGTTTTTTTCATGTAAGGCTAGACAGAAGAATTCCCAGTAACTTCCTTGTGTTGTGTACATTCAACTCACAGAGTTGAAAGTTCCCTTAGACAGAGCAGATTTGAAACACTCTTTTTGTGCCATTGGCAAGTGGAGATTTCAAGCGCTTTAAGGTCAATGGCAGAAAAGGAAATATCTTCGTTTCAAAACTAGACAGAATCATTCCCACAAACTGCGTTGTGATGTGTTCGTTCATCTCACAGAGTTTAACCTTTCTTTTCATAGAGCAGTTAGGAAACACTCTGTTTGTAAATTCTGTAAGTGGATATTCTGACATCTTGTGGCCTTCGTTGGAAAAGGGATTTCTTCATCTTCTGCTAGACAGAAGAATTCTCAGAATCTTCCTTGTGTTGTGTGTATTCAACTCACACAGTTGAACGATGGTTTACACAGAGCAGATTTGAAACACTCTTTTTGTGGAATTTGGAAGTGGAGATTTCAGCCGCTTTGAGGTCAATGGTAGAAAAGGAAATATCTTCGTATAAAAACTAGACAGAATGATTTTCATGAACTCCTTTGTGATGTGTGCGTTCAACTAACAGAGTTTAACCTTTCTTTTCATAGAGCAGTTAGGAAACACTCTGTTTGTAAAGTCTGCAAGTGGATATTCAGACCTCCTTGAGGCCTTCGTTGGAAACGGGATTTCTTCATATTCTGCTAGACAGAAGAATTCCCAGTAACTTCCTTGTGTTGTGTGTGTTCAACTCACAGAGTTGAACTTTCATTTACACAGAGCAGATTTGAAACACTCTTTTTGTGGAATTTGCAAGTGGAGATTTCAAGCGCTTTGAGGCCAAAGGCAGAAAAGTAAATATCTTCGTATAAAAACTAGACAGAAATCATTCTCAGAAACTGCTCTGCGATGTGTGCGTTCAACTCTCAGGAGTTTAACTTTTCTTTTCATTCAGCAGTTTGGAAACACTCTGTTTGTAAAGTCTGCACGTGGATATTTTGACCACTTAGAGGCCTTCGTTGGAAACGGGTTTTTTTCCTGTAAGGCTAGACAGAAGAATTCCCAGTAACTTCCTTGTGTTGTGTGCATTCAACTCACAGAGTTGAACTTTCCCTTAGACAGAGCAGATTTGAAACACTCTATTTGTGCAATTTGCAAGTGTAGATTTCAAGCGCTTTAAGGTCAATGGCAGAAAAGGAAATATCTTCGTTTCAAAACTAGACAGAATCATTCCCACAAACTGCGTTGTGATGTGTTCGTTCAACTCACAGAGTTTAACCTTTCTGTTCATAGAGCAGTTAGGAAACACTCTGTTTGTAAAGTCTGTAAGTGGATTTTCTGACATCTTGTGGCCTTCGTTGGAAACGGGATTTCTTCATATTCTGCTACACAGAATAATTCTCAGTAACTTCCTTGTGTTGTGTGTATTCAACTCACAGAGTTCAACGATCCTTTACACAGAGCAGACTTGAAACACTCTTTTTGTGGAATTTGCAAGTGGAGATTTCAGCCGCTTTGAGGTCAATGGTAGAAAAGGAAACTATCTTCGTATAAAGACTAGAAAGAATGATTCTCAGAAACTCCTTTGTGATGTGTGCGTTCAACTCACAGAGTTTAACCTTTCTTTTCATAGAGCAGTTAGGAAACACTCTGTTTGTAAACTCTGCAAGTGGATATTCACACCTCTTTGAGGCCTTCGTTGGAAACGGGATTTCTTCATACTGTGCTAGACAGAAGAATTCTCAGTAACTTCCTTGTGTTGTGTGTATTCAACTCACAGAGTTGAACGATCCTTTACACAGAGCGGAGTTGAAACACTCTTTTTGTGGAATTTGCAAGTGGAGATTTCAGCCGCATTGAGGTCAATGGTAGAAAAGGAAATATCTTCGTATAAAAACTAGACAGAATCATTCTCAGAAACTGCTCTGCGATGTGTGCGTTCAACTCTCAGAGTTCAACTTTTCTTTTCATTCAGCAGTTTGGAAACACTCTGTTTGTAAAGTCTGCACGTGGATAATTTGACCACTTAGAGGCCTTCGTTGGAAACGGGTTTTTTTCATGTAAGGCTAGACAGAAGAATTCCCAGTAACTTCCTTGTGTTGTGTACATTCAACTCACAGAGTTGAACGTTCCCTTAGATAGAGCAGATTTGAAACACTCTTTTTGTGCAATTGGCAAGTGGAGATTTCAAGCGCTTTAAGGTCAATGGCAGAAAAGGAAATATCTTCGTTTCAAAACTAGACAGAATCATTCCCACAAACTGCGTTGTGAGGTGTTCGTTCAACTCACAGAGTTTAACCTTTCTTTTCATAGAGCAGTTAAGAAACAGTCTGTTTGTAAATTCTGTAAGTGGATATTCTGACATCTTGTGGCCTTCGTTGGAAACGGGATTTCTTGATATTCTGCTAGACAGAAGAATTCTCAGTAACTTCCTTGTGTTGTGTGTATTCAACTCACAGAGTTGAACGATCCTTTACACAGAGCAGACTTGAAACACTCTTTTTGTGGAATTTGCAAGTGGAGATTTCAGCCGCTTTGAGGTCAATGTTAGAATAGGAAATATCTTCCTATAAAAACTAGACAGAAAGATTCTCAGAAACTCCTTTGTGATGTGTGCGTTCAACTCACAGAGTTTAACCTTTCTTTTCATAGAGCAGTTAGGAAACACTCTGTTTGTAAAGTCTGCAAGTGGATATTCAGACCTCTTTGAGGCCTTCGTTGGAAACGGGTTTTTTTCATATAAGGCTAGAGAGAAGAATTCTCAGTAACTTCCTTGTGTTGTGTGTATTCAACTGACAGCGTTGAACTTTCATTTAGAGAGAGCAGATTTGAAACACTGTTTTTGTGGAATTTGCAAGTGGAGATTTCAAGCGCTTTGGGGCCAAAGGCTGAAAAGGAAATATCTTCGTATAAAAACTAGACAGAATGATTCTCAGAAACTCCTTTGTGATGTTTGCTTTCAAATCACAGAGTTTAACCTTTCTTTTCATAGAGCAGTTAGGAAACACTCTGGTTGTAAAGTCTGCAAGTGGATATTTTGACCACTTAGAGGTCTTCGTTGGAAACGGGTTTTTTTCATGTAAGGCTAGACAGAAGAATTCCCAGTAACTTCCTTGTGTTGTGTGCATTCAACTCACAGAGATGAACGTTCCCTTAGACAGAGCAGATTTGAAACACTCTATTTGTGCAATTTGCAAGTGTAGATTTCAAGCGCTTTAAGGTCAATGGCAGAAAAGGAAATATCTTCGTTTCAAAACTAGACAGAATGATTCTCAGAAACTCCTTTGTGATGTGTGCGTTCAACTCACAGAGTTTAACCTTTCTTTTCATAGAGCAGTTAGGAAACACTCTGTTTGTAAAGTCTGCAAGTGGATATTCAGACATCTTTGAGGCTTTCGTTGGAAACGGGATTTCTTCACATTCTGCTAGACAGAAGAATTCTCAGAAACTTCGTTGTGTTGTGTGTTTTCAACTCACAGAGTTCAACGATCCTTTACACAGAGCAGACTTGAAACACTCTTTTTGTGGAATTTGCAAGTGGAGATTTCAGCCATTTTGAGGTCAACGTTAGAAAAGGAAATATCTTCGTATAAAAACTAGACAGAATGATTCTCAAAAACTCCTTTGTGATGTGTGCGTTCAACTCACAGAGTTCAACCTTTCTTTTCCTAGAGCAGTTGGGAAACACTCTGTTTGTAAAGTCTGCAAGTGGATATTCAGACATCCTTGAGGCTTTCGTTGGAAACGGGATTTCTTCATATTCTGCTATACAGAAGAATTCCCAGTAACTTCCTTGTGTTGTGTGTGTTCAACTCACAGAGTTGAACTTTCATTTACACAGAGCAGATTTGAAACACTCTTTTTGTGGAATTTGCAATTGGAGATTTCAAGCGCTTTGAGGCCAAAGGCAGAAAAGGAAATATCTTCGTTTCAAAACTAGACAGAATCATTCCCAGAAACTGCTCGGCGATGTGTGCTTTCCACTCTCAGAGTTTAACTTTTCTTTTCATTCAGCAGTTTGGAAACACTCTTTTTTTAAAGTCTGCACGTGGATATTTTGACCTCTTAGAGTCCTTCGTTGGAAACGGGTTTTTTTCCTGTAAGGCTAGACAGAAGAATTCCCAGTAACTTCCTTGTGTTGTGTACATTCAACTCACAGAGTTGAACGTTCCCTTAGACAGAGCAGATTTGAAACACTCTTTTTGTGCAATTGGCAAATGGAGATTTCAAGGGCTTTAAGGTCAATGGCAGAAAAGGAAATATCTTCGTTTCAAAACTAGACAGAATCATTCCCACAAACTGCGTTGTGATGTGTTCGTTCAACTCACAGAGTTTAACCTTTCTGTTCATAGAGCAGTTAGGAAACACTCTGTTTGTAAAGTCTGTAAGTGGATATTCTGACATCTTGTGGCCTTCGTTGGAAACGGTATTTCTTCCTCTTCTGCTAGACAGAAGAATTCTCAGTAACTTCCTTGTGTTGTGTGTATTTAACTCACAGAGTTGAACGATCCTTTACACAGAGCAGACTTGAAACACTCTTTTTGTGGAATTTGCAAGTGGAGATTTCAGCCGCTTTGAGGTCAATGGTAGAAAAGGAAACTATCTTCATATAAAGACTAGACAGAATGATTCTCAGAAACTCCTTTGTGATGTGTGCGTTCAACTCACAGAGTTTAACCTTACTTTTCATAGAGCAGTTAGGAAACACTCTGTTTGTAAAGTCTGCAAGTGGATATTCAGACATCTTTGAGGCCTTCGTTTGAAACGGGATTTCTTCATGTTCTGCTAGACAGAAGAATTCCCAGTAACTTCCTTGTGTTGTGTGTGTTCAACTCACAGAGTTGAACTTTCATTTACACAGAGCAGATTTGAAACACTCTTTTTGTGGAATTTGCAAATGGAGATTTCAAGCGCTTTGAGGCCAAAGGCAGAAAAGGAAATATGTTCGTATAAAAACTAGACAGAATCATTCTCAGAAACTGCTCTGCGATGTGTGCGTTCAACTCTCAGAGTTTAACTTTTCTTTTCATTCAGTAGTTTGGAAACACTCTGTTTGTAAAGTCTGCACGTGGATAACTTGACCACTTAGAGGCCTTCGTTGGAAACGGGTTTTTTTCATGTAAGGCTAGACAGAAGAATTCCCAGTAACTTCCTTGTGTTGTGTGCATTCAACTCACAGAGTTGAACGTTCCCTTAGACAGAGCAGATTTGAAAAACTCTATTTGTGCAATTTGCAAGTGTAGATTTCAAGCGCTTTAAGGTCAACAGGCAGAAAAGGAAATATCTTCGTTTCAAAACTAGACAGAATGATTCTCAGAAACTCCTTTGTGATGTGTGCGTTCAACTCACAGAGTTCAACCTTTCTTTTCATAGAGCAGTTGGGAAACACTCTGTTTGTAAAGTCTGCAAGTGGATATTCAGGCTTCTTTGAGGCCTTCGTTGGAAGCGGGATTTCTTCATATTCAGCTAGACAGAAGAATTCTCAGTAACTGCCTTGTGTTGTGTGTATTCAACTCACAGAGTTGAACGATCCTTTACACAGAGCAGACCTGAAACACTCTTTTTGTGGAATTTGCAAGTGGAGATTTCAGCCGCTTTGAGGTCAATGGTAGAATAGGAAATATCTTCCTATAGAAATTAGACAGAATGATTCTCAGAAACTCCTTTGTGATGTGTGTGTTCAACTCACAGAGTTTAACCTTTCTTTTCATAGAGCAGTTAGTAAACACTCTGTTTATAAAGTCTGCAAGTGGATATTCAGACCCCTTTGAGGCCTTCGTTGGAAACGGTATTTCTTCATATTATGCTAGACAGAAGAATTCCCAGTAACTTCCTTGTGTTGTGTGTGTTCAACTCACAGAGTTGAACTTTCATTTACACAGAGCAGATTTGAAACACTCTTTTTGTGGAATTTGCAAGTGGAGATTTCAAGCGCTTTGAGGCCAAAGGCAGAAAAGGAAATATCTCCGTTTCAAAACTAGACAGAATCATTCTCAGAAACTGCTCTGCGATGTGTGCGTTCAACTCTCAGAGTTTAACTTTTCTTTTCATTCAGCAGTTCGGAAACACTCTGTTTGTAAAGTCTGCACGTGGATATTTTGACCACTTAGAGGCCTTCGTTGGAAACGGGTTTTTTTCCTGTAAGGCTAGACAGAAGAATTCTCAGTAACTTCCTTGTGTTGTGTGTATTCAACTCACAGAGTTGAACAATCTTTTACACAGAGCAGACTTGAAACACTCTTTTTGTGGAATTTGCAAATGGAGATTTCAGCCGCTTTGAAGTCAAAGGTAGAAAGGGAAATATCGTCGTATAAAAACTAGACAGAATGATTCTCAGAAACTCCTTTGTGATGTGTGCGTTCAACTCACAGAGTTTAACCTTTCTTTTCATAGAGCAGTTAGGAAACACTCTGTTTGTAAAGTCTGCAAGTAGATATTCAGACCTCTTTGAGGCCTTCGTTGGAAACGGGTTTTTTTCATATAAGGCTAGACAGAAGAATTCCCAGTAACATCCTTGTGTTGTGTGTATTCAACTCACAGAGTTGAACTTTCATTTACACAGAGCAGATTTGAAACACTCTTTTTGTGGTATTTGCAAGTGGAGATTTCAGTCGCTTTGATGTGAATGATAGAAAAGGAAATATCTTCGTATAAAAACTAGACAGAATGATTCTCATAAACTCCTTTGTGATGTGTGCGTTCAACTCACCGAGTTTAACCTTTCTTTTCATAGAGCAGTTAGGAAACACTCTGTTTGTAAAGTCTGCAAGTGGATATTCAGACCTCTTTGAGGCATTCATTGGAAACGGGATTTCTTCATATTCTGCTAGACAGAAGAATTCCCAGTAACTTCCTTGTGTTGTGTGTGTTCAACTCACAGAGTTGAACTTTCATTTACACAGAGCAGATTTGAAACACTCTTTTTGTGGAATTTGCAAGTGGAGATTTCAAGCGCTTTGAGGCCAAAGGCAGAAAAGGAAATATCTTCGTATAAAAACTCGACAGAATCATTCTCAGAAACTGCTCTGCGATGTGTGCGTTCAACTCTCAGAGTTTAACTTTTCTTTTCATTCAGCAGTTTGGAAACACTCTGTTTGTAAAGTCTGCACGTGGATATTTTGACCACTTAGAGGCCTTCGTTGGAAACGGGTTTCTTTCCTGTAAGGCTAGACAGAAGAATTCCCAGTAACTTCCTTGTGTTGTGTGCATTCAACTCACAGAGTTGAACGTTCCCTTAGACAGAGCAGATTTGAAACACTCTATTTGTGCAATTTGCAAGTGTAGTTTTCAAGCTCTTTAAGGTCAACGGCAGAAAAGGAAATATCTTGGTTTCAAAACTAGACAGAATCATTCCCACAAACTGCGTTGTGATGTGTTCATTCAACTCACAGAGTTTAACCTTTCTGTTCATAGAGCAGTTAGGAAACACTCTGTTTGTAAAGTCTGTAAGTGGATATTCTGACATCTTGTGGCCTTCGTTGGAAACGGGATTTCTTCATATTATGCTAGACAGAAGAATTCTCAGTAACTTCCTTGTGTTGTGTGTATTCAACTCACAGAGTTGAACGATCCTTTACACAGAGCAGACTTGAAACACTCTTTTTGTGTAATTTGCAAGTGGAGATTTCAGCCGCTTTGAGGTCAATAGTAGAAAAGGAAATATCTTCATAGAAAAACTAGACAGAATGATTCTCAGAAACTCCTTTGTGATGTGTGCGTTCAACTCACAGAGTTTAACCTTTCTTTTTATAGAGCAGTTAGGAAACACTCTCTAAAGTCTGCAAGTGGATATTCAGACCTCCTTGAGGTCTTCGTTGGAAACGGGATTTCTTCATATTATGCTAGACAGAAGAATTCTCAGTAACTTCCTTGTGTTGTGTGTATTCAACTGACAGAGTTGAACTTTCATTTAGAGAGAGCAGATTTGAAACACTGTTTTTGTGGAATTTGCAAGTGGAGATTTCAAGCGCTTTGGGGCCAAAGGCAGAAAAGGAAATATCTTCGTGTAAAAACTACACAGAATCATTCTCAGAAACTGCTCTGCGATGTGTGCGTTCAACTCTCAGAGTTTAACTTTTCTTTTCATTCAGAAGTTTGGAAACACTCTGTTTGTAAAGTCTGCACGTGGATAACTTGACCACTTAGAGGCCTTCGTTGGAAACGGGTTTTTTTCATGTAAGGCTAGACAGAAGAATTCCCAGTAACTTCCTTGTGTTGTGTGCATTCAACTCACAGAGTTGAACGTTCCCTTAGACAGAGCAGATTTGAAACACTCTATTTGTGCAATTTGCAAGTGTAGTTTTCAAGCTCTTTAAGGTCAACGGCAGAAAAGGAAATATCTTCGTTTCAAAGCTAGACAGAATGATTCTCATAAACTCCTTTGTGATGTGTGCGTTCAACTCACAGAGTTTAACTTTTCTTTTCATATAGCAGTTAGGAAACACTCTGTTTGTAAAGTCTGAAAGTGGATATTCAGACCTCTTTGAGGCCTTCGTTGGAAATGGGATTTCTTCATATTATGCTAGACAGAAGAATTCTCAGAATCTTCCTTGTGTTGTGTGTATTCAACTCACAGAGTTGAACGATCCTTTACACAGAGCAGACTTGAAACACTCTTTTTGTGGAATTTGCAAGTGGAGATTTCAGCCGCTTTGAGGTCCATGGTAGAAAAGGAAATATCTTCGGATAAAAACTAGACAGAATGATTCTCAGAAACTCCTTTGTGATGTGTGCGTTGAACTCACAGAGTTTAACTTTTCTTCTCATAGAGCAGTTAGGAAACACTCTGTTTGTAAAGTCTGCAAGTGGATATTCAGACCTCCTTGAGGCCTTCGGGGAAAACGGGATTTCTTCATATTCTGCTAGACAGAAGAATTCCCAGTAACTTCCTTGTGTTGTGTGTGTTCAACTCACAGAGTTGAACTTTCATTTACACAGAGCAGATTTGAAACACTCTTTTTGTGGAATTTGCAAGTGGAGATTTCAATCGCTTTGAGGCCAAAGGCAGAAAAGGAAATATCTTCGTTTCAAAACTAGACAGAAATCATTCTCAGAAACTGCTCTGCGATGTGTGCGTTCAACTCTCAGGAGTTTAACTTTTCTTTTCATTCAGCAGTTTGGAAACACTCTGTTTGTAAAGTCTGCACGTGGATATTTTGACCACTTAGAGGCCTTCGTTGGAAACGGGTTTTTTTCCTGTAAGGCTAGACAGAAGAATTCCCAGTAACTTCCTTGCGTTGTGTACATTCAACTCACAGAGTTGAACGTTCCCTTAGACAGAGCAGATTTGAAACACTCTTTTTGTGCAATTGGCAAGTGGAGATTTCAAGCGCTTTAAGGTCAATGGCAGAAAAGGAAATATCTTCGTTTCAAAACTAGACAGAATGATTCTCAGAAACTCCTTTGTGATGTGTGCGTTCAACTCACAGAGTTTAACCTTTCTTTTCATAGAGCAGTTAGGAAACACTCTGTTTGTAAAGTCTGCAAGTGGATATTCAGACCTCCTTGAGGCCTTCGTTGGAAACGGGATTTCTTCATACTATGCTAGACAGAAGAATTCTCAGTAACTTCCTTGTGTTGTGTGTATTCAACTCACAGAGTTGAACGATCCTTTACACAGAGCAGACTTGTAACACTCTTTTTGTGGAATTTGCAAGTGGAGATTTCAGCCGCTTTGAAGTCAAAGGTAGAAAAGGAAATATCTTCCTATTAAAACTAGACAGAATGATTCTCAGAAACTCCTTTGTGATGTGTGCGTTCAACTCACAGAGTTTAACTTTTCTTTTCATAGAGCAATTAGGAAACACTCTGATTGTAAAGTCTTCAAGTGGATATTCAGACCTCTTTGAGGCCTTCGTTGGAAACGGGATTTCTTCATATTCTGCTAGACAGAAGAATTCTCAGTAACTTCCTTGTGTTGTGTGTATTCAACTGACAGAGTTGAACTTTCATTTAGAGAGAGCAGATTTGAAACACTGTTTTTGTGGAATTTGCAAGTGGAGATTTCAAGCGCTTTGGGGCCAAAGGCAGAAAAGGAAATATCTTCGTATAAAAACTAGACAGAATCATTCTCAGAAACTGCTGCGTGATGTGTGCGTTCAACTCTCAGAGTTTAACTTTTCTTTTCATTCAGCTGTTTGGAAACACTCTGTTTGTAAAGTCTGCACGTGGAAATTTTGACCACTTAGAGGCCTTCGTTGGAAACGGGATTTTTTCATGTAAGGCTAGACAGAAGAATTCGCAGTAACTTCCTTGTGTTGTGTACATTCAACTCACAGAGTTGAACGTTCCCTTAGACAGAGCAGATTTGAAACAGTCTTTTTGTGCAATTGGCAAGTGGAGATTTCAAGCGCTTTAAGGTCAATGGCAGAAAAGGAAATATCTTCGTTTCAAAACTAGACAGAATGATTCTCAGAAACTCCTTTGTGATGTGTGCGTTCAACTCACAGAGTTTAACCTTTCTTTTCATAGAGCAGTTAGGAAACACTCTGTTTGTAAAGTCTACAAGTGGATATTCGGACCTCCTTGAGGCCTTCTTTGGAAACGGGATATCTTCTTATTATGCTACACAGAAAAATTCTCAGTAACTTCCTTGTGTTGTGTGTATTCAACTCACAGAGTTGAATGATCCTTTACACAGAGCAGACTTGAAACACTCTTTTTGTGGAATTTGCAAGTGGAGATTTCAGCCGCTTTGAGGTCAATGGTAGAATAGGAAATATCTTCCTATAGAAACTAGACAGAATGATTCTCAGAAACTCCTTTGTGATGTGTGTGTTCAACTCACAGAGTTTAACCTTTCTTTTCATAGAGCAGTTAGTAAACACTCTGTTTATAAAGTCTGCAAGTGGATACTCAGACCCCTTTGAGGCCTTCGTTGGAAACGGGATTTCTTCATATTATGCTAGACAGAAGAATTCCCACTAACTTCCTTGTGTTGTGTGTGTTCAACTCACAAGAGTTGAACTTTCATTTACACAGAGCAGATTTGAAACACTCTTTTTGTGGAATTTGCAAGTGGAGATTTCAAGCGCTTTGAGGCCAAAGGCAGAAAAGGAAATATCTTCGTTTCAAAACTAGACAGAATCATTCTCAGAAACTGCTCTGCGATGTGTGCATTCAACTCTCAGAGTTTAATTTTTCTTTTCATTCAGCAGTTTGGAAACACTCTCTTTGTAAAGTCTGCACGTGGATATTTTGACCACTTAGAGGCCTTCGTTGGAAACGGGTTTTATTCCTGTAAGGCTAGACAGAAGAATTCCCAGTAACTTCCTTGTGTTGTGTACATTCAACTCACAGAGTTGAACGTTCCCTTAGACAGAGCAGATTTGAAATACTCTTTTTGTGCAATTGGGAAATGGAGATTTCAAGCGCTTTAAGGTCAATGGCAGAAAAGGAAATATCTTCGTTTCAAAACTAGACAGAATGATTCTCAGAAAGTTCTTTGCGATGTGTGCGTTCAACTCACAGAGTTTAACCTTTCTTTTCATACAGCAGTTAGGAAACACTCTGTAAACTCTGCAAGTGGATATTCAGACCTCTTTGAGGCCTTCGTTGGAAACGGGATTTCTTCATACTATGCTAGACAGAAGAATTCTCAGTAACTTTCCTTGTGTTGTGTGTATTCAACTCACAGAGTTGAACGATCCTTTACACAGAGCAGACTTGTAACACTCTTTTTGTGGAATTTGCAAGTGGAGATTTCAGCCGCTTTGAAGTCAAAGGTAGAAAAGGAAATATCTTCCTATAAAACGACATAGACAGAATGATTCTCAGAAACTCCTTTGTGATGTGTGCGTTCAACTCACAGAGTTTAACCTTTCTTTTCATAGAGCAGTTAGGAAACACTCTGTTTGTAAAGTCTGCAAGTGGATATTCAGACATCCTTGAGGCTTTCGTTGGAAACGGGATTTCTTCATGTTCTGCTAGACAGAAGAATTCCCAGTAACTTCCTTGTGTTGTGTGTGTTGAACTCACAGAGTTGAACTTTCATTTACACAGAGCAGATTTGAAACACTCTTTTTGTGGAATTTGCAAATGGAGATTTCAAGCGCTTTGAGGAAAAAGGCAGAAAAGGGAATATCTTCGTATAAAAACTAGACAGAATGATTCTCAGAAACTCCTTTGTGATGTGTGTGTTCACCTCACAGAGTTTAACTTTTCTTTTCATTCAGCGGTTTGGAAACACTCTGTTTGTAAAGTCTGCACGTGGATATTTTGACCACTTAGAGGCCTTCGTTGGAAACGGGTTTTTTTCATGTAAGGCTAGACAGAATAATTCCCAGTAACTTCTTTGTGTTGTGTACATTCAACTCACAGAGTTGAACGTTCCCTTAGACAGAGCAGATTTGAAACACTCTTTTTGTGAAATTGGCAAGTGGAGATTTCAAGCGCTTTAAGGTCAGTGGCAGAAAAGGAAATATCTTCGTTTCAAAACTAGACAGAATCATTCCCACAAACTGCGTTGTGATGGTTCGTTCAACTCACAGAGTTTAACCTTTCTTTTCATAGAGCAGTTAGGAAACAGTCTGTTTGTCAATTCTGTAAGTGGATATTCTGACATCTTGTGGCCTTCGTTGGAAACGGGATTTCTTCATATTCTCCTAGACAGAAGAATTCTCAGTAACTTCCTTGTGTTGTGTGTATTCAACTCACACAGTTGAACGATTCTTTACACAGAGCAGACTTGTAACACTCTTTTTGTGGAATTTGCAAGTGGAGATTTCAGCCGCTTTGAAGTCAAAGGTGGAAAAGGAAATATCTTCCTATAAAAACTAGACAGAATGATTCTCAGAAACTCCTTTGTGATGTGTGCGTTCAACTCACAGAGTTTAACCTTTCTTTTCATAGAGCAGTTAGGAAACACTCTGTTTGTAAAGTCTGCAACTGGATAATCAGACCTCTTTGAGGCCTTCGTTGGAAACGGGATTTCTTCATATTTTGCTAGACAGAAGAATTCTCAGTAACTTCCTCGTGTTGTGTGTATTCAACTCACAGAGTTGAGCGACGCTTTACACAGAGCAGACTTGAAACACTCTTTTTGTGGAATTTGCAAATGGAGATTTCAGCCGCTTTGAGGTCAATGGTTGAAAAGGAAATATCTTCATATAAAAATTTGACAGAATCATTCTCAGAAACTGCTCTGCGATGTGTGCGTTCAACTCTCAGAGTTTAACTTTTCTTTTCATTCAGCAGTTTGGAAACACTCTGTTTGTAAAGCCTGCACGTGGATATTTTGACCACTTAGAGGCCTTCGTTGGAAACGGGTTTTTTTCCTGTAAGGCTAGACAGAAGAATTCCCAGTAACTTCCTTGTGTTGTGTGCATTCAACTCACAGAGTTGAACGTTCCCTTAGACAGAGCAGATTGGAAACACTCTACTTGTGCAATTTGCAAGTGTAGATTTCAAGCGCTTTAAGGTCAATGGCAGAAAAGGAAATATCTTCGTTTCAAAACTAGACAGAATCATTCCCACAAACTGCGTTGTGATGTGTTCGTTCAACTCACAGAGTTTAACCTTTCTGTTCATAGAGCAGTTAGGAAACACTCTGTTTGTAAAGTCTGTAAGTGGATATTCTGACATCTTGTGGCGTTCGTTGGAAACGGGATTTCTTCATATTCTGCTAGAGAGAAGAATTCTCAGTAACTTCCTTGTGTTGTGTGTATTCAACTCACAGAGTTGAATGATGCTTTACACAGAACAGACTTGAAACACTCTTGTTGTGGAATTTTAAAGTGGAGATTTCAGCCGCTTTGAGGTCAACGGTAGAATAGGTAATATCTTCCTATAGAAACTAGACAGAATGACTCTCAGAAACTCCTTTGTGATGTGTGCGTTCAACTCACAGAGTTTAACCTTTCTTTTCATAGAGCAGTTAGGAAACACTCTGTTTGTAATGTCTGCAAGTGGATATTCAGACCTCTTTGAGGCCTTCGTTGGAAACGGGATTTCTTCATATTATGCTAGACAGAAGAATTCCCAGTAACTTCCTTTTGTTGTGTGTGTTCAACTCACAGAGTTGAACTTTGATTTACACAGAGCAGATTTGAAACACTCTTTTTGTGGAATTTGCAAGTGGAGATTTCAAGCGCTTTGAGGCCAAAGGCAGAAAAGGAAATATCTTCGTATAAAAACTAGACAGAATGATTCTCAGAAACTCCTTTGTGATGTGTGCGATCAACTCACAGAGTTTAACCTTTCTTTTCATAGAGCAGTTAGGAAACACTCTGTTTGTAAAGTCTGCAAGTGGATATTCAGACCTCTTTGAGGCCTTCGTTGGAAACGGGTTTTTTTCATATAAGGCTAGACAGAAGAATTCCCAGTAACTTTCCTTGTGTTGTGTGCGTTCAACTCACAGAGTTGAACTTTCATTTACACAGAGCAGATTTGAAACACTCTTTTTGTGGAATTTGCAAATGGAGATTTCAAGCGCTTTGAGGCCAAAGGCAGAAAAGGAAATGTACTTCGTTTCAAAACTAGACAGAGTGATTCTCATCAACTCCTTTGTGATGTGTGCGTTCAACTCACAGAGTTTAACCTTTCTTTTCATAGAGCAGTTAGGAAACACTCTGTTTGTAAAGTCTGCAAGTGGATATTCAGACCTCCTTGAGGCCTTCTTTGGAAACGGGATTTCTTCATATTCTGATAGACAGAAGAATTCTCAGTAACTTCCTTGTGTTGTGTGTATTCAACTCACAGAGTTGAACGATCCTTTACACAGAGCAGACTTGAAACACACTTTTTATGGAATTTGCAAGTGGAGATTTCAGCCGCTTTGAGGTCAAAGGTAGAAAAGGAAACTATGTTCGTATAAAGAGTAGACAGAATGATTCTCAGAAAATCCTTTGTGATGTGTGCGTTCAACTCACAGAGTTTAACTTTTCTTTTCATAGAGCAGTTAGGAAACACTCTGTTTGTAAAGTCTGCAAGTGGATATTCAGACCTCTTTGAGGCCTTCGTTGGAAACGGGATTTCTTCATATTATGCTAGACAGAAGAATTCTCAGTAACTTCCTTGTGTTGTGTGTATTCAACTGACAGAGTTGAACTTTCATTTAGAGAGAGCAGATTTGAAGCACTGTTTTTGTGGAATTTGCAAGTGGAGACTTCAAGTGCTTTGGGGCCAAAGGCAGAAAAGGAAATACCTTCGTATAAAAACTAGACAGAATCATTCTCCGAAACTGCTCTGCGATGTGTGCCTTCAGCGCTCAGAGTTTAACTTTTCTTTTCATTCAGCAGTTTGGAAACACTCTGTTTGTAAAGTCTGCACGTGGATATTTTGACCACTTAGAGGCCTTCGTTGGAAACGGGTTTTTGTCATGTAAGGCTAGACAGAAGAATTCCCAGTAACTTCCTTGTGTTGTGTGCATTCAACTCACAGAGTTGAACGTTCCCTTAGACAGAGCAGATTTGAAACACTCTATTTGTGCAATTTGCAAGTGTAGTTTTCAAGCTCTTTAAGGTCAACGGCAGAAAAGGAAATATCTTCGTTTCAAAACTAGACAGAATCATTCCCACAAACTGCGTTGTGATGTGTTCGTTCAACTCACAGAGTTTAACCTTTCCGTTCATAGAGCAGTTAGGAAACACTCTGTTTGTAAAGTCTGTAAGTGGATATTCTGACATCTTGTGGCCATCGTTGGAAACGGGATTTCTTCATATTCTGCTAGACAGAAGAATTCTCAGTAACTTCCTTGTGTTGTGTGTATTCAACTCACAGAGTTGAACGATCCTTTACACAGAGCAGACTTGAAACACTCTTTTTGTGGAATTTGCAAGTGGAGATTTCAGCCGATTTGAGGTCAATGGTAGAAAAGGAAATATCTTCGTAGAAAAACTAGACAGAATGATTCTCAGAAACTCCTTTGTGATGTGTGCGTTCAAATCACAGAGTTTAACTTTTCTTTTCATAGAGCAGTTAGGAAACACTCTGTTTGTAAAGTCTGCAAGTGGATATTCAGACCTCTTTGAGGCCTTCGTTGGAAACGGGATTTCTTCATATTATGCTAGACAGGAAAATTCCCAGTAACTTCCTTGTGTTGTGTGTGTTCAACTCACAGAGTTGAACTTTCATTTACACAGAGCAGATTTGAAACACTCTTTTTGTGGAATTTGCAAGTGGAGATTTCAAGCGCTTTGAGGCCAAAGGCAGAAAAGGAAATATCTTCGTATAAAAACTAGACAGAATCATTCTCAGCAACTGCTGCGTGATGTGTGCGTTCAACTCTCAGAGTTTACCTTTTCTTTTCATTCAGCGGTTTGGAAACACTATGTTTGTAAAGTCTGCACGTGGATATTTTGACCACTTAGAGGCCTTCGTTGGAAACGGGATTTTTTCATCTAAGGCTAGACAGAAGAATTCCCAGTAACTTCCTTGTGTTGTGTGCATTCAACTCACAGAGTTGAACGTTCCCTTAGACAGAGCAGATTTGAAACACTCTATTTGTGCAATTGGCAACTGTAGATTTCAAGCGTTTAAGGTCAATGGCAGAAAAGGAAATATCTTCGTTTCAAAACTAGACAGAATGATTCTCAGAAACTCCTTTGTGATGTGTGCGTTCAACTCACAGAGTTTAACCTTTCTTTTCATAGAGCAGTTAGGAAACACTCTGTTTGTAAAGTCTGCAAGTGGATATTCAGACATCTTTGAGGCTATAGTTGGAAACGGGATTTCTTCATGTTCTGCTAGACAGAAGAATTCTCAGAAACTTCCTTGTGTTGTGTGTTTTCAACTCACAGAGTTGAACGATGATTTACACAGAGTAGACTTGAAACACTCTTTTTGTGTAATTTGCAAGTGGAGATTTCAGCCGCTTTGAGGTCAATGGTAGAAAAGGAAATATCTTCGTATAAAAACTAGACAGAATGATTCTCAGAAACTCCTTTGTGATGTGTGCGTTCAACTCACAGAGTTTAACCTTTCTTTTCATAGAGCAGTTAGGAAACACTCTGTTTGTAAAGTCTGCAAGTGGATATTCAGACCTCTTTGAGGCCTTCGTTGGAAGCGGGATTTCTTCATGTTCAGGTAGACAGAAGAATTCTCAGTAACTTCCTTGTGTTGTGTGTATTCAACTCACAGAGTTGAACGATCCTTTCCACAGAGCAGACTTGAAACACTCTTTTTGTGGAATTTGCAAGTGGAGATTTCAGCCGCTTTGAGGTCAATAGTAGAAAAGGAAATATCTTTACAGAAAAACTAGACAGAATCATTCTCAGAAACTGCTGCGTGATGTGTGCGTTCAACTCTCAGAGTTTAACTTTTCTTTACATTCAGCGGTTTGGAAACACTCTGTTTGTAAAGTCTGCACGTGGATATTTTGACCACTTAGAGGCCTTCGTTGGAAACGGGATTTTTTCATGTAAGGCTAGACAGAAGAATTCCCAGTAACTTCCTTGTGTTGTGTACATTCAACTCACAGAGTTGAAAGTTCCCTTAGACAGAGCAGATTTGAAACACTCTTTTTGTGCAATTGGCAAGTGGAGATTTCAAGCGCTTTAAGGTCAATGGCAGAAAAGGAAATATCTTCGTTTCAAAACTAGACAGAATCATTCCCACAAACTGCGTTGTGATGTGTTCTTTCAACTCACAGAGTTTAACCTTTCTTTTCATAGAGCAGTTAGGAAACAGTCTGTTTGTAAATTCTGTAAGTAGATATTCTGACATCTTGTGGCCTTCGTTGGAAACGGGATTTCTTCATATTCTGCTAGACAGAAGAATTCTCAGTAACTTCCTTGTGTTGTGTGTATTCAACTCACCGAGTTGAACGATCCTTTACACAGAGCAGACTTGAAACACTCTTTTTGTGGAATTTGCAAGTGGAGATTTCAGCCGCTTTGAGGTCAATGGCAGAAAAGGAAATATCTTCCTATAGAAACTAGACAGAATGATTCTCAGAAAATCTTTTGTGATGTGTGCGTTCAACTCACAGAGTTTAACTTTTCTTCTCATAGAGCAGTTAGGAAAGACTCTGTTTGTAAAGTCTGCAAGTGGATATTCAGACCTCTTTGAGGTCTTCGTTGGAAACGGGATTTCTTCATATTATGCTAGACAGAAGAATTCCCAGTAACTTCCTTGAGTTGTGTGTATTGAACTCACAGAGTTGAACTTTCATTTACACAGAGCAGATTTGAAACACTCTTTTTGTGGTATTTGCAAGTGGAGATTTCAGCGGCTTTGGTGTCAATGATAGAAAAGGAAATATCTTCGTATAAAAACTAGACAGAATCATTCTCAGAAACTGCTGCGTGATGTGTGCGTTCAACTCTCAGAGTTTAACTTTTCTTTTCAGTCAGCGGTTTGGAAACACTCTGTTTGTGAAGTCTGCACGTGGATATTTTGACCACTTAGAGGCCTTCGTTGGAAACGGGTTTTTTGCATGTAAGGCTAGACAGAAGAATTCCCAGTAACTTCCTTGTGTTGTGTGTATTCAACTCACAGAGTTGAACGATCTTTTACACAGAGCAGACTTGAAACACTCTATTTGTGCAATTTGCAAGTGTAGATTTCAAGCGCTTTAAGGTCAATGGCAGAAAAGGAAATATCTTCGTTTCAAAACTAGACAGAATCATTCTCAGAAACTGCTCTGTGATGTGTGCGTTCAACTCTCAGAGTTAAACTTTTCTTTTCATTCAGCAGTTTGGAAACACTCTGTTTGTAAAGTCTGCACGTGGATAATTTGACCACTTAGAGGCCTTCGTTGGAAACGGGTTTTTTTCATGTAAGGCTAGACAGAAGAGTTCTCAGTAACTTCCTTGTGTTGTGTGTATTCAACTCACACAGTTGAACGATCCTTTACAGAGAGCAGACTTGTAACACTCTTTTTGTGGAATTTGCAAGTGGAGATTTCAGCCGCTTTGAAGTCAAAGTAGAAAAGGAAATATCTTCCTATAAAAACTAGACAGAATGATTCTCAGAAACTCCTTTGTGCTGTGTGCGTTCAACTCACAGAGTTTAACCTTTCTTTTCATAGAGCAGTTAGGAAACACTCTGTTTGTTAAGTCTGCAGGTGGATATTCAGACCTCTTTGAGGCCTTCGTTGGAAGCGGGATTTCTTCATATTATGCTAGACAGAAGAATTCCCAGTAACTTCCTTGTGTTGTGTGTGTTCAACTCACAGAGTTGAACTTTGATTTACACAGAGCAGATTTGAAACACTCTTTTTGTGGAATTTGCAAGTGGAGATTTCAAGCGCTTTGAGGCCAAAGGCAGAAAAGGAAATATCTTCGTATAAAAACTGGACAGAATCATTCTCAGAAACTGCTCTGCGATGTGTGCGTTCAACTCTCAGAGTTTAACTTTTCTTTTCATTCAGCAGTTTGGAAACACTCTGTTTGTAAAGTCTGCACGTGGATAACTTGACCAGTTAGAGGCCTTCGATGGAAACGGGTTTTTTTCATGTAAGGCTAGACAGAAGAATTCCCAGTAACTTCCTTGTGTTGTGTGCATTCAACTCACAGAGTTGAACGTTCCCTTCGACAGAGCAGATTTGAAACACTCTATTTGTGCAATTTGCAAGTGTAGATTTCAAGCGCTTTAAGGTCAACGGCAGAAAAGGAAATATCTTCGTTTCAAAACTAGACAGAATGATTCTCAGAAACTCCTTTGTGATGTGTGCGTTCAACTCACAGAGTTTAACCTTTCTTTTCATAGAGCAGTTAGGAAACACTCTGTTTGTAAAGTCTGCAAGTGGATATTCAGAAATCTTTCAGGCTTTCGTTGGAAAAGGGATTTCTTCATATTCTGCTAGACAGAAGAATTCTCAGAAAGTTCGTTGTGTTGTGTGTTTTCAACTCACAGAGTTCAACGATCCTTTACACAGAGTAGACTTGAAACACCCTTTTTGTGGAATTGGCAGGGTGGAGATTTCAGCCGCTTTGAGGTCAATGGTAGAATAGGAAATATCTTCGTATAAAAACTAGACAGAATGATTATCAGAAACTCCTTTGTGATGTGTGCGTTCAACTCACAGAGTTTAACCTTTCTTTTCATAGAGCAGTTAGGAAACACTCTGTTTGTAAAGTCTGCAAGTGGATATTCAGACCTCCTTGAGGCCTTCGTTGGAAACGGGATTTCTTCATATTATGCTAGACAGAAGAATTCCCAGTAACTTCCTTGTGTTGTGTGTGTTCAACACACAGAGTTGAACTTTCATTTACCCAGAGCAGATTTGAAACACTCTTTTTGTGGAATTTGCAAGTGGAGATTTCAAGCGCTTTGAGGCCAAAGGCAGAAAAGGAAATATCTTCGTTTCAAAACTAGACAGAATCATTCTCAGAAACTGCTGCGTGATATGTGCGTTCAACTCTCAGAGTTTAACTTTTCTTTTCATTCAGCGGTTTGGAAACACTCTGTTTGTAAAGTCTGCACGTGGATATTTTGACCACTTAGAGGCCTTCGTTGGAAACGGGTTTTTTTCATGTAAGGCTAGACAGAAGAATTCCCAGTAACTTCCTTGTGTGGGGTGCATTCAACTCACAGAGTTGAACGTTCTCTTAGACAGAGCAGATTTGAAACACTCTATTTGTGCAATTTGCAAGAGTAGATTTCAAGCGCTTTAAGGTCAATGGCAGAAAAGGAAATATCTTCGTTTCAAAACTAGACAGAAATCATTCCCACAAACTGCGTTGTGATGTGTTCGTTCAACTCACAGAGTTTAACCTTTCTTTTCATAGAGCAGTTAGGAAACAGTCTGTTTGTAAATTCTGTAAGTGGATATTCTGACATCTTGTGGCCTTCGTTGGAAACGGGATTTCTTCATATTCTGCTAGACAGAAGAATTCTCAGTAACTTCCTTGTGTTGTGTGTATTCAACTCACAGAGTTGAACGATCCTTTACACAGAGCAGACTTGAAACACTCTTTTTGTGGAATTTGCAAGTGGAGGTTTCAGCCGCTTTGAGGTCAATAGTAGAAAAGGAAATATCTTCCTAGAAAAACTAGACAGAATGATTCTCAGAAACTCCTTTGTGATGTGTGCGTTCAACTCACACAGTTTAACCTTTCTTTTCATAGAGCAGTTAGGAAACACTCTGTTTGTAAAGTCTGCAAGTGGATATTCAGACCTCCTTGAGGCATTCGTTGGAAACGGGATTTCTTCATATTCTGCTAGACAGAAGAATTCTCAGTAACTTCCTTGTGTTGTGTGTATTCAACTCACAGAGTTGAACGATCCTTTACACAGAGCAGACTTGAAACACTCTTTTTGTGGAATTTGCAAGTGGAGATTTCAGCCGCTTTGAGTTCAATGGTAGAATAGGAAATATCTTCATATAGAAACTAGACAGAATCATTCTCAGAAACTGCTCTGCGATGTGTGCGTTCAACTCTCAGAGTTTAACTTTTCTTTTCATTCAGCAGTTTGGAAACACTCTGTTTGTAAAGTCTGCACGTGCATAATTTGACCACTTAGAGGCCTTCGTTGGAAACGGGTTTTTTTCATGTAAGGCTAGACAGAAGAATTCTCAGTAACTTCCTTGTGTTGTGTGTATTCAACTCACAGAGTTGAACGATCCTTTACACAGAGCAGACTTGTAACACTCTTTTTGTGGAATTTGCAAGTGGAGATTTCAGCCGCTTTGAAGTCAAAGGTAGAAAAGGAAATATCTTGCTATAAAAACTAGACAGAATCATTCCCACAAACTGCTTTGTGATGTGTTGGTTCAACTCACAGAGTTTATCCTTTCTGTTCATAGAGCAGTTAGGAAACACTCTGTTTGTAAAGTCTGTAAGTGGTTATAATGATATCTTGTGGCCTTCGTTGGAAACGGGATTTCTTCATATTCTGCTAGACAGAATAATTCTCAGTAACTTCCTTGTGTTGTGTGTATTCAACTCACAGAGTTGAACGATCCTTTACACAGAGCAGACTTGAAACACTCTTTTTGTGGAATTTGCAACTGGAGATTTCAGCCGCTTTGAGGTCAATGGTAGAATAGGAAATATCTTCCTATAGAAACTAGACAGAATGATTCTCAGAAACTCCTTTGTGATGTGTGCGTTCAACTCACAGAGTTCAACCTTTCTTTTCATAGAGCAGTTGGGAAACACTCTGTTTGTAAAGTCTGCAAGTGGATATTCAGACTTCTTTGAGGCCTTCGTTGGAAGCGGGGTTTCTTCATGTTCTGCTAGACAGAAGAATTCCCAGTAACTTCCCTGTGTTGTGTGTGTTCAACTCACAGAGTTGAACTTTCATTTACACAGAGCAGATTTGAAACACTCTTTTTGTGGAATTTGCAAATGGAGATTTCAAGCGCTTTGAGGCCAAAGGCAGAAAAGGAAATATCTTCGTTTCAAAACTAGACAGAATCATTCTCAGTAAACTGCTGCGTGATGTGTGCGTTCAACTCTCAGAGTTTAACTTTTCTTTTCATTCAGCGGTTTGGAAACCCTCTGTTTGTAAAGTCTGCACGTGGATATTTTGACCACTTAGAGGCCTTCGTTGGAAACGGGTTTTTTTTCATGTAAGGCTAGACAGAAGAATTCCCAGTAACTTCCTTGTTTTGTGTACATTCAACTCACAGAGTTGAACGTTCCCTTAGACAGAGCAGATTTGAAATACTCTTTTTGTGCAATTGGCAAGTGGAGATTTCAAGCGCTTTAAGGTCAATGGCAGAAAAGGAAATATCTTCGTTTCAAAACTAGACAGAATCATTCCCACAAACTGCGTTGTGATGTGTTCGTTCAACTCACAGAGTTTAACCTTTCTTTTCATAGAGCAGTTAGGAAACAGTCTGTTTGTAAATTCTGTAAGTGGATATTCTGACATCTTGTGACCTTCGTTGGAAACGGGATTTCTTCATATTCTGCTAGACAGAAGAATTCTCAGTAACTTCCTTGTGTTGTGTGTATTCAACTCACAGAGTTGAACGATCCTTTACACAGAGCAGACTTGAAACACTCCTTTTGTGGAATTTGCAAGTGGAGATTTCAGCCGCTTTGAGGTCAATGGTAGAACAGGAAATATCTTCCTATAGAAACTAGACAGAATGATTCTCAGAAACTCCTTTGTGATGTGTGCGTTCAACTCACAGAGTTTAACCTTTCTTTTCATAGAGCAGTTAGGAAACACTCTGTTTGTAAAGTCTGCAAGTGGATATTCAGACCTCCTTGATGGCCTTCGTTGGAAAAGGGATTTCTTCATATTATGCTAGACAGAAGAATTCCCAGTAACTTCTTTGTGTTGTGTGTGTTCAACTCACACAGTTGAACTTTCATTTACACAGAGCAGATTTGAAACACTCTTTTTGTGGAATTTGCAAGTGGAGATTTCAAGCGCTTTGAGGCCAAAGGCAGAAAAGGAAATATCTTCGTTTCAAAACTAGACAGAATCATTCTCAGAAACTGCTGCGTGATGTGTGCGTTCAACTCTCAGAGTTTAACTTTTCTTTTCATTCAGCGGTTTCGAAACTCTCTGTTTGTAAAGTCTGCACGTGGATATTTTGACCACTTAGAGGCCTTCGTTGGAAACGAGTTTTTTTCATGTAAGGCTAGACAGAAGAATTCCCAGTAACTTCCTTGTGTTGTGTGCATTCAACTCACAGAGTTGAACGTTCCCTTAGACAGAGCAGATTTGAAACACTCTATTTGAGCAATTTGCAAGTGTAGATTTCAAGCGCTTTAAGGTCAATGGCAGAAAAGGAAATATCTTCGTTTCAAAACTAGACAGAATCATTCCCACAAACTGCGTTGTGATGTGTTCGTTCAACTCACAGAGTTTAACCTTTCTTTTCATAGAGCAGTTAGGAAACAGTCTGTTTGTAAATTCTGTAAGTGGATATTCTGACATCTTGTGGCCTTCGTTGGAAACGGGATCTCTTCATATTCTGCTAGACAGAAGAATTCTCAGTAACTTCCTTGTGTTGTGTGTATTCAACTCACAGAGTTGAACGATCCTTTACACAGAGCAGAATTGAAACATTCTTTTTGTGGAATTTGCAAGTGGAGATTTCAGCCGCTTTGAGGTCAATGGTAGAATAGGAAATATCTTCCTATAGAAACTAGACAGAATGATTCTCAGAAACTCCTTTGTGATGTGTGTGTTCAACTCACAGAGTTTAACCTTTCTTTTCATAGAGCAGTTAGGAAACACTCTGTTTGTAAAGTCTTCAAGTGGATATTCAGACCTCTTTGAGGCCTTCGTTGGAAACGGGTTTTTTTCATATAAGGCTAGACAGAAGAATTCCCAGTAACTTCCTTGTGTTGTGTGTGTTCAACTCACAGAGTTGAACTTTCATTTACACAGAGCAGATTTGAAACACTCTTTTTGTGGAATTTGCAAATGCAGATTTCAGCCGCGTTGAGGTCAATGGTAGAAAAGGAAATATCTTCGTTTCAAAACTAGACAGAATCATTCTCAGAAACTGCTCTGCGATGTGTGCGTTCAACTCTCAGAGTTTAACTTTTCTTTTCATTCAGCAGTGTGGAAACACTCTGTTTGTAAAGTCTGAAGGTGGATATTTTGACCACTTAGAGGCCTTCGTTGGAAACGGGTTTTTTTCCTGTAAGGCTAGACAGAAGAATTCTCAGTAACTTCCTTGTGTTGTGTACATTCAACTCACAGAGTTGAACGTTCCCTTAGACAGAGCAGATTTGAAACACTCTTTTTGTGCAATTGGCAAGTGGAGATTTCAAGCGCTTTAAGGTCAATGGCAGAAAAGGAAATATCTTCGTTTCAAAACTAGACAGAATCATTCCAACAAACTGCGTTGTGATGTGTTCGTTTAACTCACAGAGTTTAACCTTTCTTTTCATAGAGCAGTTAGGAAACAGTCTGTTTGTAAATTCTGTAAGTGGATATTCTGACATCTTGTGGCCTTCGTTGGAAACGGGATTTCTTCATATTCTGCTAGACAGAAGAATTCTCAGAATCTTCCTTGTGTTGTGTGTATTCAACTCACAGCAGTTGAACGATGGTTTACACAGAGCAGATTTGAAACACTCTTTTTGTGGAATTTGCAAGTGGAGATTTCAGCCGCTTTGAGGTCAATGGTAGAAAAGGAAATATCTTCGTATAAAAACTAGACAGAGAGAGATTCTCAGAACTCCTTTGTGATGTGTGCGTTCAACTCACAGAGTTCAACCTTTCTTTTCATAGAGCAGTTGGGAAACACTCTGTTTGTAAAGTCTGCAAGTGGATATTCAGACTTCTTTGAGGCCTTCGTTGGAAGCGGGATTTCTTCATATTCTGCTAGACAGAGAATTCTCAGTAACTTCCTTGTGTTTTGTGTATTCAACTGACAGAGTTGAAGTTTCATTTAGAGAGAGCAGATTTGAAACACTGTTTTTGTGGAATTTGCAAGTGGAGATTTCAAGCGCTTTGGGACCAAAGGCAGAAAAGGAAATATCTTCGTATATAAACTAGACAGAATCATTCTCAGAAACTGCTGCGTGATGTGTGCGTTCAACTCTCAGAGTTTAACTTTTCTTTTCATTCAGCCGTTTGGAAACACTCTGTTTGTAAAGTCTGCACGTGGAAATTTTGACCACTTAGAGGCCTTCGTTGGAAACGGGTTTTTTTCATGTAAGGCTAGACAGAAGAATTCCCAGTAACTTCCTTGTGTTGTGTGCATTCAACTCACAGAGTTGAACGTTCCCTTAGACCGAGCAGATTTGAAACACTCTATTTGTGCAATTTGCAAGTGTAGTTTTCAAGCTCTTTAAGGTCAACGGCAGAAAAGGAAATATCTTCGTTTCAAAACTAGACAGAATGATTCTCAGAAACTCCTTTGTGATGTGTGCGTTCCACTCACAGAGTTCAACCTTTCTTTTCATAGAGCAGTTGGGAAACACTCTGTTTGTAAAGTCTGCAAGTGGATATTCAGACTTCTTTGAGGCCTTCGTTGGAAGCGGGATTTCTTCATATTCTGCTAGACAGAAGAATTCTCAGTAACTTCCTTGTGTTGTGTGTATTCAACTCACAGAGTTGAATGATCCTTTACACAGAACAGACTTGAAACACTCTTGTTGTGGAATTTGCAAGTGGAGATTTCAGCCGCTTTGAGGTCAACGGTAGAATAGGAAATATCTTCCTATAAAAACTAGACAGAATGATTCTCAGAAACTCCTTTGTGATGTGTGCGTTCAACTCACAGAGTTTAACCTTTCTTTTCATAGAGCAGTTAGGAAACACTCTGTTTGTAAAGTCTGCAGGTGGATATTCAGACATCTTTGAGGCTTTCGTTGGAAACGGCATTTCTTCATATTCTGCTATACAGAAGAATTCCCAGTAACTTCCTTGTGTTGTGTGTGTTGAACTCACAGAGTTGAACTTTCATTTACACAGAGCAGATTTGAAACCCTCTTTTTGTGGAATTTGCAAGTGGAGATTTCAAGCGCTTTGAGGCCAAAGGCAGAAAAGGAAATATCTTCGTTTCAAAACTAGACAGAATGATTCTCAGAAACTCCTTTGTGATGTGTGCGTTCAACTCACAGAGTTTAACCTTTCTTTTCATAGAGCAGTTAGGAAACACTATGTTTGTAAAATCTGCACGTGGATATTTTGACCACTTAGAGGCCTTCGTTGGAAACGGGTTTTTTCATGTAAGGGTAGACAGAAGAATTCCCAGTAACTTCCTTGTGTTGTGTACATTCAACTCACAGAGTTGAACGTTCCCTTAGACAGAGCAGATTTGAAACACTCTTTTTGTGCAATTGGCAAATGGAGATTTCAAGCGCTTTAAGGTCAATGGCAGAAAAGGGAATATCTTCGTTTCAAAACTAGACAGAATCATTCCCACAAACTGCGTTGTGATGTGTTCGTTCAACTCACAGAGTTTAACCTTTCTTTTCATAGAGCAGTTAGGAAACACTCAGTTTGTAAAGTCTGCAAGTGGATATTCAGACCTCTTTGAGGCCTTCGTTGGAAACGGGATTTCTTCATACTGTGCTAGACAGAAGAATTCTCAGTAACTTCCTTGTGTTGTGTGTATTCAACTCACAGAGTTGAACGATCCTTTACAAAGAGCAGACTTGTAACACTCTTTTTGTGGAATTTGCAAGTGGAGATTTCAGCCGCTTTGAAGTCAAAGGTAGAAAAGGAAATATCTTCCTATAAAAACTAGACAGAATGATTCTCAGAAACTCCTTTGTGATGTGTGCGTTCAACTCACAGAGTTTAACCTTTCTTTTCATAGAGCAGTTAGGAAACACTCTGTTTGTAAAGTCTGCACGTGGATATTTGGACTTCTTTGAGGCCTTCGTTGGAAACGGGGTTTTTTCATGTAAGGCTAGATAGAAGAATTCCCAGTAACTTCCTTGTGTTGTGTGTCTTCAACTCACAGAGTTGAACTTTCATTTACACAGAGCAGATTTGAAACACTCTTTTTGTGGAATTTGCAAATGGAGATTTCAAGCGCTTTGAGGCCAAAGGCAGAAAAGGAAATATCTTCGTATAAAAACTAGACAGAATCATTCTCAGAAACTGCTGCGTGATGTGTGCGTTCAACTCTCAGAGTTTAACTTTTCTTTTCATTCAGCGGTTTGGAAACACTCTGTTTGTAAAGTCTGCACGTGGATATTTTGACCACTTAGAAGCCTTCGTTGGAAACGGGTTTTTTCATGTAAGGCTAGACAGAAGAATTCCCAGTAACTTCCTTGTGTTGTGTGCATTCAACTCACAGAGTTGAACGTTCCCTTAGACAGAGCAGATTTGAAACACTCTATTTGTGCAATTTGCAAGTGTAGATTTCAAGCGCTTTAAGGTCAAAGGCAGAAAAGGAAATATCTTCGTTTCAAAACTAGACAGAATGATTCTCAGAAACTCCTTTGTGATGTGTGTGTTCAACTCACAGAGTTTAACCTTTCTATTCATAGAGTAGTTAGGAAACACTCTGTTTGTAAAGTCTGCAAGTGGGTATTTTGACCTCTTTGAGACCTCCTTTGGAAACGGGTTTTTTTCATGTAAGGCTAGACAGAAGAATTCTCAGTAACTTCCGCGTGTTGTGTGTATTCAACTCACAGAGTTGAACGATCCTTTACACAGAGCAGACTTGTAACACTCTTTTTGTGGAATTTGCAAGTGGAGATTTCAGCCGCTTTGAAGTCAAAGGTAGAAAAGGAAATATCTTCCTATAAAAAATAGACAGAATGATTCTCAGAAACTCTTTTGTGGTGTGTGCGTTCAACTCACAGAGTTTAACCTTTCTGTTCATAGAGCAGTTAGGAAACACTCTGTTTGTAAAGTCTGCAAGTGGATATTCAGACCTCCTTGAGGCCTTCGTTGGAAACCGGATTTCTTCATATTCTGCTAGACAGAAGAATTCTCAGTAATTTCCTTGTGTTGTGTGTATTCAGCTGACAGAGTTGAACTTTCATTTAGAGAGAGCAGATTTGAAACACTGTTTTTGTGGAATTTGCAAGTGGATATTTCAAGCGATTTGAGGCCAAAAGCAGAAAAGGAAATATCTTCGTATAAAAACTAGACAGAATCATTCTCAGTAAACTGCTCTGCGATGTGTGCGTTCAACTCTCAGAGTTTAACTTTTCTTTTCATTCAGCAGTTTGGAAACACTCTGTTTGTAAAGTCTGCACGTGGATATTTTGACCATTTAGAGGCCTTCGTTGGAAACGGGTTTTTTTCTTGTAAGGCTAGACAGAAGAATTCTCAGTAACTTCCTTGTGTTGTGTGTATTCAACTCACAGAGTTGAATGATCCTCTACACAGAGTAGACTTGAAACACTCTTTTTGTGTAATTTGCAAGTGGAGATTTCAGCCGCTTTGAGGTCAATGGTAGAAAAGGAAATATCTTCGTATAAAAACTAGACAGAATGATTATGAGAAACTCCTTTGTGATGTGTGCGTTCAACTCACAGAGTTTAACCTTTCTTTTCATAGAGCAGTTAGGAAACACTCTGTTTGTAAAGTCTGCAAGTGGATATTCAGACCTCCTTGAGGCCTTCGTTGGAAACGGGATTTCTTCATATTATGCTAGACAGAAGAATTCTCAGTAACTTCCTTGTGTTGTGTGTATTCAACTCACAGAGTTGAACGATCCTTTACACAGAGCAGACTTGAAACACTCTTTTTGTGGAATTTGCAAGTGGAGACTTCAGCCGCTTTGAGGTCAATGGTAGAATAGGAAATATCTTCCTATAGAAACTAGACAGAATGATTCTCAGAAACTCCTTTGTGATGTGTGCGTTCAACTCACACAGTTTAACCTTTCTTTTCATAGAGCAGTTAGGAAACACTCTGTTTGTAAAGTCTGCAAGTGGATATTCAGACCTCCTTGATCCATTCGTTGGAAATGGGAATTCTTCATATTATGCTAGACAGAAGAATTCTCAGTAACTTCCTTTTGTTGTGTGTATTCAACTGACAGAGTTGAACTTTCATTTAGAGAGAGCAGATTTGAAACACTGTTTTTGTGCAATTTGCAAGTGGAGATTTCAAGCGCTTTGGGGCAAAAGGCAGGAAAGGAAATATCTTCGTATAAAAACTAGACAGAATCATTCTCAGAAACCGCTCTGTGATGTGTGCGTTCAACTCTCAGAGTTTAACTTTTCTTTTCATTCAGCAGTTTGGAAACACTCTGTTTGTAAAGTCTCCACGTGGATATTTTGACCACTTAGAAGCCTTCGTTGGAAACGAGTTTTTTTTCATGTAAGGCTAGACAGAAGAATTCCCAGTAACTTCCTTGTGTTGTGTGCATTCAACTCACAGAGTTGAACGTTCCCTTAGACAGAGCAGATTTGAAACACTCTATTTGTGCAACTTGCAAGTGTAGATTTCAAGCGCTTTAAGCTCAATGGCAGAAAAGGAAATATCTTCGTTTCAAAACTAGACAGAATCATTTCCACAAACTGCGTTGTGATGTGTTCCTTCAACTCACAGAGTTTAACCTTTCTTTTCATAGAGCAGTTAGGAAACACTCTGTTTGTAAACTCTGCAAGTGGATATTCAGACCTCTTTGAGGCCTTCGTTGGAAACGGGATTTCTTCATACTATGCTAGACAGAAGAATTCTCAGTAACTTCCTTGTGTTGTGTGTATTCAACTCACAGAGTTGAACGATCCTTTATACAGAGCAGACTTGAAACACTCTTTTTGTGGAATTTGCAAGTGGAGATTTCAGCCGCGTTGAGGTCAATGGTAGAAAAGGAAATATCTTCGTATAAAAACTAGACAGAATGATTCTCAGAAAATCTTTTGTGATGTGTGCGCTCAACTCACAGAGTTTAACTTTTCTTCTCATAGAGCAGTTAGGAAACACTCTGTTTGTAAAGTGTGCAAGTGGATATTCAGACCTCTTTGAGGCCTTCGTTGGAAACGGGATTTCTTCATATTATGCTAGACAGAAGAATTCTCAGTAACTTCCTTGTGTTGTGTGTATTCAACTGACAGAGTTGAACTTTCATTTAGAGAGAGCAGATTTGAAACACTGTTTTTGTGGAATTTGCAAGTGGAGATTTCAAGCGCTTTGGGGCCAAAGGCAGCAAAGGAAATATCTTCGTATAAAAACTAGACAGAATCATTCTCAGAAACTGCTGCGTGATGTGTGCGTTCAACTCTCAGAGTTTAACTTTTCTTTTGATTCAGCGGTTTGGAAACACTCTGTTTGTAAAGTCTGCACGTGGATATTTTGACCACTTAGAGGCCTTCGTTGGAAACGGGTTTTTTTCATGTAAGGCTAGACAGAAGAATTCCCAGTAACTTCCTTGTGTTGTGTACATTCAACTCCCAGAGTTGAACGTTCCCTTAGACAGAGCAGATTTGAAACACTCTTTTTGTGCAATTGGCAAGTGGTGATTTCAGCCGCTTTGGGGTCAATGGTAGAAAAGGTAATATCTTCGTATAAAAACTAGACAGAATCATTCCCACAAACTGCGTTGTGATGTGTTCGTTCAACTCACAGAGTTTAACCTTTCTGTTCACAGAGCAGTTAGGAAACACTCTGTTTGTAAAGTCTGTAAGTGGATATTCTGACATCTTGTGGCCTTCGTTGGAAACGGGATTTCTTCATATTCTGCTAGACAGAAGAATTCTCAGTAACTTCCTTCTGTTGTGTGTATTCAACTCACAGAGTTGAACGATCCTTTACACAGAGCAGTCTTGAAACACTCTTTTTGTGGAATTTGCAAGTGGAGATTTCAGCCGCTTTGTGGTCAATGGTAGAATAGGAAATATCTTCCTATAGAAACTAGACAGAATGATTCTCAGAAACTCCTTTGTGATGTGGGCGTTCAACTCACAGAGTTTAACCTTTCTTTTCATAGAGCAGTTAGGAAACACTCTGTTTGTAAAGTCTGCATGTGGATATTTGGACTTCTTTGAGGCCTTCGTTGGAAACGGGTTTTTTTCATGTAAGGCTAGACAGAAGAATTCCCAGTAACTTCCTTCTGTTGTGTGTGTTCGACTCACAGAGTTGAACTTTCATTTACACAGAGCAGATTTGAAACACTCTTTTTGTGGAATTTGCAAGTGGAGATTTCAAGCGCTTTGAGGCCAAAGGCAGAAAAGGAAATATCTTCGTTTCAAAACTAGACAGAATCATTCTCAGAAACTGCTGCGTGATGTGTGCGTTCAACTCTCAGAGTTTAACTTGTCTTTTCATTCAGCGGTTTGGAAACACTCTGTTTGTAAAGTCTGCACGTGGATATTTTGACCACTTAGAGGCCTTCGTTGGAAACGGGTTTTTTTCATGTAAGGCTAGACAGAAGAATTCCCAGTAACTTCCTTGTGTTGTGTGCATTCAAGTCACAGAGTTGAACGTTTCCTTAGACAGAGCAGAATTGAAACACTCTATTTGTGCAATTTGCAAGTGTAGATTTCAAGCGCTTTAAGGTCAATGGCAGAAAAGGAAATATCTTCGTTTCAAAACTAGACAGAATCATTCCCACAAACTGCGTTGTGATGTGTTCGTTCAACTCACAGAGTTTAACCTTCCTTTTCATAGAGCAGTTAGGAAACAGTCTGTTTGTAAATTCTGTAAGTGGATATTCTGACATACTTGTGGCCTTCGTTGGAAACGGGATTTCTTCATATTCTGCTAGACAGAGAGATTCTCAGTAACTTCCTTGTGTTGTGTGTATTCAACTCACAGAGTTGCACGATCCTTTACACAGAGCAGACTTGAAACACTCTTTTTGTGGAATTTGCAAGTGGAGATTTCAGCCGCGTTGAGGTCAATGGTAGAAGAGGAAATATCTTCGTATAAAAACTAGACAGAATGATTCTCATAAACTCCTTTGTGATGTGTGCGTTCAACTCACAGAGTTTAACCTTTCTTTTCATAGAGCAGTTAGGAAACACTCTGTTTGTAAAGTCTGCAAGTGGATATTCAGACCCCTTTGAGGCCTTCGTTGGAAACGGGATTTCTTCATATTCTGCCAGACAAAAGAATTCCCAGTAACTTCCTTGTGTTGTGTGTGTTCAACTCACAGAGTTGAACTTTGATTTACACAGAGCAGATTTGAAACACTCTTTTTGTGGAATTTGCAAATGGAGATTTCAAGCGCTTTGAGGCCAAAGGCAGAAAAGGAAATATCTTCGTATAAAAACTAGACAGAATCATTCTCAGAAACTGCTCTGCGATGTGTGCGTTCAACTCTCAGAGTTTAACTTTTCTTTTCATTCAGCAGTTTGGAAACACTCTGTTTGTAAAGTCTGCACGTGGATATTTTGACCACTTAGAGGTCTTCGTTGGAAACGGGTTTTTTTCCTGTAAGGCTAGACAGAAGAATTCCCAGTAACTTCCTTGTGTTGTGTGCATTCAACTCACAGAGTTGAACGTTCCCTTAGACAGAGCAGATTTGAAACACTCTATTTGTGCAATTTGCAAGTGTAGTTTTCACGCTCTTTAAGGTCAACGGCAGAAAAGGAAATATCTTCGTTTCAAAACTAGACAGAATCATTCCCACAAACTGCGTTGTGATGTGTGCGTTCAACTCACAGAGTTTAACTTTTCTTTTCATAGAGCAGTTAGGAAACACTCTGTTTGTAAAGTCTGCAAGTGGATATTCAGACCTCTTTGAGGCCTTCGTTGGAAACGGGATTTCTTCATATTCTGCTAGACAGAAGAATTCTCAGTAACTTCCTTGTGTTGTGTGTATTCAACTCACAGAGTTGAACGATCCTTTACACAGAGCAGACTTGAAACACTCTTTGTGTGGAATTTGCAAGTGGAGATTTCAGCCGCTTTGAGGTGAATGGTAGAAAAGGAAATATCTTCGTATAAAGACTAGACAGAATGATTCTCAGAAACTCCTTTGTGATGTGTGCGTTCAACTCACAGAGTTCAACCTTTCTTTTCATAGAGCAGTTGGGAAACACTCTTTTTGTAAAGTCTGCAAGTGGATATTCAGACTTCTTTGAGGCCTTCGTTGGAAGCGGGATTTCTTCATATTCTGCTAGACAGAAGAATTCCCAGTAACTTCCTTGTGTTGTGTGTGTTCAACTCACAGAGTTGAACTTTCATTTACACAGAGCAGATTTGAAACACTCTTTTTGTGGAATTTGCAAGTGGAGATTTCAAGCGCTTTGAGGCCAAGGCAGAAAAGGAAATATCTTCGTATAAAAACTAGACAGAATCATTCTCAGAAACTGCTCTGCGATGTGTGTGTTCACCTCTCAGAGTTTAACTTTTCTTTTCCTTCAGCAGTTTGGAAACACTCTGTTTGTAAAGTCTGCACGTGGATAATTTGACCACTTAGAGGCCTTCGTTGGAAACGGGTTTTTTTCATGTAAGGCTAGACAGAAGAATTCCCAGTAACTTCCTTGTGTTGTGTACATTCAACTCACAGAGTTGAACGTTCCCTTAGACAGAGCAGATTTGAAACACTCTTTTTGTGCAATTGGCAAGTGGAGATTTCAAGCGCTTTAAGGTCAATGGCAGAAAAGGAAATATCTTCGTTTCAAAACTAGGCAGAATGATTCTCAGAAACTTCATTGTGATGTGTGCGTTCAACTCACAGAGTTTAACCTTTCTTTTCATAGAGCAGTTAGGAAACACTCTGTTTGTAAACTCTGCAAGTGGATATTCTGACCTCATTGAGGCCTTCGATGGAAACGGGATTTCTTCATACTATGCTAGACAGAAGAATTCACAGTAACTTCCTTGTGTTGTGTGTATTCAACTCACAGAGTTGAACGATCCTTTACACAGAGCAGACTTGAAACACTCTTTTTGTGGAATTTGCAAGTGGAGATTTCAGCCGCTTTGAGGTCAATGGTAGAAAAGGAAATATCTTCGTATAAAAACTAGACAGAATGATTCTCAGAAACTCCTTTGTGATGTGTGCGTTCAACTCACAGAGTTTAACCTTTCTTTTCATAGAGCAGTTAGGAAACACTCTGTTTTTATAGTCTGCAAGTGGATATTCAGACATCTTTGAGGCCTTCGTTGGAAGCGGGATTTCTTCATATTCTGCTATACAGAAGAATTCTCAGTAACTTCCTTGTGTTGTGTGTATTCAACTGACAGAGTTGAACTTTCATTTAGAGAGAGCAGATTTGAAACACTGTTTTTGTGGAATTTGCAAGTGGAGATTTCAAACGCTTTGGGGCCAAAGGCAGAAAAGGAAATGTCTTCGTATAAAAACTAGACAGAATCATTCTCAGAAACTGCTCTGCGATGTGTGTGTTCAACTCTCAGAGTTTAACTTTTCTTTTCATTCAGCAGTTTGGAAACACTCTGTTTGTAAAGTCTGCACGTGGATATTTTGACCACTTAGAGGCCTTCGTTGGAAACGGGTTTTTTTCTTGTAAGGCTAGACAGAAGAATTCCTAGTAACTTCCTTGTGTTGTGTACATTCAACTCACAGAGTTGAACGTTCCCTTAGACAGAGCAGATTTGAAACACTCTTTTTGTGCAATTGGCAAGTGGTGATTTCAGCCGCTTTGAGGTCAATGGTATAAAAGGAAATATCTTCGTATTAAAACTAGACAGAATCATTCCCACAAACTGCGTTGTGATGTGTTCGTTCAACTCACAGAGTTTAACCTTTCTGTTCATAGAGCAGTTAGGAAACACTCTGTTTGTAAAGTCTGTAAGTGGATATTGTGACATCTTGTGGCCTTCGTTGGAAACGGGATTTCTTCATATTCTGCTAGACAGAAGAATTCTCAGTAACTTCCTTGTGTTGTGTGTATTCAACTCACAGAGTTGAATGATCCTTTACACAGAACAGTCTTGAAACACTCTTTTTGTGGAATTTACAAGTGGAGATTTCAGCCGCTTTGAGGTCAATGGTAGAATAGGAAATATCTGCCTATAGAAACTAGACAGAATGATTCTCAGAAACTCCTTTGTGATGTGTGCGTTCAACACACAGAGTTTAACTTTTCTTTTCATAGAGCAGTTAGGAAACACTCTGTTTGTAAGGTCTGCAAGTGGATATTCAGACCTCTTTGAGGCCTTCGTTGGAAACGGGATTTCTTCATATTCTGCTAGACAGAAGAATTCTCAGTAACTTCCCTGTGTTCTGTGTATTCAACTCAGAGAGTTGAACGATCCTTTACAGAGAGCAGACTTGAAACACTCTTTTTGTGGAATTTGCAAGTGGAGATTTCAGCCGCTTTGAGGTCAATGGTAGAAAAGGAAATATCTTCGTATAAAGACTAGACAGAATCATTCTCAGAAACTGCTCTGCGATGTGTGCGTTCAACTCTCAGAGTTTAACTTTTCTTTTCATTCAGCAGTTTGGAAACACTCTGTTTGTAAAGTCTGCACATGGATATTTTGACCACTTAGAGGCCTTCGTTGGAAACGGGTTTACTTTACCTGTAAGGCTAGACAGAAGAATTCCCAGTAACTTCCTTGCGTTGTGTACATTCAACTCACAGAGTTGAACGTTCCCTTAGACAGAGCAGATTTGAAACACTCTTTTTGTGCAATTGGCAAGTGGAGATTTCAAGCGCTTTAAGGTCAATGGCAGAAAAGGAAATATCTTCGTTTCAAAACTAGACAGAATCATTCCCACAAACTGCGTTGTGATGTGTTCGTTCAACTCACAGAGTTTAACCTTTCTGTTCATAGAGCAGTTAGGAAACACTCTGTTTGTAAACTCTGTAAGTGGATATTCTGACATCTTGTGGCCTTCGTTGGAAACGGGATTTCTTCACATTCTGCTAGACAGAGGAATTCTCAGAAACTTCCTTGTGTTGTGTGTATTCAACTCACAGAGTTGAACGATCCTTTACACAGAGCAGACTTGAAACACTCTTTTTGTGGAATTTGCAAGTGGAGATTTCAGCCGCTTTGAGGTCAATGGTAGAAAAGGAAATATCTTCGTATAAAAACAAGACAGAATGATTCTCAGAAACTCCTTTGTGATGTGTGCGTTGAACTCACAGAGTTTAACCTTTCTTTTCATAGAGCAGTTAGGAAACACTCTGTTTGTAAAGTCTGCAAGTGGATATTCATTCCTCTTTGAGGCCTTCGTTGGAAACGGGATTTCTTCATATTATGCTAGACAGAAGAATTCCCAGTAACTTCCATGTGTTGTGTGTGTTCAACTCACAGAGTTGAACTTTCATTTACACAGAGCAGATTTGAAACACTCTTTTTGTGGAATTTGCAAATGGAGATTTCAAGCGCTTTGAGGCCAAAGGCAGAAAAGGAAATATCTTCGTATAAAAATTAGACAGATTCATTCTCAGAAACTGCTCTGCGATGTGTGCGTTCAACTCTCAGAGTTTAACTTTTCTTTTCATTCAGCAGTTTGGAAACACTCTGTTTGTAAAGTCTGCACGTGGATAATTTGACCACTTAGAGGTCTTCGTTGGAAACGGGTTTTTTTCATGTAAGGCTAGACAGAAGAATTCCCAGTAACTTCCTTGTGTTGTGTGCATTCAACTCACAGAGTTGAACGTTCCCTTAGACAGAGCAGATTTGAAACACTCTATTTGTGCAATTTGCAAGTGTAGATTTCAAGCGCTTTAAGGTCAACGGCAGAAAAAGGAAATATCTTCGTTTCAAAACTAGACAGAACGATTCTCAGTAAACTCCTTTGTGATGTGTGCGTTGAACTCACAGAGTTTAACCTTTCTTTTCATAGAGCAGTTAGGAAACACTCTGTTTGTAAAGTCTGCAAGTGGATATTCAGACCTCTTTGAGGCCTTCGTTGGAAACGGGATTTCTTCATATTCTGCTAGACAGAAGAATTCTCAGAATCTTCCTTGTGTTGTGTGTATTCAACTCACACAGTTGAACGATGGTTTACACAGAGCAGATTTGAAACACTCTTTTTGTGGAATTTGCAAGTGGAGATTTCAGCCGCTTTGAGGTCCATGGTAGAAAAGGAAATATCTTCGTATAAAAACTAGACAGAATGATTCTCAGAAACTTCTTTGTGATGTGTGCGTTCAACTCACAGAGTTTAACCTTTCTTTTCATAGAGCATTTAGGAAACACTCTGTTTGTAAACTCTGCAAGTGGATATTCAGACCTGTTTGAGGCCTTCGTTGGAAACGGGATTTCTTCATACTATGGTAGACAGAAGAATTCTCAGTAACTTCCTTGTGTTATGTGTATTCAACTGACAGAGTTGAACTTTCATTTAGAGAGAGCAGATTTGAAACACTGTTTTTGTGGAATTTGCAAGTGGAGATTTCAAGCGCTTTGGGGCCAAAGGCAGAAAAGGAAATATCTTCGTATAAAAACTAGACAGAATAATTCTCAGAAACTGCTGCGTGATGTGTGCGTTCAACTCTCAGAGTTTAACTTTTCTTTTCATTCAGCGGTTTGGAAACACTCTGTTTGTAAAGTCTGCACGTGGATATTTTGACCACTTAGAGGCCTTCGTTGGAAACGGGTTTTTTTCATGTAAGGCTAGACAGAAGAATTCCCAGTAACTTCCTTGTGTTGTGTATGTTCAACTCACAGAGTTGAACTTTCATTTACACAGAGCAGATTTGAAACACTCTTTTTGTGGAATTTGCAAATGGAGATTTCAAGCACTTTGAGGCCAAAGGCAGAAAAGGAAATGTCTTCGTTTCAAAACTAGACAGAATCATTCCCACAAACTGCGTTGTGATGTGTTCGTTCAACTCACAGAGTTTAACCTTTCTGTTCATAGAGCAGTTAGGAAACACTCTGTTTGTAAAGTCTGTAAGTGGATATTCTGACATCTAGTGGCCTTCGTTGGAAACGGGATTTCTTCATATTCTGCTGGACAGAATAATTCTCAGTAACTTCCTTGTGTTGTGTGTATTCAACTCACAGAGTTGAACGATCCTTTACACGGAGCAGACTTGAAACATTCTTTTTGTGGAATTTGCAAGTTGAGATTTCAGCCGCTTTGAGGTCAATGGTAGAATAGGAAATATCTTCCTATAGAAACTAGACAGAAAGATTCTCAGAAACTCCTTTGTGATGTGTGTGTTCAACTCACAGAGTTTAACCTTTCTTTTCATAGAGCAGTTAGTAAACACTCTGTTTATAAAGTCTGCAAGTGGATATTCAGACCCCTTTGAGGCCTTCGTTGGAAACGGGATTTCTTCATATTATGCTAGACAGAAGAATTCTCAGTAACTTCCTTGTGTTGTGTGTATTCCACTCACAGAGTTGAACGATCATTTACACAGAGCAGATTTGAGACACTCTTTTTGTGGAATTTGCTAATGGAGATTTCAAGCGCTTTGAGGCCAAAGGCAGAAAAGGAAATATCTTCGTATAAAAACTAGACAGAATCATTCTCAGAAACTGCTCTGCGATGTGTGCGTTCAACTCTCAGAGTTTAACTTTTCTTTTCATTCAGCAGTTTGGAAACACTCTGTTTGTAAAGTCTGCACGTGGATAATTTGACCACTTACAGGCCTTCATTGGAAACGGGTTTTTTTCCTGTAAGGCTAGACAGAAGAATTCCCAGCAACTTCCTTGTATTGTGTGCATTCAACTCACAGAGTTGAACGATCCTTTACACAGAGCAGATTTGAAACACTCTATTTGTGCAATTTGCAAGTGTAGATTTCAAGCGCTTTGAGGTCAATGGCAGAAAAGGAAATATCTTCGTTTCAAAACTAGACAGAATCATTCCCACAAACTGCGTTGTGATGTGTTCGTTCAACTCACAGAGTTTAACCTTTCTGTTCATAGAGCAGTTAGGAAACACTCTGTTTGTAAAGTCTGTAAGTGGATATTCTGACATCTTGTGGCCTTCGTTGGAAACGGGATTTCTTCATATTATGCTAGAAAGAAGAATTCCCAGTAGCTTCCTTGTGTTGTGTGTATTCAACTCACAGAGTTGAATTTTCATTTACACAGCACAGATGTGAAACACTCTTGTTGTGGTATTTGCAATTGGAGATATCAGCCGCTTTGATGTCAATGATAGAAAAGGAAATATCTTCGTATAAAAACTAGACAGAATGATTCTCAGAAACTCCTTTGTGATGTGTGCGTTCAACTCACAGAGTTTAACCTTTCTTTTCATAGAGCAGTTAGGAAACACTCTGTTTGTAAAGTCTGCAAGTGGATATTCAGACCTCTTTGAGGCCTTCGTTGGAATCGGGATTTCTTCATATTATGCTAGACAGAAGGATTCCCAGTAACTTCCTTGTGTTGTGTGTGTTCAACTGACAGAGTTGAACTTTCATTTACAAAGAGCAGATTTGAAACACTCTTTTTGTGGAATTTGCAATTGGAGATTTCAAGCGCTTTGAGGCCAAAGGCAGAAAAGGAAATATCTTCGTATAAAAACTAGACAGAATCATTCTCAGAAACTACTGTGTGATGTGTGCGTTCAACTCTCAGAGTTTAACTTTTCTTTTCATTCAGCAGTTTGGAAACACTCTGTTTGTAAAGTCTGAACGTGGATATTTTGACCACTTAGAGGCCTTCGTTGGAAACGGGTTTTTTTCCTGTAAGGCTAGACAGAAGAATTCTCAGTAACTTCCTTGTGTTGTGTACATTCAACTCACAGAGTTGAACGATCCTTTACACAGAGCAGACTTGTAACACTCTTTTTGTGGAATTTGCAAGTGGAGATTTCAGCCGCTTTGAAGTCAAAGGTAGAAAATGAAATATCTTCCTATAAAAACTAGACAGAATGATTCTCAGAAACTCCTTTGTGATGTGTGCGTTCAACTCACAGAGTTCAACCTTTCTTTTCATAGAGCAGTTGGGAAACACTCTGTTTGTAAAGTCTGCAAGTGGATATTCAGACTTCTTTGAGGCCTTCGTTGGAAGCGGGATTTCTTCATGTTCTGTTAGACAGAAGAATTCTCAGTAACTTCCTTGTGTTGTGTGTATTCAACTCACAGAGTTGAACGATCCTTTACACAGAGCAGACTTGAAAGACTCTTTTTGTGGAATTTGCAAGTGGAGATTTCAGCCGCTTTGATGTCAATGGTAGAAAAGGAAATATCTTCGTATAAAGACTAGATAGAATGATTCTCAGAAACTCCTTTGTGATGTGTGCGTTCAACTCACAGAGTTTAACCTTTCTTTTCATAGAGCAGTTAGGAAACACTCTGTTTGTAAAGTCTGCAAGTGGATATTCAGGCATCCTTGAGGCTTTCGTTGGAAACGGGATTTCTTCATATTCTGCTAGAAAGAAGAATTCCCAGTAACTTCCTTGTGTTGTGTGTGTTCAACTCACAGAGTTGAACTTTCATTTACACAGAGCAGATTTGAAACACTCTTTTTGTGGAATTTGCAAGTGGAGATTTCAAGCGCTTTGAGGCCAAAGGCAGAAAAGAAGGAAATATCTTCGTATAAAAACTAGACAGAATCATTCTCAGAAACTGCTCTGTGATGTGTGCGTTCAACTCTCAGAGTTTAACTTTTCTTTTCATTCAGCAGTTTGGAAACACTCTGTTTGTAAAGTCTGCACGTGGATAATTTGACCACTTAGAGGCCTTCGTTGGAAACGGGTTTTTTTCATGTAAGGCTAGACAGAAGAATTCTCAGGAACTTCCTTGTGTTGTGTGTATTCAACTCACAGAGTTGTACGATCTTTTACACAGAGCAGACTTGAAACACTCTTTTTGTGGAATTTGCAAGTGGAGATTTCAGCCGCTTTGAAGTCAAAGGTACAAAAGGAAATATCGTCGTAAAAAAACTAGACAGAATCATTCCCACAAACTGCGTTGTGATGTGTTCGTTCAACTCACAGAGTTTAACCTTTCTGTTCATAGAGCAGTTAGGAAACACTCTGTAACGTCTGTAAGTGGATATTCTGACATCTTGTGGCCTTCGTTGGAAACGGGATTTCTTCATATTCTGCTAGAAAGAAGAATTCTCAGAATCTTCCTTGTGTTGTGTGTATTCAACTCACCGAGTTGAACGATCCTTTACACAGAGCAGACTTGAAACACTCTTTTTGTGGAATTTGCAAGTGGAGATTTCAGCCGCTTTGAGGTCCATGTTAGAAAAGGAAATATCTTCGTATAAAAACTAGACAGAATGATTCTCAGAAACTCCTTTGTGATGTGTGCGTTCAACTCACAGAGTTTAACCTTTCTTTTCATAGAGCAGTTAGGAAACACTCTGTTTGTAAAGTCTGCAAGTGGATATTCAGACCTCTTTGAGGCCTTCGTTGGAAACGGGTATTTTTCATATAAGGCTAGACAGAAGAATTCTCAGTAACTTCCTTGTGTTGTGTGTATACAACTCACAGAGTTGAACTTTCATTTAGAGAGAGCAGATTTGAAACACTGTTTTTGTGGAATTTGCAAGTGGAGATTTCAAGCGCTTTGGGGCCAAAGGCAGAAAAGGAAATATCTTCGTATAAAAACTAGACAGAATCATTCTCAGAAACTGCTCTGCGATGTGTGCGTTCAACTCTCAGAGTTTAACTTTTCTTTTCATTCAACAGTTTGGAAACACTCTGTTTGTAAAGTCTGCACGTGGATATTTTGACCACTTAGAGGCCTTCGTTGGAAACAGGTTTTTTTCATGTAAGGCTAGACACAAGAATTCCCAGTAACTTCCTTGTGTTGTGTACATTCAACTCACAGAGTTGAACGTTCCCTTAGACAGAGCAGATTTGAAACACTCTTTTTGTGCAATTGGCAAGTGGAGATTTCAAGCGCTTTAAGGTCAATGGCAGAAAAGGAAATATCTTCGTTTCTAAACTAGACAGAATGATTCTCAGAAACTCCTTTGTGCTGTGTGCGTTCAACTCACAGAGTTTAACCTTTCTTTTCATAGAGCAGTTAGGAAACACTCTGTTTGTAAAGTCTGCAAGTGGATATTCAGACATCTTTGAGGCTTTCGTTGGAAACGGGATTTCTTCATATTCTGCCAGACAGAAGAATTCTCAGAAACTTCCTTGTGTTGTGTGTATTCAACTCACAGAGTTGAACGATCGTTTACACAGAGCAGACTTGAAGCACTCTTTTTGTGGAATTTGCAAGTGGAGATTTCAGCCGCTTTGAGGTCAATGGTAGAAAAGGAAATATCTTCGTATAAAAACTAGACAGAATGATTCTCAGAAACTCCTTTGTGATGTGTGCGTTCAGCTCACAGAGTTTAACCTTTCTGTTCATAGAGCAGTTAGGAAACACTCTGTTTGTAAAGTCTGCAAGTGGATATTCAGACCTCCTTGAGGCCTTCGTTGGAAACGGGATTTCTTCATATTCTGCTAGACAGAAGAATTCTCAGTAACTTCCTTGTGTTGTGTGTAGTCAACTCACAGAGTTGAACGATCCTTTACACAGAGCAGACTTGAAACATTCTTTTTGTGGAATTTGCAAGTGGAGATTTCAGCCGCTTTGAGGTCAATGGTAGAATAGGAAATATCTTCCTATAGAAACTAGACAGAACGATTCTCAGAAACTCCTTTGTGATGTGTGCGTTCAACTCACAGAGTTTAACTTTTCTTTTCATAGAGCCGTTAAGAAACACTCTGTTTGTAAAGTCTGCAAGTGGATATTCAGACCTCTTTGAGGCCTTCGTTGGAAACGGGATTTCTTCCTATTCTGCTAGACAGAAGAATTCTCAGTCACTTCCTTGTGTTGTGTGTATTCAACTCACAGAGTTGAACGATCCTTTACAGAGAGCAGACTTCAAACACTCTTTTTGTGGAATTTGCAAGTGGAGATTTCAGCCGCTTTGAGGTCAATAGTAGAAAAGGAAATATCTTCGTATAAAAACTAGACAGAATCATTCTCAGAAACTGCTGCGTGATGTGTGCGTTCAACTCTCAGAGTTTAACTTTTCTTTTCATTCAGCGGTTTGGAAACACTCTGTTTGTAAAGTCTGCACGTGGATATTTTGACCACTTAGAGGCCTTCGTTGGAAACGGGTTTTTTTTCATATAAGGCTAGACAGAAGAATTCCCAGTAACTTCCTTGTGTTGTGTGCATTCAACTCACAGAGTTGAACGTTCCCTTAGACAGAGGAGATTTGAAACACTCTATTTGTGCAATTTGCAAGTGTAGATTTCAAGCGCTTTAAAGTCAATGGCAGAAAAGGAAATATCTTCGTTTCAAAACTAGACAGAATCATTCCCACAAACTGCGTTGTGATGTGTTCGTTCAACTCACAGAGTTTAACCTTTCTGTTCATAGAGCAGTTAGGAAACACTCTGTTTGTAAAGTCTGCAAGTGAATATTCAGACCTCCTTGAGGCCTTCGTTGGAAACGGGATTTCTTCATATTCTGCTAGACCGAAGAATTCTCAGTAACTTCCTTGTGTTGTGTGTATTCAACTCACAGAGTTGAATGTTCCTTTACACAGAGCAGACTTGAAACACTCTTTTTGTGGAATTTGCAAGTGGAGATTTCAGCCGCTTTGAGGTCAATGGTAGAAAAGTAAATATCTTCGTATGAAGACTAGACAGAATGATTCTCAGAAACTCCTTTGTGATGTGTGCGTTCAACTCACAGAGTTCAACCTTTCTTTTAATAGAGCAGTTGGGAAACACTCTGTTTGTAAAGTCTGCAAGTGGATATTCAGACTTCTTTGAGGCCTTCGTTGGAAGCGGGATTTCTTCATATTCTGCTAGACAGAAGAATTCTCAGTAACCTCCTTGTGTTGTGTGTATTCAACTCACAGTGTTGAACGACCCTTTACACAGAGCAGACTTGAAACACTCTTTTTGTGGAATTTGCAAGTGGAGATTTCAGCCGCTTTGAGGTCAATGGTAGAATAGGAAATATCTTCCTATAGAAACTAGACAGAATGATTCTCAGAAACTCCTTTGTGATGTGTGCGTTCAACTCACAGAGTTTAACCTTTCTGTTCATAGAGCAGTTAGGAAACACTGTGTTTGTAAAGTCTGCAAGTGGATATTCAGACCTCCTTGAGTCCTTCGTTGGAAACGGGATTTCTTCATATTCTGCTAGACAGAAGAATTCCCAGTAACTTCCTTGTGTTGTGTGCATTCAACTCACAGAGTTGAACGTTCCCTTAGACAGAGCAGATTTGAAACACTCTATTTGTCCAATTTGCAAGTGTAGATTTCAAGCGCTTTAAGGTCAACGGCAGAAAAGGAAATATCTTCGTTTCAAAACTAGACAGAATCATTCCCACAAACTGCGTTGTGATGTGTTCGTTCAACTCACAGAGTTTAACCTTTCTGTTCATAGAGCAGTTAGGAAACACTCTGTTTTTAAAGTCTGTAAGTGGATATTCTGACATCTTGTGGCCATCGTTGGAAACGGGATTTCTTCATATTCTGCTAGACAGAAGAATTCTCGGTAACTTCCTTGTGTTGTGTGTATTCAACTCACAGAGTTGAACGATCCTTTACACAGAGCAGACTTGAAACACTCTTTTTGTGGAATTTGCAAGTGGAGATTTCAGCCGCTTTGAGGTCAATGGTAGAAAAGGAAATATCTTCGTATGAAGACTAGACAGAATGATTCTCAGAAACTCCTTTGTGATGTGTGCGTTCAACTCACAGAGTTTAACTTTTCTTTTCATAGAGCAGTTAGACAACACTCTGTTTGTAAAGTCTGCAAGTGAATATTCAGACCTCTTTGAGGCCTTCGTTGGAAACGGGATTTCTTCATATAATGCTAGACAGAAGAATTCTCAGTAACTTCCTTGTGTTGTGTGTATTCAACTCACAGAGTTGAACGATCCTTTACACAGAGCAGACTTGTAACACTCTTTTTGTGGAATTTGCAAGTGGAGATTTCAGCCGCTTTGAAGTCAAAGGTAGAAAAGGAAATATCTTCCTATAAAAACTAGTCAGAATGATTCTCAGAAACTGCTTTGTGATGTGTGCGTTCAACTCACAGAGTTTAACCTTTCTTTTCATAGAGCAGTTAGGAAACACTCTGTTTGTAAAGTCTGCATGTGGATATTGAGACTTCTTTGAGGCCTTCGTTGGAAACGGGTTTTTTTCATGTAAGGCTAGACAGAAGAATTCTCAGTAACTTCCTTGTGTTGTGTGTATTCAACTCACAGAGTTGAACTTTCATTTAGAGAGAGTAGATTTGAAACACTGTTTTTGTGGAATTTGCAAGTGGAGATTTCAAGCGCTTTGGGGCCAAAGGCAGAAAAGGAAATATCTTCGTATAAAAACTAGACAGAATCATTCTCAGAAACTGCTGCGTGATGTGTGCGTTCAACTCTCAGAGTTTAACTTTTCTTTTCATTCAGCGGTTTGGAAACACTCTGTTTGTAAAGTCTGCACGTGGATATTTTGACCACTTAGAGGCCTTCGTTGGAAACGAGTTTTTTTCATGTAAGGCTAGACAGAAGCATTCCCAGTAACTTCCTTGTGTTGTGTGCATTCAACTCACAGAGATGAACGTTCCCTTAGACAGAGAAGATTTGAAACACTCTATTTGTGCAATTTGCAAGTGTAGATTTCAAGCGCTTTAAGGTCAATGGCAGAAAAGGAAATATCTTCGTTTCAAAACTAGACAGAATGATTCTCAGAAAATTCTTTGTGATGTGTGCGTTCAACTCACAGAGTTTAACCTTTCTTTTCATAGAGCAGTTAGGAAACACTCTGTTTGTAAACTCTGCAAGTGGATATTCAGACCTCTTTGAGGCCTTCGTTGGAAACGGGATTTCTACATACTATGCTAGACAGAAGAATTCTCAGTAACTTCCGCGTGTTGTGTGTATTCAACTCACAGAGTTGAACGATCCTTTACACAGAGCAGACTTGAAACACTCTTTTTGTGGAATTTGCAAGTGGAGATTTCAGCCGCTTTGAGGTCAATGGTAGAAAAGGAAATATCTTCCTATAAAAACTAGACAGAATGATTCTCAGAAACTCCTTTGTGATGTGTGCGTTCAACTCACAGAGTTCAACCTTTCTTTTCATAGAGCAGTTAGGAAACACTCTGTTTATAATGTCTGCAATTGGATATTCAGACCTCTTTGAGGCCTTCGTTGAAAACGGGATTTCTTCATATTCTGCTAGACAGAAGAATTCCCAGTAACTTCCTTGTGTTGTGTGTGTTCAACTCACAGAGTTGAACTTTCATTTACACAGAGCAGATTTGAAACACTCTTTTTGTGGAATTTGCAAATGGAGATTTCAAGCGCTTTGAGGCCAAACGCAGAAATGGAAATATCTTCGTATAAAAATTAGACAGAATCATTCTCAGAAACTGCTCTGCGATGTGTGCGTTCAACTCTCAGAGTTTAACTTTTCTTTTCATTCAGCAGTTTGGAAACACTCTGTTTGTAAAGTCTGCACATGGATAATTTGACCACTTAGAGGCCTTCGTTGGAAACGGGTTTTTTTCATGTAAGGCTAGACAGAAGAATTCCCAGTAACTTCCTTGTGTTGTGTGCATTCAACTCATAGAGTTGAACGTTCCTTAGAGAGAGCAGATTTGAAACACTCTATTTGTGCAATTTGCAAGTGTAGATTTCAAGCGCTTTAAGGTCAATGGCAGAAAAGGAAATATCTTCGTTTCAAAACTAGACAGAATGATTCTCAGAAACTTCTTTGTGATGTGTGCATTCAACTCACAGAGTTTAACCTTTCTTTTCATAGAGCAGTTAGGAAACACTCTGTTTGTAAACTCTGCAAGTGGATATTCAGACCTCTTTGAGGCCTTCGTTGGAAACGGGTTTTTTTCATATAAGGCTAGACAGAAGAATTCCCAGTAACTTCCTTGTGTTGTGTGTATTCAACTCACAGAGTTGAACGATCCTTTACACAGAGCAGACTTGTAACACTCTTTTTGTGGAATTTGCAAGTGGAGATTTCAGCCGCTTTGAAGTCAAAGGTAGAAAAGGAAATATCTTCCTATAAAAACTAGACAGAATGATTCTCGGAAACTCCTTTGTGATGTGTGCGTTCAACTCACAGAGTTTAACCTTTCTTTTCATAGAGCAGTTAGGAAACACTCTGTTTGTAAAGTCTGCAAGTGGATATTCAGACCTCTTTGAGGCCTTCGTTGGAAACGGGATTTCTTCATATTCTGCTAGACAGAAGAATTCCCAGTAACTTCCTTGTGTTGTGTGTGTTCAACTCACAGAGTTGAACTTTCATTTACACAGAGCAGGTTTGAAACACTCTTTTTGTGGTATTTGCAAATGGAGATTTCAAGCGCTTTGTGGCGAAATGCAGAAAAGGAAATATCTTCGTATAAAAACTAGACAGAATCATTCTCAGAAACTGCTCTGCGATGTGTGCGTTCAACTCTCAGAGTTTAACTTTTCTTTTCGTTCAGCAGTTTGGAAACACTCTGTTTGTAACGTCTGCACGTGAATAATTTGACCACTTAGAGGCCTTCGTTGGAAACGGGTTTTTTTCATGTAAGGCTAGACAGAAGAATTCCCAGTAACTTCCTTGTGTTGTGTACATTCAACTCACAGAGTTGAACGTTCCCTTAGACAGAGCAGATTTGAAACACTCTTTTTGTGCAATTGGCAAGTGGAGATTTCAAGCGCTTTGAGGTCAATGGCAGAAAAGGAAATATCTTCGTTTCAAAACTAGACAGAATGATTCTCAGAAACTCCTTTGTGATGTGTGCGTTCAACTCACAGAGTTTAACCTTTCTTTTCATAGAGCAGTTAGGAAACACTCTGTTTGTAAAGTCTGCAAGTGGATATTCAGACCTCCTTGAGGCCTTCGTTGGAAGCGGGATTTCTTCATATTATGCTAGACAGAATAATTCTCAGTAACTTCCTTGTGTTGTGTGTATTCAACTCACAGAGTTGAACGATCATTTACACAGAGCAGACTTGAAACACTCTTTTTGTGGAATTTGCAAGTGGAGATTTCAGCCGCTTGAGGTCAATGGTAGAAAAGGAAACTATCTTCGTATAAAGACTAGACAGAATGATTTTCAGAAACTCCTTTGTGATGTGTGCGTTCAACTCACAGAGTTTAACCTTTCTTTTCATAGAGCAGTTAGGAAACACTCTGTTTGTAAAGTCTGCAAGTGGATATTCAGACCTCCTTGAGGCCTTCTTTGGAAACGGGATTTCTTCATATTCTGATAGACAGAAGAATTCTCAGTAACTTCCTTTTGTGGTGTGTATTCAACTCACAGAGTTGAATGATCCTTTACACAGAACAGTCTTGAAACACTCTTTTTGTGGAATTTGCAAGTGGAGATTTCAGCCGCTTTGAGGTCAATGGTAGAATAGGAAATATCTTCCTATAGAAACTAGACAGAATTATTCTCAGAAACTCCTTTTTGATATGGGTGTTCAACTCACCGAGTTTAACCTTTCCTTTCATAGAGCAGTTAGGAAACACTCTGTTTGTAAAGTCTGCAAGTGGATATTTCCACCTCTTTGAGGCCTTCGTTGGAAACGGGTTTTTTTTCATGTAATTCTAGACAGAAGAATTCTCAGTAACTTCCTTGTGTTGTGTGTATTCAACTGACAGAGTTGAACTTTCATTTAGAGAGAGCAGATTTGTAACACTGTTTTTGTGGAATTTGCAAGTGGAGATTTCAAGAGCTTTGGGGCCAAAGGCAGAAAAGGAAATATCTTCGTATAAAAACTAGACAGAATCATTCTCAGAAACTGCGGCGTGATGTGTGCGTTCAACTCTCAGAGTTTAACTTTTCTTTTCATTCAGCGGTTTGGAAACACTCTGTTTGTAAAGTCTGCACGTGGATATTTTGACCACTTAGAGGCCTTCGTTGGAAACGGGTTTTTCTCATGTAAGGCTAGACAGAAGAATTCCCAGTAACTTCCTTGTGTTGTGTGCATTCAACTCACAGAGTTGAACGTTCCCTTAGACAGAGCAGATTTGAAACACTCTATTTGTGCAATTTGCAAGTGTAGATTTCAAGCGCTTTATGGTCAACGGCAGAAAAGGAAATATCTTCGTTTCAAAACTAGACAGAATGATTCTCAGAAACTGCTTTGTGATGTGTGCGTTCAACTCACAGAGTTCAACCTTTCTTTTCATAGAGCAGTTGGGAAACACTCTGTTTGTAAAGTCTGCAAGTGGATATTCAGACATCCTTGAGGCTTTCGTTGGAAACGGGATTTCTTCATATTCTGCCAGAAAGAAGAATTCTCAGAAACTTCCTGGTGTTGCGTGTTTTCAACTCACAGAGTTCAACGATCCTTTACACAGAGTAGACTTGAAAAACTCTTTTTGTTGAATTGGCCAGTGGAGATTTCAGCCGCTTTGAGGTCAATGGTAGAAAAGGAAATATCTTCGTATAAAAACTAGACTGAATGATTCTCAGAAACTCCTTTGTGATGTGTGCGTTCAACTCGCAGAGTTTAACCTTTCTTTTCATAGAGCAGTTAGGAAACACTCTGGTTGTAAAGTCTGCAAGTGGATATTCAGACCTCGTTGAGGCCTTCGTTGGAAACGGGATTTCTTCATATTATGCTAGACAGAAGAATTCCCAGTAACTTCCTTGTGTTGTGTGTGTTCAACTCACAGAGTTGAACTTTCATTTACACAGAGCAGATTTGAAACACTCTTTTTGTGGAATTTGCAAGTGGAGATTTCAAGCGCTTTGAGGCCAAAGGCAGAAAAGGAAATATCTTCGTTTCAAAACTACACAGAATCATTCTCAGAAACTGCTGCGTGATGTGTGCGATCAACACTCAGAGTTTAACTTTTCTTTTCATTCAGCGGTTTGGAAACACTCTGTTTGTGAAGTCTGCACGTGGAAATTTTGACAACTTAGAGACCTTCGTTGGAAACGGGATTTTTTCATGTAAGGCTAGACAGAAGAATTCCCAGTAACTTCCTTGTGTTGTGTGCATTCAACTCACAGAGTTGAACGTTCCCTTAGACCGAGCAGATTTGAAACACTCTATTTGTGCAATTTGCAAGTGTAGTTTTCAAGCTCTTTAAGGTCAACGGCAGAAAAGGAAATATCTTCGTTTCAAAACTATACAGAATCATTCCCACAAACTGCGTTGTGATGTGTTCGTTCAACTCACAGAGTTTAACCTTTCTGTTCATAGAGCAGTTAGGAAACACTCTGTGTGTAAAGTCTGCAAGTGGATATTCAGACCTCTTTGAGGCCTTCGTTGGAAACGGTATTTCTTCATATTATGCTAGACAGAATAATTCTCAGTAACTTCCTTGTGTTGTGTGTATTCAACTCACAGAGTTGAAGGATCCTTTGCAGAGAGCAGGCTTGAAACACTCTTTTTGTCGAATTTGCAAGTGGAGATTTCAGCCGCTTTGAGGTCAATGGTAGAATAGGAAATATCTTCTTATAGAAACTAGACAGAATGATTCTCAGAAACTCCTTTGTGATGTGTGAGTACAACTCACAGAGTTTAACCTTTCTTTTCATAGAGCAGTTAGGAAACACTCTGTTTGTAAAGTCTGCAAGTGGATATTCAGACCTCTTTGAGGCCTTCGTTGGAAACGGGTTTTTTTCATGTAAGGCTAGACAGAAGAATTCTCAGTAACTTCCTTGTGTTGTGTGTATTCAACTGACAGAGTTGAACTTTCATTTAGAGAGAGCAGATTTGAAACACTGTTTTTGTGGAATTTGCAAGTGGATATTTCAAGCGCTTTGGGGCCAAAGGCAGAAAAGGAAATATCTTCGTATAAAAACTAGACAGAATCATTCTCAGAAACTGCTCTGTGATGTGTGCGTTCAACTCTCAGAGTTTAACTTTTCTTTTCATTCAGCAGTTTGGAAACACTCTGTTTGTAAAGTCTGCACGTGGATAATTTGACCACTTAGAGGCCTTCGTTGGAAACGGGTTTTTTTCATGTAAGGCTAGACAGAAGAATTCCCAGTAACTTCCTTGTGTTGTGTGCATTCAACTCACAGAGTTGAACGTTCCCTTAGACAGAGCAGATTTGAAACACTCTATTTGTGCAATTTGCAAGTGTAGATTTCAAGCGCATTAAGGTCAATGGCAGAAAAGGAAATATCTTCGTTTCAAAATTAGACAGAAATCATTCCCACAAACTGCGTTGTGATGTGTTCGTTCAACTCACAGAAGTTTAACCTTTCTTTTCATAGAGCAGTTAGGAAACAGTCTGTTTGTAAATTCTGTAAGTGGATATTCTGACATCTTGTGGCCTTCGTTGGAAACGGGATTTCTTCATATTCTGCTAGACAGAACAATTCTCAGTAACTTCCTTTTGTTGTGTGCTTTCAACTCACAGAGTTGAACGATCCTTTACACAGAGCAGATTAGAAACACTCTTTTTGTGGAATTTGCATGTGGAGATTTCAGCCGCTTTGAGGTCAATGGTAGAAAAGGAAATATCTTCGTATAAAAACTAGACAGAATGATTCTCAGAAACTCCTTTGTGATGTGTGTGTTCAACTCACAGAGTTTAACCTTTCTTTTCATAGAGTAGTTAGGAAACACTCTGTTTGTAAAGTCTGCAATTGGATATTCAGACCTCTTAGAGGCCTTCGTTGGAAACGGGATTTCTTCATATTATGCTAGACAGAAGAATTCTCAGTAACTTCCTTGTGTTGTGTGCATTCATCTCACAGAGTTGAAAGATCCTTTACACAGAGCAGATTAGAAACAATATTTTTGTGGATTTTGCAAGTGGAGATTTCAGCCACTTTGAGGTCAATGGTAGAAAAGGAAATATCTTCGTATAAAAACTAGAGAGAATCATTCTCAGAAACTGCTCTGCGATGTGTGCGTTCAACTCTCAGAGTTTAACTTTTCTTTTCATTCAGCAGTTTGGAAACACTCTGTTTGTAAAGTCTGCACGTGGATAACTTGACCACTTAGAGGCCTTCGTTGGAAACGGGTTTTTTTCCTGTAAGGCTAGACAGAAGAATTCCCAGTAACTTCCTTGTGTTGTGTGCATTCAACTCACAGAGTTGAACGTTCCCTTAGACAGAGCAGATTTGAAACACTCTATTTGTCCAATTTGCAAGTGTAGATTTCAAGCGCTTTAAGGTCAACGGCAGAAAAGGAAATATCTTCGTTTCAAAACTAGACAGAATCATTCCCACAAACTTCGTTGTGATGTGTTCGTTCAACTCACAGAGTTTAACGTTTATTTTCATAGAGCAGTTAGGAAACACTCTGTTTGTAAACTCTTCAAGTGGATATTCAGACCTCTTTGAGGCCTTCGTTGGAAACGGGATTTCTTCATATTCTGCTAGACAGAAGAATTCTCAGTAACTTCCTTGTGTTGTGTGTATTCAACTCACAGAGTTGAACGATCCTTTACACAGAGCACACTTGAAACACTCTTTTTGTGGAATTTGCAAGTGGAGATTTCAGCCGCTTTGAGGTCAATGGGAGAAAAGGAAATATCTTCGTATAAAGACTAGACAGAATGATTCTCAGAAACTCCTTTGTGATGTGTGTGTTCAACTCACAGAGTTTAACCTTTCTTTTCATAGAGCAGTTAGGAAACACTCTGTAAAGTCTGAAAGTGGATATTCAGACCTCTTTGAGGCCTTCGTTGGAAACGGGATTTCTTCATATTCTGCTAGACAGAATAATTCTCAGTAACTTCCTTGTGTTGTGTGTATTCAACTGACAGAGTTGAACTTTCATTTAGAGAGAGCAGATTTGAAACACTGTTTGTGTGGAATTTGCAAGTGGAGATTTCAAGCGCTTTGGGGCCAAAGGCAGAAAAGGTAATATCTTCGTATAAAAACTAGACAGAATCATTCTCAGAAACTGCTGCGTGATGTGTGCGTTCAACTCTCAGAGTTTAACTTTTCTTTTCATTCAGCCGTTTGGAAACACTCTGTTTGTAACGTCTGCACGTGGATATTTTGACCACTTAGAGGCCTTCGTTGGAAACGGGTTTTTTGCATGTAAGGCTAAACAGAAGAATTCCCCAGTAACTTCCTTGTGTTGTGTGCATTCAACTCACAGAGTTGAACGTTCCCTTAGACAGAGCAGATTTGAAACACTCTATTTGTGCAATTTGCAAGTGTAGATTTCAAGCGCTTTAAGGTCAACGGCAGAAAAGGAAATATCTTCGTTTCAAAACTAGACAGAATCATTCCCACAAACTGCGTTGTGATGTGTTCGTTCAACTCACAGAGTTTAACCTTTCTTTTCATAGAGCAGTTAGGAAACAGTCTGTTTGTCAATTCTGTAAGTGGATATTCTGACATCTTGTGGCCTTCGTTGGAAACGGGATTTCTTCATATTCTGCTAGACAGAAGAATTCTCAGTAACTTCCTTGTGTTGTGTGTATTCAACTCACAGAGTTGAACGATCCTTTACACAGAGCAGACTTGAAACACTCTTCTTGTGGAATTTGCAAGTGGAGATTTCAGTCCGCTTTGAGGTCAATTGTAGAATAGGAAATATCTTCCTATAGAAACTAGACAGAATGATTCTCAGAAACTCCTTTGTGATGTGTGCGTTCAACTCACAGAGTTTAACCTTTCTTTTCATAGAGCAGTTAGGAAACACTCTGTTTGTAAAGTCTGCAAGTGGATATTCAGACCTCCTTGAGGCCTTCGTTGGAAACGGGTTTTCTTCATATTATGCTAGACAGAAGAATTCTCAGTAACTTCCTTGTGTTGTGTGTATTCAACTCACAGAGTTGAACGATCCTTTACACAGAGCAGACTTGAGACACTCTTTTTGTGGAATTTGCAAGTGGAGATTTCAGCCGCTTTGAGGTCAATGGTAGAATAGGAAATATCTTCCTATAGAAACTAGACAGAATGATTCTCAGAAACTCCTTTGTGATGTGTGCGTTCAACTCACAGAGTTTAACCTTTCTTTTCATAGAGCAGTTGGGAAACACTCTGTTTGTAAAGTCTGCAAGTGGATATTCAGACGTCTTTGAGGCCTTCGTTGGAAACGGGATTTCTTCATATTCTGCTAGACAGAAGAATTCCCAGTAACTTCCTTGTGTTGTGTGCATTCAACATCACAGAGTTGAACGTTCCCTTAGACAGAGCAGATTTGAAACACTATATTTGTGCAATTTGCAAGTGTAGATTTCAAGCGCTTTAAGGTCAATGGCGAGAAAAGGAAATATCTTCGTTTCAAAACTAGACAGAATGATTCTCAGAAACTCCTTTGTGATGTGTGAGTTCAACTCACAGAGTTTAACCGTTCTTTTCATAGAGCAGTTAGGAAACACTCTGTTTGTAAAGTCTGCAAGTGGATATTCAGACCTCTTTGAGGCCTTCGTTGGAAACGGGATTTCTTCATATTCTGCTAGACAGAAGAATTCTCAGTAACTTCCTTGTGTTGTGTGCATTCAACTCACAGAGTTGAACGATCCTTTACACAGGGCAGATTTGAAACACTCTTTTTGTGGAATTTGCAAGCGGAGATTTCAGCCTCTTTGAGGTTAATGGTAGAAAATGAAATATCTTCGTATAGAAACTAGACAGAATGATTCTCAGAAACTCCTTTGTGATGTGTGTGTTCAACTCACAGAGTTTAACCTTTCTTTTCATAGAGCAGTTTGGAAACACTCTGTTTGTAAAGTCTGCAAGTGGATATTCAGACCTCTTTGAGGCCTTCGTTGGAAACGGGTTTTTTTCATATAAGGCTAGACAGAAGAATTCCCAGTAACTTCCTTGTGTGTGTTCAACTCACAGAGTTGAACTTTCATTTACACAGAGCAGATTGGAAACACTCTTTTTGTGGAATTTGCAAAGGGAGATTTCAAGAGCTTTGAGGCCAAAGGCAGAAAAGGAAATATCTTCGTATAAAAACGAGACAGAATCATTCTCAGAAACTGCTGTGCGATGTGTGCGTTCAACTCTCAGAGTTTAACTTTTCTTTTCATTCAGCAGTTTGGAAACACTCTGTTTGTAAAGTCTGCACGTGGATAATTTGACCACTTAGAGGCCTTCGTTGGAAACGGGTTTTTTTCATGTAAGGCTAGACAGAAGAATTCTCAGTAACTTCCTTGTGTTGTGTGTATTCAACTCACAGAGTTGAACGATCCTTTACACAGAGCAGACTTGAAACACTCTTTTTGTGGAATTTGGAAGTGGAGATTTCAGCCGCTTTGAGTGTCAATGGTAGAATAGGAAATATCTTCCTATAGAAACTAGACAGAATGATTCTCAGAAACTCCTTTGTGATGTGTGCGTTCAACTCACAGAGTTTAACCTTTCTTTTCATAGAGCAGTTGGGAAACACTCTGTTTGTAAAGTCTGCATGTGGATATTCAGACATCCTTGAGGCTTTCGTTGGAAACGGGATTTCTTCATATTCTGCTAGAAAGAATAATTCTCAGTAACTTCCTTGTGTTGTGTGTATTCAACTCACAGAGTTGAACGATCCTTTACAGAGAGCAGACTTGAAACACTCTTTTTGTGGAATTTGCAAGTGGAGATTTCAGCCGCTTTGAGGTCAAAGGTAGAATAGGAAATATCTTCCTACAGAAACTAGACAGAACGATTCTCAGAAACTCCTTTGTGATGTGTGCGTTCAACTCACAGAGTTTAACCTTTCTTTTCATAGAGCAGTTAGGAAACACTCTGTTTGTAAAGTCTGCAAGTGGATATTCAGACCTCTTTGAGGTCTTCTTTGGAAACGGGATTTCTTCCTATTCTGCTAGACAGAAGAATTCCCAGTAACTTCCTTGTGTTGTGTGTGTTCAACTCACAGAGTTGAACTTTCATTTACACAGAGCAGATTTGAAACACTCTTTTTGTGGAATTTGCAAGTGGAGATTTCAAGCGCTTTGAGGCCAAGGCACAAAAGGATATATCTTCGTATAAAAACTAGACAGAATCATTCTCAGAAACTGCTCTGCGATGTGTGCGTTCAACTCTCAGCAGTTTAACTTTTCTTTTCATTCAGCAGTGTGGAAACACTCTGTTTGTAAAGTCTGCACGTGGATATTTTGACCACTTAGAGGCCTTCGTTGGAAACGGGTTTTTTTCCTGTAAGGCTAGACAGAAGAATTCCCAGTAACTTCCCTTGTGTTGTGTACATTCAACTCACAGAGTTGAACGTTCCCTTAGACAGAGCTGATTTGAAACACTCTTTTTGTGCAATTGGCAAGTGGAGATTTCTAGCGCTTTAAGGTCAATGGCAGAAAAGGAAATATCTTCGTTTCAAAACTAGACAGAATCATTCCCACAAACTGCGTTGTGATGTGTTCGTTCAACTCACAAGAGTTTAACCTTTCTTTTCATAGAGCAGTTAGGAAACAGTCTGTTTGTCAATTCTGTAAGTGGATATTCTGACATCTTGTGGCCTTCGTTGGAAACGGGATTTCTTCATATTCTGCTAGACAGAAGAATTCTCAGAAACTTCCTTGTGTTGTGTGTATTCAACTCACAGAGTAGAACGATCCTTTACACAGAGCAGACTTGAAACACTCTTTTTGTGGAATTTGCAAGTGGAGATTTCAGCCGATTTGAAGTCAATGGTAGAAAGGGAAATATCTTCGTATAGAAACTAGACAGAATGATTCTCAGAAAATCTTTTGTGTGTGTGCGTTCAACTCACAGAGTTTAACTTTTCTTCTCATAGAGCAGTTAGGAAACACTCTGTTTGTAAAGTGTGCAAGTGGATATTCAGACCTCTTTGAGGCCTTCGTTGGAAACGGGATTTCTTCATATTATGCTAGACAGAAGAATTCCCAGTAACTTCCTTGTGTTGTGTGTGTTCAACTCACAGAGTTGAACTTCCATTTACACAGAGCAGATTTGAAACACTCTTTTTGTGGAATTTGCAAGTGGAGATTTCAAGCGCTTTGAGGCCAAAGGCAGAAAAGGAAATATCTTCCTTTCAAAACTAGACAGAATCATTCTCAGAAACTGCTCTGCGATGTGTGCGTTCAACTCTCAGAGTTTAACTTTTCTTTTCATTCAGCAGTTTGGAAACACTCTGTTTGTAAAGTCAGCACGTGGATAATTTGACCACTTAGAGGCCTTCGTTGGAAACGGGTTTTTTTCATGTAAGGCTAGACAGAAGAATTCCCAGTAACTTCCTTGTGTTGTGTGCATTCAACTCACAGAGTTGAACGTTTCCTTAGACAGAGCAGAATTGAAACACTCTATTTGTGCAATTTGCAAGTGTAGATTTCAAGCGCTTTATGGTCAGTGGCAGAAAAGGAAATATCTTCGTTTCAAAACTAGACAGAATGATTCTCAGAAACTCCTTTGTGATGTGTGCGTTCAACTCACAGAGTTTAACCTTTCTTTTCATAGAGCAGTTAGGAAACACTCTGTTTGTAAAGACTGCAAGTGGATATTCAGACCTCTTTGAGGCCTTCGTTGGAAACGGGATTTCTTCATATTCTGCTAGACAGAAGAATTCTCAGTAACTTCCTTGTGTTGTGTGTATTCAACTCACAGAGTTGAACGATCCTTTACACAGAGCAGACTTGAAACATTCTTTTTGTGGAATTTGCAAGTGGAGATTTCAGCCGCTTTGACGTCAATGGTAGAATAGGAAATATCTTCCTATAGAAACTGGACAGAATGATTCTCAGAAACTCCTTTGTGATGTGTGGGTTCAACTCACAGAGTTTAACCTTTCTTTTCATAGAGCAGTTAGGAAACACTCTGTTTGTAAGGTCTGCAAGTGGATATTCAGACCTCTTTGAGGCCTTCGTTGGAAACGGGATTTTTTCATATAAGGCTAGACAGAGAATTCTCAGTAACTTCCTTGTGTTGTGTGTATTCAACTGACAGAGTTGAACTTTCATTTAGAGAGAGCAGATTTGAAACACTGTTTTTGTGGAATTTGCAAGTGGAGATTTCAAGCGCTTTGGGGCCAAAGGCAGAAAAGGAAATATCTTCGTATAAAAACTAGACAGAATCTTTCTCAGAAACTGCTCTGCGATGTGTGCGTTCAACTCTCAGAGTTTAACTTTTCTTTTCATTCAGCAGTTTGGAAACACTCTGTTTGTAAAGTCTGCACGTGGATATTTTGACCACTTAGAGGCCTTCGTTTGAAACGGGTTTTTTTCCTGTAAGGCTAGACAGAAGAATTCCCAGTAACTTCCTTGTGTTGTGTACATTCAACTCACAGAGTTGAACGTTCCCTTAGACAGAGCAGATTTGAAACACTCTTTTTGTGCAATTGGCAAATGGAGATTTCAAGCGCTTTAAGGTCAATGGCAGAAAAGGAAATATTCTTCGTTTCAAAACTAGACAGAATCATTCCCACAAACTGCGTTGTGATGTGTTCGTTCAACCCACAGAGTTTAACCTTTCTGTTCATAGAGCAGTTAGGAAACACTCTGTTTGTAAAGTATGAAAGTGGATATTCTGACATCTTGTGGCCTTCGTTGGAAACGGGATTTCTTCATATTCTGCTAGACAGAAGAATTCTCAGTAACTTCCTTGTGTTGTGTGTATTCAACTCACAGAGTTGAACGATCCTTTACACAGAGCAGACTTGAAACACTCTTTTTGTGGAATTTGCTTGTGGAGATTTCAGCCGCTTTGAGGTCAATGGTAGAAAAGGAAATATCTTCGTATAAAGAGTAGACAGAATGATTCTCATAAACTCCTTCGTGATGTGTGCGTTCAACTCACAGAGTTTAACCTTTCTTTTCATAGAGCAGTTAGGAAACACTCTGTTTGTAAAGTCTGCAAGTGGATATTCAGACCTCTTTGAGGCCTTCGTTTTAAACGGGATTTCTTCATATTATGCTAGACAGAAGAATTCCCAGTAACTTCCTTGTGTTGTGTGTGTTCAACTAATAGAGTTGAACTTTCATTTACACAGAGCAGATTGGAAACACTCTTTTTGTGGAATTTGCAAGTGGAGATTTCAAGCGCTTTGAGGCCAAAGGCAGAAAAGGAAATATCTTCTTATAAAAACTAGACAGAATCATTCTCAGAAACTGCTGCGTGATGTGTGCGTTCAACTCTCAGAGTTTAACTTTTCTTTTCATTCAGCGGTTTGGAAACACTCTGTTTTTAAAGTCTGCACGTGGAAATTTTGACCACTTAGAGGCCTTCGTTGGAAACGGGATTTTTTCATGTAAGGCTAGACAGAAGAATTCCCAGTAACTACCTTGTGTTGTGTACATTCAACTCACAGAGTTGAACGTTCCCTTAGACAGAGCAGATTTGAAGTACTCTTTTTGTGCAATTGGCAAATGGAGATTTCAAGCGCTTTAAGGTCAATGGCAGAAAAGGAAATATCTTCGTTTCAAAACTAGACAGAATCATTCCCACAAGCTGCGTTGTGATGTGTTCGTTCAACTCACAGAGTTTAACCTTTCTGTTCATAGAGCAGTTAGGAAACCCTCTGTTTGTAAAGTCTGCAAGTGGATATTCAGACCTCTTTGAGGCTTTCGTTGGAAACGGGATTTCCTCAAATTCTGCTAGACAGAAGAATTCTCAGTAACTTCCTTGTGTTGTGTGTATTCAACTCACAGAGTTGAATGATCCTTTACACAGAGCAGACTTGAAACACTCTTTTTGTGGAATTTGCAAGTGGAGATTTCAGCCGCTTTGAGGTCAATGGTAGAAAAGGAAACTGTCTTCATATAAAGAATAGACAGAATGATTCTCAGAAAATCTTTTGTGATGTGTGCGTTCAACCCACAGAGTTTAACCTTTCTTTTCATAGAGCAGTTAGGAAACACTCTGTTTGAAAAGTCTGCAAGTGGATATTCAGACCTCTTTGAGGCCTTCGTTGGAAACGGGATTTCTTCATATTATGCTAGACAGAAGAATTCCCAGTAACTTTCCTTGTGTTGTGTGTGTTCAACTCACAGAGTTGAACTTTCATTTACACAGAGCAGATTTGAAACACTCTTTTTGTGGAATTTGCAAGTGGAGATTTCAAGCGCTGTGAGGCCAAAGGCAGAAAAGGAAATATCTTCGTATAAAAACTAGACAGAATCATTCTCAGAAACTGCTCTGCGATGTGTGCGTTGAACTCTCAGAAGTTTAACTTTTCTTTTCATTCAGCAGTTTGGAAACACTCTGTTTGTAAAGTCTGCACGTGGATAATTTGACCACTTAGAGGCCTTCGTTGGAAACGGGTTTTTTTCATGTAAGGCTAGACAGAAGAATTCCCAGTAACTTCCTTGTGTTGTGTGCATTCAACTCACAGAGTTGAACGTTCCCTTAGACAGAGCAGATTTGAAACACTCTATTTGTGCAATTTGCAAGTGTAGATTTCAAGCGCATTAAGGTCAATGGCAGAAAAGGAAATATCTTCGTTTCAAAATTAGACAGAATCACTCCCACAAACTGCGTTGTGATGTGTTCGTTCAACTCACAGAGTTTAACCTTTCTTTTCATAGAGCAGTTAGGAAACAGTCTGTTTGAAAATTCTGTAAGTGGATATTCTGACATCTTGTGGCCTTCGTTGGAAACGGGATTTCTTCATATTCTGCTAGGCAGAATAATTCTCAGTAACTTCCTTGTGTTGTGTGTATTCAACTCACAGAGTTGAAGGATCCTTTACAGAGAGCAGGCTTGAAACACTCTTTTTGTCGAATTTGCAAGTGGAGATTTCAGCCGCTTTGAGGTCAATGGTAGAAAAGTAAATATCTTCGTATAAAGACTAGACAGAATGATTCTCAGAAACTCCTTTGTGATGTGTGCGTTCAACTCACAGAGTTCAACCTTTCTTTTCATAGAGCAGTTGGGAAACACTCTGTTTGTAAAGTCTGCAAGTGGATATTCAGACTTCTTTGAGGGCTTCGTTGGAAGCGGGATTTCTTCATATTCTGCTAGACAGAAGAATTCCCAGTAACTTCCATGTGTTGTGTGTGTTCAACTCACAGAGTTGAACTTTCATTTACACAGAGCAGATTTGAAACACTCTTTTTGTGGAATTTGCAAATGGAGATTTCAAGCGCTTTGAGGCCAAAGGCAGAAAAGGAAATATCCTTCGTATAAAAACTAGACAGAATCATTCTCAGAAACTGCTCTGCGATGTGTGCGTTCAACTCTCAGAGTTTAACTTTTCTTTTCATTCAGCAGTTTGGAAACACTCTGTTTGTAAACTCTGCACGTGGATAATTTGACCACTTAGAGGTCTTCGTTGGAAACGGGTTTTTTTCATGTAACGCTAGACAGAAGAATTCCCAGTAACTTCCTTGTGTTGTGTGCATTCAACTCACACAGTTGAACGTTCCCTTAGACAGAGCAGATTTGAAACACTCTATTTGTGCAATTTGCAAGTGTAGATTTCAAGCGCTTTAAGGTCAATGGCAGAAAAGGAAATATCTTCGTTTCAAAACTAGACAGAATCATTCCCACAAACTGCGTTGTGATGTGTTCGTTCAACTCACAGAGTTTAACCTTTCTGTTCATAGAGCAGTTAGGAAACACTCTGTTTGTAAAGTCTGTAAGTGGATATTCTGATATCTTGTGGCCTTCGTTGGAAACGGGATTTCTTCCTATTCTGCTAGACAGAAGAATTCTCAGTAACTTCCTTGTGTTGTGTGTATTCAACTCACAGAGTTGAACGATCCTTTACACAGAGAAGAGTTGAAACACTCTTTTTGTGGAATTGGCAAGGGGAGATTTCTGCCGCTTTGAGTCAATGGTAGAAAAGGAAATATCTTCGTATAAAGACTAGACAGAATGATTCTCAGGAACTCCTTTGTGATGTGTGCGTTCAACTCACAGAGTTTAACTTTTCTTTTCATAGAGCAGTTAGGAAACACTCTGTTTGTAAAGTCTTCAAGTGGATATTCAGACCTCTTTGAGGCCTTCGTTGGAAACGGGATTTCTTCATATTCTGCTAGACAGAAGAATTCCAAGTAACTTCCTTGTGTTGTGTGTGTTCAACTCACAGAGATGAACTTTCATTTACACAGAGCAGATTTGAAACACTCTTTTTGTGGAATTTGCAAGTGGAGATTTCAAGCGCTTTGAGGCCAAAGGCAGAAAAGGAAATATCTTCGTATAAAAACTAGACAGAAATCATTCTCAGAACCTGCTTCGTGATGTGTGCGTTCAACTCTCAGAGTTTAACTTTTCTTTTCATTCAGCGGTTTGGAAACACTCTGTTTGTAAAGTCTGCACGTGGAAATTTTGACCACTTAGAGGCCTTCGTTGGAAACGGGTTTTTTTCATGTAAGGCTAGACAGAAGAATTCCCAGTAACTTCTTTGTGTTGTGTGCATTCAACTCACAGAGTTGAACGTTCTCTTAGACAGAGCAGATTTGAAACACTCTATTTGTGCAATTTGCAAGCGTAGATTTCAAGCGCTTTAAGGTCAATGGCAGAAAAGGAAATATCTTCGTTTCAAAACTAGACAGAAATGATTCCCACAAACTGCGTTGTGATGTGTTCGTTCAACTCACAGAGTTTAACCTTTCTGTTCATAGAGCAGTTAGGAAACACTCTGTTTGTAAAGTCTGTAAGTGGATATTCTGACATCTTGTGGCCTTCGTTGGAAACGGGATTTCTTCATATTATGCTAGACAGAAGAATTCTCAGTAACTTCCTTGTGTTGTGTGTATTCAACTCACAGAGTTGAACGATCCTTTACACAGAGCAGTCTTGAAACACTCTTTTTGTGGAATTTGCAAGTGGAGATTTCGGCCGCTTTGAGGTCAACGGTAGAAAAGGAAATATCTTCGTATAAAGACTAGATAGAATGATTCTCAGAAACTCCTTTGTGATGTGTGCGTTCAACTCACAGAGTTTAACCTTTCTTTTCATAGCGCAGTTGGGAAACACTCTGTTTGTAAAGTCTGCAAGTGGATATTCTGACATCCTTGAGGCTTTCGTTGGAAACGGGATTTCTTCATATTCTGCTAGAAAGAAGAATTCTCAGTAACTTCCTTGTGTTGTGTGTATTCAACTGACAGAGTTGAACTTTCATTTAGAGTGAGCAGATTTGAAACACTGTTTTTGTGGAATTTGCAAGTGGAGATTTCAAGCGCTTTGGGGCCAAAGGCAGAAAAGGAAATATCTTCGTATATAAACTAGACAGAATCATTCTCAGAAACTGCTCTGCGATGTGTGCGTTCAACTCTCAGAGTTTAACTTTTCTTTTCATTCAGCAGTTTGGAAACACTCTGTTTGTAAAGTCTGCACGTGGATAACTTGACCTCTTAGAGGCCTTCGTTGGAAACGGGTTTTTTTCCTGTAAGGCTAGACAGAAGAATTCCCAGTAACTTCCTTGTGTTGTGTGCACTCAACTCACAGAGTTGAACGTTCCCTTAGACAGAGCAGATTTGAAACACTCTATTTGTGCAATTTGCAAGCGTAGATTTCAAGCGCTTTAAGGTCAATGGCAGAAAAGGAAATATCTTCGTTTCAAAACTAGACAGAATCATTCCCACAAACTGCGTTGTGATGTGTTCGTTCAACTCACAGAGTTTAACCTTTCTTTTCATAGAGCAGTTAGGAAACATTCTGTTTGTAAATTCTGTAAGTGGATATTCTGACATCTTGTGGCCTTCGTTGGAAACGGGATTTCTTCATATTCTGCTAGACAGAAGAATTCTCAGTAACTTCCTTGTGTTGTGTGTTTTCAACTCAGAGAGTTGAACGATCCTTTACACAGAGCAGACTTGAAACACTCTTTTTGTGGAATTTGCAACTGGAGATTTCAGCCGCGTTGATGTCAATGGTAGAAAAGGAAATATCTTCGTATAAAAACTGGACAGAATGATTCTCAGAAACTCCTTTGTGATGTGTGCGTTCAACTCACACAGTTTAACCTTTCTTTTCATAGAGAAGTTAGGAAACACTCTGTTTGTAAAGTCTGCAAGTGGATGTTCAGACCTCTTTGAGGCCTTCGTTGGAAACGGGTTTTTTTCATATAAGGCTAGACAGAAGAATTCCCAGTAACTTCCTTGTGTTGTGTGTGTTCAACTCACAGAGTTGAACTTTCATTTACCCAGAGCAGATTTGAAACACTCTTTTTGTGGAATTTGCAAATGGAGATTTCAGCCGCGTTGAGGTCAATGGTAGAAAAGGAAATATCTTCGTTTCAAAACTAGACAGAATCATTCTCAGGAACTACTGCGTGATGTGTGGGTTCAACTCTCAGAGTTTAACTTTTCTTTTCATTCAGCGGTTTGGAAACACTCTCTTTGTAAAGTCTGCACGTGGAAATTTTGACCACTTAGAGGCCTTCGTTTGTTTTTTTCATGTAAGGCTAGACAGAAGAATTCCCAGTAACTTCCTTGTGTTGTGTGTATTCAACTCACAGAGTTGAACGATCCTTTACACAGAGCGGACTTGTAACACTCTTTTTGTGGAATTTGCAAGTGGAGATTTCAGCCGCTTTGAAGTCAAAGTTAGAAAAGGAAATAACTTCCTATAAAAACTAGACAGATTCATTCCCACAAACTGCGTTGTGATGTGTTCGTTCAACTCACAGAGTTTAACCTTTCTTTTCATAGAGCAGTTAGGAAACAGTCCGTTTGAAAATTCTGTAAGTGGATATTCTGACATCTTGTGGCCTTCGTTGGAAACGAGATTTCTTCATATTCTGCTAGACAGAAGAATTCTCAGTAACTTCCTTGTGTTGTGTGTATTGAACTCACAGAGTTGAACGATCCTTTACACAGAGCAGACTTGAAACACTCTATTTGTAGAATTTGCAAGTGGAGATTTCAGCCGCTTTGAGGTCAGTAGTAGAAAAGGAAATATCTTCGTGGAAAAACTAGACAGAATGATTCTCAGAAACTCCTTTGTGATGTGTGCGTTCAACACACAGAGTTTAACTTTTCTTTTCATAGAGCAGTTAGTAAACACTCTGTTTATAAAGTCTGCAAGTGGATATTCAGACCCCTTTGAGGCCTTCGTTGGAAACGGGATTTCTTCATATTATGCTAGACAGAAGAATTCTCAGAATCTTCCTTGTGTTGTGTGTATTCAACTCACAGAGTTGAACGATCCTTTACACAGAGCAGACTTGAAACACTCTTTTTGTGGAATTTGCAAGTGGAGATTTCAAGCGCTTTGAGGCCAAAGGCAGAAAAGGAAATATCTTCGTAGAAAAACTAGACAGAATCATTCTCAGAAACTGCTCTGCGATGTGTGCGTTCAACTCTCAGAGTTTAACTTTTCTTTTCATTCAGCAGTTTGGAAACACTCTGTTTGTAAAGTCTGCACGTGGATAATTTGACCACTTAGAGGTCTTCGTTGGAAACGGGTTTTTTCATGTAAGGCTAGACAGAAGAATTCCCAGTAACTTCCCTTGTGTTGTGTACATTCAACTCACAGAGTTGAACGTTCCCTTAGACAGAGCATATTTGAAACACTCTTTTTGTGCAATTGGCAAGTGGAGATTTCAAGCGCTTTAAGGTCAATGGGAGAAAAGGAAATATCTTCGTTTCAAAACTAGACAGAATCTTCCCACAAACTGCGTTGTGATGTGTTCGTTCAACTCACAGAGTTTAACCTTTCTTTTCATAGAGCAGTTAGGAAACAGTCTGTTTGTCAATTCTGTAAGTGGATATTCTGACATCTTGTGGCCTTCGTTGGAAACGGGATTTCTTCATATTCTCCTAGACAGAAGAATTCTCAGTAACTTCCTTGTGTTGTGTGTATTCAACTCACAGAGTTGAACGATCCTTTACACAGAGCAGACTTGAAACACTCTTTTTGTGGAATTTGCAAGTGGAGATTTCAGCCGCTTTGAGGTCAATGGTAGAAAAGGAGACATCTTCGTATAAAAACTAGACAGAATGATTCTTAGAAACTCCTTTGTGATGTGTGCGTTCAACTCACAGAGTTTACCCTTTCTTTTCATAGAGCAGTTAGGAAACACTCTGTTTGTAAAGTCTGCAAGTGGATATTCAGACATCCTTGAGGCTTTCGTTGGAAACGGGATTTCTTCATATTCTGCCAGAAAGAAGAATTCCCAGTAACTTCCTTGTGTTGTGTGTGTTCAACTCACAGAGTTGAACTTTCATTTACACAGAGCAGATTTGAAACACTCTTTTTGTGGAATTTGCAAGTGGAGATTTCAAGCGCTTTGAGGTCAATGGTAGAAAAGGAAATATCTTCGTATAAAAACTAGACAGAATCATTCTCAGAAACTGCTCTGCGATGTGTTCGTTCAACTCTAAGAGTTTAACTTTTCTTTTCATTCAGCAGTTTGGAAACACTCTGTTTGTAAAGTCTGTACGTGGATAATTTGACCACTTAGAGGCCTTCGTTGGAAACGGGTTTTTTTCATGTAAGGATAGACAGAAGATTTCTCAGTAACTTCCTTGTGTTGTGTGTATTCAACTCACAGAGTTGAACGATCCTTTACACAGAGCAGACTTGTATCACTCTTTTTGTGGAATTTGCAAGTGGAGATTTCAGCCGCTTTGAAGTCAAAGGTAGAAAAGGAAATATCTTCCTATAAAAACTAGACAGAATGATTCTCAGAAACTTCTTTGTGATGTGTGCGTTCAACTCACAGAGTTTAACCTTTCTTTTCATAGAGCAGTTAGGAAACACTGTGTTTTTAAACTCTGCAAGTGGATATTCAGACCTCTTTGAGGCCTTCGTTGGAAACGGGATTTCTTCTTACTGTGCTAGACAGAAGAATTCTCAGTAACTTCCTTGTGTTGTGTGTATTCAACTCACAGAGTTGACCGATCCTTTACACAGAGCAGACTTGTAACACTCTTTTTGTGGAATTTGCAAGTGGAGATTTCAGCCGCTTTGAAGTCAAAGGTAGAAAAGGGAATATCTTCCTATAAAAACTAGACAGAATGATTCTCAGAAACTCCTTTGTGATGTGTGCGTTCAACTCACAGAGTTTAACCTTTCTTTTCATAGAGCAGTTAGGAAACACTCTGTTTGTAAAGTCTGCAAGTGGATATTCAGACCTCTCTGAGGCCTTCGTTGGAAACGGGATTTCTTCATACTGTGCTAGACAGAAGAATTCCCAGTAACTTCCTTGTGTTGTGTGTGTTCAACTCACAGAGTTGAACTTTCATTTACCCAGAGCAGATTTGAAACACTCTTTTTGTGGAATTTGCAAGTGGAGATTTCAAGCGTTTTGAGGCCAAAGGCAGAAAAGGAAATGTCTTCGTTTCAAAACTAGACAGAATCATTCTCAGAAACTGCTCTGCGATGTGTGCGTTCAACTCTCAGAGTTTAACTTTTCTTTTCATTCAGCAGTTTGGAAACACTCTGTTTGTAAAGTCTGCACGTGGATATTTTGACCATTTAGAGGCCTTCGTTGGAAACGGGTTTTTTTCTTGTAAGGCTAGACAGAAGAATTCTCAGTAACTCCCTTGTGTTGTGTGTATTCAACTCACAGAGTTGAACGATCCTTTACAGAGAGCAGACTTGAAACACTCTTTTTGTGGAATTTGCAAGTGGAGATTTCAGCCGCTTTGAGGTCAATGGTAGAATAGGAAATATCTTCCTATAGAAACTAGACAGAATGATTCTCAGAAATTCCTTTGTGATGTGTGCGTTCAACTCACAGAGTTTAACCTTTCTTTTCACTAGAGCAGTTAGGAAACACTCTGTTTGTAAAGTCTGCAAGTGGATATTCAGACCTCTTTGAGGCCTTCGTTGGAAACGGGATTTCTTCATATTCTGCTAGACAGAAGAATTCTCAGTAACTTCCTTGTGTTGTGTGTATTCAACTCACAGAGTTGAACGATCCTTTACACAGAGCAGACTTGAAACACTCTTTTTGTGGAATTTGCAAGTGGAGATTTCAGCCGCTTTGAGGTCAATAGTAGAAAAGGAAATATCTTCGTAGAAAAACTAGGCAGAATGATTCTCAGAAACTCCTTTGTGATGTGTGCGTTCAAGTCACAGAGTTTAACCTTTCTTTTCATCGAGCAGTTAGGAAACACTCTGTTTGTAAAGTCTGCAAGTGGATATTCAGACATCCTTGAGGCTTTCGTTGGAAACGGGATTTCTTCATATTCTGCTAGAAAGAAGAATTCCCAGTAACTTCCTTGTGTTGTGTGTGTTCAACTGACAGAGTTGAACTTTCATTTACCCAGAGCAGATTTGAAACACTCTTTTTGTGGAATTTGCAAGTGGAGATTTCAAGCGCTTTGAGGCCAAAGGCAGAAAAGGAAATATCTTCGTTTCAAAACTAGACAGAATCATTCTCAGAAACTGCTGCGTGATGTGTGCGTCCAACACTCAGAGTTTAACTTTTCTTTTCATTCAGCGGTTTGGAAACACTCTGTTTGTAAAGTCTGCACGTGGATATTTTGACCACTTAGAGGCCTTCGTTGGAAACGGGTTTTTTTCATGTAAGGCTAGACAGAAGGAATTCCCAGTAACTTCCTTGTGTTGTGTACATTCAACTCACAGATTTGAACGTTCCCTTAGACAGAGCAGATTTGAAACACTCTTTTTGTGCAATTGGCAAATGGAGATTTCAAGCGCTTTAAGGTCAATGGCAGAAAAGGAAATATCTTCGTTTCAAAACTAGACAGAATCATTCCCACAAACTGCGTTGTGATGTGTTCGTTCAACTCACAGAGTTTAACCTTTCTGTTAATAGAGCAGTTAGGAAACACTCTGTTTGTAAAGTTTGCAAGTGGATATTCAGACCTCCTTGAGGCCTTCGTTGGAAACGGGATTTCTTCATATTCTGCTAGACAGAAGAATTCTCAGAATCTTCCTTGTGTTGTGTGTATTCAACTCACAGAGTTGAACGATCCTTTACACAGAGCAGACTTGAAACACTCTTTTTGTGGAATTTGCAAGTGGAGATTTCAGCCGCTTTGAGGTCCATGGTAGAAAAGGAAATGTCTTCGTATAAAAACTAGACAGAATGATTCTCAGAAACTTCTTTGTGATGTGTGCGTTCAACTCACAGAGTTTAACCTTTCTTTTCATAGAGCAGTTAGGAAACACTCTGTTTGTAAATTCTGCAAGTGGATATTCAGACCTCTTTGAGGCCTTCGTTGGAAACGGGATTTCTTCATACTATGCTAGACAGAAGAATTCCCAGTAACTTCCTTGTGTTGTGTGTGTTCAACTCACAGATTTGAACTTTCATTTACACAGAGCAGATTTGAAACACTCTTTTTGTGGAATTTGCAAGTGGAGATTTCAAGCGCTTTGAGGCCAAAGGCAGAAAAGGAAATATCTTCGTATAAAAACTAGACAGAATCATTCTCAGAAACTGCTGCGTGATGTGTGCGTTCAACTCTCAGCGTTTAACTTTTCTTTTCATTCAGCGGTTTGGAAACACTCTGTTTGTAAAGTCTGCACGTGGATATTTTGACCACTTAGAGGCCTTCGTTGGAAACGGGTTTTTTTCATGTAAGGCTAGACAGAAGAATTCCCAGTAACTTCCTTGTGTTGTGTGCATTCAACTCACAGAGTTGAACGTTCCCTTAGACAGAGCAGATTTGAAACACTCTATTTGTGCAATTTGCAAGTGTAGTTTTCAAGCTCTTTAAGGTCAACGGCAGAAAAGGAAATATCTTGGTTTCAAAACTAGACAGAATGATTCTCAGAGAATCTTTTGTGATGTGTGCGTTCAACTCACAGAGTTTAACTTTTCTTCTCATAGAGCAGTTAGGAAACACTCTGTTTGTAAAGTCTGCAAGTGGATATTCAGACCTCTTTGAGGTCTTCGTTGGAAACGGGATTTCTTCATATTATGCTAGACAGAATAATTCTCAGTAACTTCCTTGTGTTGTGTGTATTCAACTCACAGAGTTGAAGGATCCTTTACAGAGAGCAGGCTTGAAACACTCTTTTTGTCGAATTTGCAAGTGGAGATTTCAGCCGCTTTGAGGTCAAAGGTAGAATAGGAAATATCTTCTTATAGAAACTAGACACAATGATTCTCAGAAACTTCTTTGTGATGTGTGCGTTCAACTCACAGAGTTTAACCTTTCTTTTCATAGAGCAGTTAGGAAACACTCTGTTGGTAAACTCTGCAAGTGGATATTCAGACCTCTTTGAGGCCTTCGTTGGAAACGGGATTTCTTCATACTATGCTAGACAGAAGAATTCCCAGTAACTTCCTTGTGTTGTGTGTGTTCAACTCACAGAGTTGAACTTTCATTTACACAGGGCAGATTTGAAACACTCTTTTTGTGGAATTTGCAAATGGAGGTTTCAAGCGCTTTGAGGCCAAAGGCAGAAAAGGAAATATCTTCGTATAAAAACTAGACAGAATCATTCTCAGAAACTGCTCTGCGATGTGTGCGTTCAACTCTCAGAGTTTAACTTTTCTTTTCATTCAGCAGTTTGGAAACACTCTGTTTGTAAAGTCTGCACGTGGATAATTTGACCACTTAGAGGCCTTCTTTGGAAACGGGTTTTTTTCATATAAGGCTAGACAGAAGAATTCCCAGTAACTTCCTTTTGTTGTGTGTGTTCAAGTCACACAGATGAACTCTCATTTACACAGAGCAGATTTGAAACTCTCTTTTTGTGGAATTTGCAAATGGAGATTTCAAGCGCTTTGAGGCCAAAGGCAGAAAAGGAAATATCTTCCTATAAAAACTAGACAGAATCATTCTCAGAAACTGCTCTGCGATGTGTGCGTTCAACTCTCAGAGTTTAACTTTTCTTTTCATTCAGCAGTTTGGAAACACTCTGTTTGTAAAGTCTGCACGTGGATAACTTGACCACTTAGAGGCCTTCGTTGGAAACGGGTTTTTTTAACGTAAGGCTAGACAGAAGAATTTCCCAGTAACTTCCTTGTGTTGTGTGCATTCAACTCACAGAGTTGAACGTTCCCTTAGACAGAGCAGATTTGAAACACTCTATTTGTGCAATTTGCAAGTGTAGATTTCAAGCGCTTTAAGGTCAATGGCAGAAAAGGAAATATCTTCGTTTCAAAACTAGACAGAATCATTCCCACAAGCTGCGTTGTGATGTGTTCGTTCAACTCACAGAGTTTAACCTTTCTGTTCATAGAGCAGTTAGGAAACACGCTGTTTGTAAAGTCTGTAAGTGGATATTCTGACATCTTGTGGCCTTCGTTGCAAACGGGATTTCTTCATATTCTGCTAGACAGAAGAATTCTCAGTAACTACCTTGTGTTCTGTGTATTCAACTCACAGAGTTGAACGATCCTTTACACAGAGCAGACTTGAAACACTCTTTTTGTGGAATTTGCAAGTGGAGATTTCAGCCATTTTGAGGTCAATGGTAGAAAAGGAAATATCTTCGTAGAAAAACTAGACAGAATGATTCTCAGAAACTGCTTTGTGATGTGTGCGTTCAACTCACAGAGTTCAACCTTTCTTTTCATAGAGCAGTTAGGAAACACTCTGTTTGTAAAGTCTGCAAGTGGATATTCAGACCTCTTTGAGGCCTTCGTTGGAAACGGGATTTCTTCATATTATGCTAGACAGAAGAATTCCCAGTAACTTCCTTGTGTTGTGTATGTTGAACTCACAGAGTTGAACTTTCATTTACACAGAGCAGATTTGAAACACTCTTTTTGTGGAATTTGCAAATGGAGATTTCAAGCACTTTGAGGCCAAAGGCAGAAAAGGAAATATCTTCATATAAAAACTAGACAGAATCATTCTCAGAAACTGCTCTGCGATGTGTGCGTTCAACTCTCAGAGTTTAACTTTTCTTTTCATTCAGCAGTTTGGAAACACTCTGTTTGTAAAGTCTGCACGTGGATAATTTGATCACGTAGAGGCCTTCGATGGAAACGGTTTTTTTTCATGTAAGGCTAGACAGAAGAATTCCCAGTAACTTCCTTGTGTTGTGTACATTCAACTCACAGAGTTGAACGTTCCCTTAGACAGAGCAGATTTGAAACACTCTTTTTGTGCAATTGGCAAGTGGAGATTTCAAGCGCTTTAAGGTCAATGGCAAAAAAGGAAATATCTTCGTTTCAAAACTAGACAGAATCATTCCCACAAACTGCGTTGTGATGTGTTCGTTCAACTCACAGAGTTTAACCTTTCTTTTCATAGAGCAGTTAGGAAACACTCTGTTTGTGAACTCTGCAAGTGGATATTCTGACATCTTGTGGCCTTTGTTGGAAACGGGATTTCTTCATATTCTGCTAGACAGAAGAATTCTCAGTAACTTCCTTGTGTTGTGTGTATTCAACTCACAGAGTTGAACGATCCTTTACACAGAGCAGACTTGAAACACTCTTTTTGTGGAATTTGCAAGTGGAGATTTCAGCCACTTTGAGTTCAATGGTAGAATAGGAAATATCTTCCTATAGAAACTAGACAGAATGATTCTCAGAAACTCCTTTGTGATGTGTGCGTTCAACTCACAGAGTTCAACCTTTCTTTTCATAGAGCAGTTGGGAAACACTCTGTTTGTAAAGTCTGCAAGTGGATATTCAGACTTCTTTGAGGCCTTCGTTGGAAGCAGGATTTCTTCATATTCTGCTAGACAGAAGAATTCCCAGTAACTTCCTTGTGTTGTGTGTCTTCAACTCACAGAGTTGAACTTTCATTTACACAGAGCAGATTTGAAACACTCTTTTTGTGGAATTTGCAAATGGAGATTTCAAGCGCTTTGAGGCCAAAGGCAGAAAAGGAAATATCTTCGGTATAAAAACTTGACAGAATCATTCTCAGAAACTGCTCTGCGATGTGTGCGTTCAACTCTCAGAGTTTAACTTTTCTTTTCATTCAGCAGTTTGAAAACACTCTGTTTGTAAAGTCTGCACGTGGATAATTTGACTACTTAGAGGCCTTCGTTGGACACGGGTTTTTTTCATGTAAGGCTAGACAGAAGAATTCCCAGTAACTTCCTTGTGTTCTGTGCATTCAACTCACAGAGTTGAACGTTCCCTCAGACAGAGCAGATTTGAAACACTCTATTTGTGCAATTTGCAAGTGTAGATTTCAAGCGCTTTAAGGTCAACGGCAGAAAAGGAAATATCTTCGTTTCAAAACTAGACAGAATGATTCTCAGAAACTCCTTTGTGATGTGTGCGTTCAACTCACAGAGTTTAACCTTTCTTTTCATAGAGCAGTTAGGAAACACTCTGTTTGTAAAGTCTGCAAGTGGATATTCAGACATCTTTGAGGCCTTCATTGGAAACGGGATTTCTTCATGTTCTGGTAGACACAAGAATTCTCAGAAACTTCCTTGTGTTGTGTGTTTTCAACTCACAGAGTTGAACGATGCTTTACACAGAGTAGACTTGAAACACTCTTTTTGTGTAATTTGCAAGTGGAGATTTCAGCCGCTTTGAAGTCAATGGTAGAAAAGGAAATATCTTCGTATAAAAACTAGACAGAATGATTCTCAGAAACTCCTTTGTGATGTGTGCGTTCAACTCACAGAGTTTAACCTTTCTTTTCATAGAGCAGTTAGGAAACACTCTGTTTGTAAAGTCTGCAAGTGGATATTCAGACCTCTTTGAGGCCTTCGTTGGAAAGGGGATTTCTTCATATTCTGCTAGAGAGAAGAATTCCCAGTAACTTCCTTGTGTTGTGTGTGTTCAACTCACAGAGTTGAACTTTGATTTACACAGAGCAGATTTGAAACACTCTTTTTGTGGAATTTGCAAGTGGGGATTTCAAGCGCTTTGAGGCCAAAGGCAGAAAAGGAAATATCTTCGTATAAAAACTAGACAGAATCATTCTCAGAAACTGCTCTGTGATGTGTGCGTTCAACTCTCAGAGTTGAACTTTTCTTTTCATTCAGCAGTTTGGAAACACTCTGTTTGTAAAGTCTGCACGTGGATATTTTGACCACTTAGAGGCGTTAGTTGGAAACGCGTTTTTTTCATGTAAGGCTAGACAGAAGAATTCCCAGTAACTTCCTTTTGTTGTGTGCATTCAACTCACAGAGTTGAACGTTCCCTTAGACAGAGCAGATTTGAAACACTGTTTTTGTGCAATTTGCAAGTGGAGATTTCAAGCGCTTTAAGGTCAATGGCAGAAAAGGAAATATCTTCGTTTCAAAACTAGACAGAATCATTCCCACAAACTGCGTTGTGATGTGTTCGTTCAACTCACAGAGTTTAACCTTTCTTTTCATAGAGCAGTTAGGAAACAGTCTGTTTGTGAATTCTGTAAGTGGATATTCTGACATCTTGTGGCCTTCGTTGGAAATGGGATTTCTTCATATTCTGCTAGACAGAAGAATTCTCAGTAACTTCCTTGTGTTGTGTGTATTCAACTCACAGAGTTGAACGATCATTTACACAGAGCAGACTTGTAACACTCTTTTTGTGGAATTTGCAAGTGGAGATTTCAGCCGCTTTGAAGTCAAAGGTAGAAAAGGAAATATCTTCCTATAAAAACTAGACAGAATGATTCTCAGAAACTCCTTTGTGATGTGTGCGTTCAACTCACAGAGTTCAACCTTTCTTTTCATAGAGCAGTTTGGAAACACTCTGTTTGTAAAGTCTGCAAGTGGATATTCAGACTTCTTTGAGGCCTTCGTTGGAAGCGGGATTTCTTCATATTCTGCTAGACAGAAGAATTCTCAGTAACTGCCTTGTGTTGTGTGTATTCAACTCACAGAGTTGAACGATCCTTTACACAGAGCAGACTTGAAACACTCTTTTTGTGGAATTTGCAAGTGGAGATTTCAGCCGCTTTGAGGTCAATGGTAGAATAGGAAATTTCTTCCTATAGAAACTAGACAGAATCATTCTCAGAAACTGCTCTGCGATGTGTGCGTTCAACTCTCAGAGTTTAACTTTTCTTTTCATTCAGCAGTTTGGAAACACTCTGTTTGTAAAGTCTGCACGTGGATAACTTGACCACTTAGAGGCCTTCGTTGGAAACGGGTTTTTTTCATGTAAGGCTAGACAGAAGAATTCCCAGTAACTTCCTTGTGTTGTGTGCATTCAACTCACAGAGTTGAACGTTCCCTTAGACAGAGCAGATTTGAAACACTCTATTTGTGCAATTTGTAAGTGTAGATTTCAAGCGCTTTAAGGTCAATGGCAGAAAAGGAAATATCTTCGTTTCAAAACTAGACAGAATCATTCCCACAAACTGCGTTGTGATGTGTTCGTTCAACTCACAGAGTTTAACCTTTCTGTTCATAGAGCAGTTAGGAAACACTCTGTTTGTAAAGTCTGTAAGTGGATATTCTGACATCTTGTGGCCCTTCGTTGGAAACTGGATTTCTCCATATTCTACTAGACAGAATAATTCTCAGTAACTTCCTTGTGTTGTGTGTATTCAACTCTCAGAGTTGAACGATCCTTCTACAGAGAGCAGACTTGAAACACTCTTTTTGTGGAATTTGCAAGTGGAGATTTCAGCCGCTTTGAGGTCAATAGTAGAAAAGGAAATATCTTCGTAGAAAAACTAGACAGAATGATTCTCAGAATCTCCTTTGTGATGTGTGCGTTCAACTCACAGAGTTTAACCTTTCTTTTCATAGAGCAGTTAGGAAACACTCTGTTTGTAAAGTCTGCAAGTGGATATTCAGACCTCTTTGAGGCCTTCGTTGGAAACGGGTTTTTTCATATAAGGCTAGACAGAAGAATTCCCAGTAACTTCCTTGTGTTGTGTGTGTTCAACTCACAGAGTTGAACTTTCATTTACACAGAGCAGATTTGAAACACTCTTTTTGTGGAATTTGCAATTGGAGATGTCAAGCGCTTTGAGGCCAAAGGCAGAAAAGGAAATATCTTCGTTTCAAAACTAGACAGAATCATTCTCAGAAACTGCTGCATGATGTGTGCGTTCAACTCTCAGAGTTTAACTTTTCTTTTCATTCAGCGGTTTGGAAACACTCTGTTTGTAAAGTCTGCACGTGGATATTTTGACCACTTAGAGGCCTTCGTTGGAAACGGGTTTTTTTCATGTAAGGCTAGACAGAAGAATTCCCAGTAACTTCCTTGTGTTGTGTGCATTCAACTCACAGAGTTGAACGTTCCTTTAGACAGAGCAGATTTGAAACACTCTATTTGTGCAATTTGCAAGTGTAGATTTCAAGCGCTTTAAGGTCAACGGCAGAAAAGGAAATATCTTCGTTTCAAAACTAGACAGAATGATTCTCAGAAACTCCTTTGTGATGTGTGCGTTCAACTCAGAGAGTTCAACCTTTCTTTTCATAGAGCAGTTGGGAAACACTCTGTTTGTAAAGTCTGCAAGTGGATATTCAGACTTCTTTGAGGCCTTCGTTGGAAGCGGGATTTCTTCATGTTCTGCTAGACAGAAGAATTCTCAGAAACTTCCTTGTGTTGTGTGTTTTCAACTCACAGAGTTGAACGATCCTTTACACAGAGCAGACTTGAAACACTCCTTTTGTGGAATTTGCAAGTGGAGATTTCAGCCGGTTTGAGGTCAATGGTAGAATAGGAAATATCTTCCTATAGAAAGTAGACAGAATGATTCTCAGAAACTCCTTTGTGATGTGTGCGTTCAACTCACAGAGTTTAACCTTTCTTTTCATAGAGCAGTTAGGAAACACTCTGTTTGTAAAGTCTGCAAGTGGATATTCAGACCTCCTTGAGGCCTTCGTTGGAAACGGGATTTCTTCATATTTTGCTAGACAGAAGAATTCTCAGTAACTTCCTTGTGTTGTGTGTATTCAACTCACAGAGTTGAACGATCCTTTACACAGAGAAGACTTGAAACACTCTTTTTGTGGAATTTGCAAGTGGAGATTTCAGCCGCTGTGAGTTCAATGGTAGAATAGGAAATATCTTCCTATAGAAACTAGACAGAATCATTCTCAGAAACTGCTCTGCGATGTGTGCGTTCAACTCTCAGGGTTTAACTTTTCTTTTCATTCAGCAGTTTGGAAACACTCTGTTTGTAAAGTCTGCACGTGGATAATTTGACCACTTAGAGGTCTTCGTTGGAAACGGGTTTTTTTCATGTAAGGCTAGACAGAAGAATTCCCAGTAACTTCCTTGTGTTGTGTGCATTCAACTCACAGAGTTGAACGTTCCCTTAGACATAGCAGATTTGAAACACTCTCTTTGTGCAATTTGCAAGTGTAGATTTCAAGCGCTTTAAGGTCAACGGCAGAAAAGGAAATATCTTCGTTTCAAAACTAGACAGAATGATTCTCAGAAACTCCTTTGTGATGTGTGCGTTCAACTCACAGAGTTTAACCTTTCTTTTCATAGAGCAGTTAGGAAACACTCTGTATGTAAAGTCTGCAAGTGGATATTCAGACCTCCTTGAGGCCTTCGTTGGAAATGGGATTTCTTCATATTCTGCTAGACAGAAGAATTCTCACTAACTTCCTTGTGTTGTGTGTATTCAACTCACAGAGTTGAACGATCCTTTACACAGAGCAGACTTGAAACACTCTTTTTGTGGAATTTGCAAGTGGAGATTTCAGCCGCTTTGAGGTCAATGGTAGAAAAGGAAATATCTTCGTATAAAGACTAGACAGAATGATTCTCAGAAACTCCTTTGTGATGTGTGCGTTCAACTCACAGAGTTTAACCTTTCTTTCCATAGAGCAGTTAGGAAACACTCTGTTTGTAAAGTCTGCAGGTGGATATTCAGACCTCCTTGAGGCCTTCGTTGGAAACGGGATTTCTTCATATTATGCTAGACAGAAGAATTCTCAGTAACTTCCTTGTGTTGTGTGTATTCAACTCACAGAGTTGAACTTTCATTTGGAGAGAGCAGATTTGAAACACTGTTTTTGTGGAATTTGCAAGTGGAGATTTCAAGCGCTTTGGGGCCAAAGGCAGAAAAGGAAATATCTTCGTATAAAAACTAGACAGAATGATTCTCAGAAACTCCTTTGTGATGTGTGCGTTCAACTCACAGAGTTTAACCTTTCATTTCATAGAGCAGTTAGGAAACACTCTGTTTGTAAAGTCTGCAAGTGGATATTCAGACATCCTTGAGGCTTTCGTTGGAAACGGGATTTCTTCATATTCTGCTAGAAAGAAGAATTCTCAGTAACTTCCTTGTGTTGTGTGTATTCAACTCACAGATTTGAACGATCGTTTACACAGAGCAGACTTGAGACACTCTTTTTGTGGAATTTGTAAGTGGAGATTTCAGCCGCTTTGAGGTCAATGGTAGAAAAGGAAATATCTTCATATAAAAACTAGACAGAATGATTCTCAGAAACTCCTTTGTGATGTGTGCGTTCAACTCACAGAGTTTAACCTTTCTTTTCATAGAGCAGTTAGGAAACACTCTGTTTGTAAAGTCTGCAAGTGAATATTCAGACCTCTTTGAGGCCTTCGTTGGAAACGGGATTTCTTCATATTAAGCTAGACAGAAGAATTCTCAATAACTTCCTTGTGTTGTGTGTATTCAACTCACAGAGTTGAACGATCCTTTACACAGAGCAGACTTGAAACACTCTTTTTGTGGAATTTGCAAGTGGAGATTTCAGCCGCTTTGAGGTCAATGGTAGAATAGGAAATATCTTCCTATAGAAAGTAGACAGAATGATTCTCAGAAACTCCTTTGTGATGTGTGCGTTCAGCTCACAGAGTTTAACCTTTCTTTTCATAGAGCAGTTAGGAAACACTGTGTTTGTAAAGTCTGCAAGTGGATATTCAGACCTCCTTGAGGCCTTCGTTGGAAACGGGATTTCTTCATATTATGCTAGACAGAAGAATTCTCAGTAACTTCCTTCTATTCTGTGTATTCAACTCACAGAGTTGAACGATCCTTTACACAGAGCAGACTTGAAACGCTCTTTTGGTGGAATTGGCAAGTGGAGAATTCAGCCGCTTTGAGATCAATGGTAGAATAGGAAATATATTCCTATGGAAACTAGAGAGAATGATTCTCAGAAACTCCTTTGTGATGTGTGCGTTCAACTCACAGAGTTTAACCTTTCTTTTCATAGAGCAGTTAGGAAACACTCTGTTTGTAAAGTCTGCAAGTGGATACTCAGACCTCTTTGAGGCCTTCGTTGGAAACGGGATTTCTTCATATTATGCTAGACAGAAGAATTCCCAGTAACTTCCTTGCGTTGTGTACATTCAACTCACAGAGTTGAACGTTCCCTTAGACAGAGCAGATTTGAAACACTCTTTTTGTGCAATTGGCAAGTGGAGATTTCAAGCGCTTTAAGGTCAATGGCAGAAAAGGAAATATCTTCGTTTCAAAACTAGACAGAATCATTCCCACAAACTGCGTTGTGATGTGTTCGTTCAACTCACAGAGTTTAACCTTTCTGTTCATAGAGCAGTTAGGAAACACTCTGTTTGTAAAGTCTGCAAGTGGATATTCAGACCTCTTTGAGGCCTTCGTTGGAAACGGGATTTCTTCATATTATGCTACACAGAGGAATTCTCAGGAACTTCCTTGTGTTGTGTGTATTCAACTCACAGAGTTGAACGATCCTTTACACAGAGCAGACTTGAAACACTCTTTTTGTGGAATTTGCAAGTGGAGATTTCAGCCGCTTTGAGTTCAAAGGTAGAATAGGAAATATCTTCCTATAGAAAGTACACAGAATGATTCTCAGAAACTTCTTTGTGATGTGTGCGTTCAACTCACAGAGTTTAACCTTTCTTTTCATAGAGCAGTTAGGAAACACTCTGTTTGTAAACTCTGCAAGTCGATATTCAGACCTCTTTGAGGCCTTAGTTGGAAACGGGATTTCTTCATACTATGCTAGACAGAAGAATTCTCAGTAACTTCCTTGTGTTGTGTGTATTCAACTGACAGAGTTGAACTTTCATTTAGAGAGAGCAGATTTGTAACACTGTTTTTGTGGAATTTGCAAGTGGAGATTTCAAGAGCTTTGGGGCCAAAGGCAGAAAAGGAAATATCTTCGTATAAAAACTAGACAGAATCATTCTCAGAAACTGCTCTGCGATGTGTGCGTTCAACTCTCAGAGTTTAACTTTGCTTTTCATTCAGCAGTTTGGAAACACTCTGTTTGTAAAGTCTGCACGTGGATAATTTGACCACTTAGAGGCCTTCGTTGGAAACGGGTTTTTTTCATGTAAGGCTAGACAGAAGAATTCCCAGTAACTTCCTTGTGTTGTGTGCATTCAACTCACAGAGTTGAACGTTCCCTTAGACAGAGCAGATTTGAAACACTCTATTTGTGCAATTTGCAAGTGTAGATTTGAAGCGCTTTAAGGTCAATGGCAGAAAAGGAAATATCTTAGTTTCAAAACTAGACAGAATCATTCCCACAAACTGCTTTGTGATGTGTTCGTTCAACTCACAGAGTTTAAGCTTTCTGTTCATAGAGCAGTTAGGAAACACTCTGTTTGTAAAGTCTGCAAGTGGATATTCAGACCTCCTTGAGGCCTTCGTTGGAAACGGGATTTCTTCATATTCTGCTAGACAGAAGAATTCTCAGTAACTTCCTTGTGTTGTGTGTATTCAACTCACAGAGTTGAACGATCCTTTACATAGAGCAGACTTGTAACACTCTTTTTGTGGAATTTGCAAGTGGAGATTTCAGCCGCTTTGAAGTCAAAGGTAGAAAAGGAAATATCTTCCTATAAAAACTAGACAGAATGATTCTCAGAAACTCCTTTGTGATGTGTGCGTTCAACTCACACAGTTTAACCTTTCTTTTCATAGAGCAGTTAGGAAACACTCTGTTTGTAAAGTCTGCAAGTGGATATTCAGACCTCCCTTGAGGTCTTCGTTGGAAACGGGATTTCTTCATATTATGCTAGACAGAAGAATTCCCAGTAACTTCCTTGTGTTGTGTGTGTTCAACTCACAGAGTTGAACTTTCATTTACACAGAGCAGATTTGAAACACTCTTTTTGTATAATTTGCAAATGGAGATTTCAAGCGCTTTGAGGCCAAAGGCAGAAAAGGAAATATCTTCTTATAAAAACTAGACAGAATCATTCTCAGAAACTGCTCTGCGATGTGTGCGTTCAACTCTCAGAGTTTAACTTTTCTTTTCATTCAGCAGTTTGGAAACACTCTGGTTGTAAAGTCTGCACGTGGATATTTTGACCACTTAGAGGCCTTCGTTGGAAACGGGTTTTTTTCCTGTAAGGCTAGACAGAAGAATTCCCAGTAACTTCCTTGTGTTGTGTACATTCAACTCACAGAGTTGAACGTTCCCTTAGACAGAGCAGATTTGAAACACTCTTTTTGTGCAACTGGCAAATGGAGATTTCAAGCGCTTTAAGGTCAATGGCAGAAAAGGAAATATCTTCGTTTCAAAACTAGACAGAATGATTCTCATAAACTCCTTTGTGATGTGTGCGTTCAACACACAGAGTTTAACCTTTCTGTTCATAGAGCAGTTAGGAAACACTCTGTTTGTAAAGTCTGTAAGTGGATATTCTGACATCTTGTGGCCTTCGTTGGAAACGGGTTTTCTTCATATTCTGCTAGACAGAAGAATTCTCAGTAACTTCCTTGTGTTGTGTGTATTCAACTCACAGAGTTGAACGATCCTTTACACAGAGGAGACTTGTAACACTCTTTTTGTGGAATTTGCAAGTGGAGATTTCAGCCGCTTTGAAGTCAAAGGTAGAAAAGGAAATATCTTCCTATAAAAACTAGACAGAATGATTCTGAGAAACTCCTTTGTGATGTGTGCGTTCAACTCACAGAGTTTAACCTTTCTTTTCATAGAGCAGTTAGGAAACACTCTGTTTGTAATGTGTGCAAGTGGATATTCAGACCTCCTTGAGGCCTTCGTTGGAAACGGGATTTCTTCATATTATGCTAGACAAAAGAATTCTCAGTAACTTCCTTGTGTTGTGTGTATTCAACTCACAGAGTTGAACGATCCTTTACACAGAGCAGACTGGAAACACTCTTTTTGTGGAATTTGCAAGTGGAGATTTCAGCCGCTTTGAGGTCAATGGTAGAATAGGAAATATCTTCCTATAGAAACTAGACAGAATCATTCTCAGAAACTGCTGTGTGATGTGTGCGTTCAACTCTCAGAGTTTAACTTTTCTTTTCATTCAGCGGTTTGGAAACACTCTGTTTGTAAAGTCTGCACGTGGAAATTTTGACCACTTAGAGGCCTTCGTGGAAACGGGTTTTTTTCATGTAAGGCTAGACAGAAGAATTACCAGTAACTTCCTTGTGTTGTGTGCATTCAACTCACAGAGTTGAACGTTCCCTTAGACAGAGCAGATTTGAAACACTCTATTTGTGCAATTTGCAAGTGTAGATTTCAAGCGCTTTAAGGTCAATGGCAGAAAAGGAAATATCTTCGTTTTAAAACTAGACAGAATCATTCCCACAAACTGCGTTGTGATGTGTTCGTTCAACTCACAGAGTTTAACCTTTCTTTTCATAGAGCAGTTAGGAAACAGTCTGTTTGTAAATTCTGTAAGTGGATATTCTGACATCCTTGTGGCCTTCGTTGGAAACGGGATTTCTTCATATTCTGCTAGACAGAAGAATTCTCAGAATCTTCCTTGTGTTGTGTGTATTCAACTCACAGAGTTGAACGATGGTTTACACAGAGCAGATTTGAAACACTCTTTTTGTGGAATTTGCAAGTGGAGATTTCAGCCGCTTTGAGGTCAATGGTAGAAAAGGAAATATCTTCATATAAAAACTAGACAGAATGATTCTCAGAAACTCCTTTGTGATGTGTGCGTTCAACTCACAGAGTTTAACCTTTCTTTTCATAGAGCAGTTAGGAAACACTCTGTTTGTAAAGTCTGCAAGTGGATATTCCGACCTCCTTGAGGCCTTCTTTGGAAACGGGATTTCTTCATATTATGCTAGACAGAAGAATTCCCAGTAACTTCCTTGTGTTGTGTGTGTTCAACTCACAGAGTTGAACTTTCATTTACACAGAGCAGATTTGAAACACTCTTTTTGTGGCATTTGCAAGTGGAGATTTCAAGCGCTTTGAGGCCAAAGGCAGAAAAGGAAATATCTTCGTTTCAAAACTAGACAGAATCACTCTCAGAAACTGCTCTGCGATGTGTGCGTTCAACTCTCAGAGTTTAACTTTTCTTTTCATTCAGCAGTTTGGAAACACTCTGTTTGTAAAGTCTGCACGTGGATATTTTGACCACTTAGAGGCCTTCGTTGGAAACGGGTTTTTTTCCTGTAAGGCTAGACAGAAGAATTGTCAGAATCTTCCTTGTGTTGTGTGTATTCAACACACAGAGTTGAATGATGGTTTACACAGAGCAGATTTGAAACACTCTTTTGGTGGAATTTGCAAGTGGAGATTTCAGCCGCTTTGAGGTCAATGGTAGAAAAGGAATTATCTTCGTTTCAAAACTAGACAGAATCATTCTCACAAACTGCGTTGTGATGTGTTCGTTCAACTCACAGAGTTTAACCTTTCTGTTCATAGAGCAGTTAGGAAACACTCTGTTTGTAAAGTCTGTAAGTGGATATTCTGACATCTTGTGGCCTTCATTGGAAACGGGATTTCTTCATATTCTGCTAGACAGAAGAATTCTCAGTAACTTCCTTGTGTTGTGTGTATTCAACTCACAGTAGTTGAACGATCCTTTACACAGAGCATACTTGAAACACTCTTGTTGTGGAATTTGCAAGTGGAGATTTCAGCCACTTTGAGGTCAATGGTAGAAAAGGAAATATCTTCGTATAAAAACTAGACAGAATGATTCTCAGAAACTCTTTTGTGATGTGTGCGTTCAACTCACAGAGTTTAACCTTTCTGTTCATAGAGCCGTTAGGAAACACTCTGTTTGTAAAGTCTGCAAGTGGATATTCACACCTCCTTGTGACCTTCGTTGGAAACGGGATTTCTTCATATTCTGCTAGACAGAAGAATTCTCAGTAACTTCCTTGTGTTGTGTGTATTCAACTGACAGAGTTGAACTTTCATTTAGAGAGAGCAGATTTGAAACACTGTTTTTGTGGAATTTGCAAGTGGAGATTTCAAGCGCTTTGGGGCCAAAGGCAGAAAAGGAAATATCTTCCTATGAAAACTAGACAGAATCATTCTCAGAAACTGCTGTGTGATGTGTGCGTTCAACTCTCACAGTTTAACTTTTCTTTTCATTCAGCCGTTTGGAAACACTCTGTTTGTAAAGTCTGCACGTGGATATTTTGACCACTTAAAGGCCTTCGTTGGAAACGGGTTTTTTTCATGTAAGGCTAGACAGAAGAATTCCCAGTAACTTCCTTGTGTTCTGTGCATTCAACTCACAGAGTTGAACGTTCCCTTAGACAGAGCAGATTTGAAACACTCTATTTGTGCAATTTGCAAGTGTAGATTTCAAGCGCTTTAAGGTCAATAACAGAAAAGGAAATATCTTCGTTTCAAAACTAGACAGAATCATTCTCACAAACTGCGTTGTGATGAGTTCGTTCAACTCACAGAGTTTAACCTTTCTGTTCATAGAGCAGTTAGGAAACACTCTGTTTGTAATGTCTGTAAGTGGATATTCTGACATCTTGTGGCCTTCGTTGGAAACGGGATTTCTTCATATTCTGCTAGACAGAAGAATTCTCAGTAACTTCCTTGTGTTGTGTGTATTCAACTCACAGAGTTGAACGATCCTTTACACAGAGCAGTCTTGAAACACTCTTTTTGTGGAATTTGCAAGTGGAGATTTCAGCCGTTTTGAGGTCAATGGTAGAAAAGGAAATATCTTCGTATAAAGACTAGACAGAATGATTCTCAGAAACTCCTTTGTGATGTGGGTGTTCAACTCACAGAGTTAACCTTTCTTTTCATAGAGCAGTTAGGAAACACTCTGTTTGTAAAGTCTGCAAGTGGATATTTTCACCTCTTTGAGGCCTTCATTGGAAACGGGTTTTTTTTCATGTAAGGCTAGACAGAAGAATTCTCAGTACCTTCCTTGTGTTGTGTGTATTCAACTGACAGAGTTGAACTTTCATTTAGACAGAGCAGATTTGAAACACTCTTTTTCTGGAATTTGCAAGTGGAGATTTCAAGCGCTTTGAGGCCAAAGGCAGAAAAGGAAATATCTTCGTATAAAAACTAGACAGAATCATTCTCAGAAATTGCTGCGTGATGTGTGCGTTCAACTCTCAGAGTTTAACTTTTCTTTTCATTCAGCGGTTTGGAAACACTCTGTTTGTAAAGTCTGCACGTGGATATTTTGACCACTTAGAGGCCTTCGTTGGAAACGGGTTTTTTTCATGTAAGGCTAGACAGAAGAATTCCCAGTAACTTCCTTGTGTTGTGTGCATTCAACTCACAGAGTTGAACGTTCCCTTAGACAGAGCAGATTTGAAACACTCTATTTGTGCAATTTGCAAGTGTAGATTTCAAGCGCATTAAGGTCAATGGCAGAAAAGGAAATATCTTCGTTTCAAAATTAGACAGAATCATTCCACAAACTGCGTTGTGATGTGTTCGTTCAACTCACAGAGTTTAACCTTTCTGTTCATAGAGCAGTTAGGAAACACTCTGTAAAGTCTGTAAGTGGATATTCTGACATCTTGTGGCCTTCGTTGTAAACGGGATTTCTTCATATTCTGCTAGACAGAAGAATTCTCAGAATCTTCCTTGTGTTGTGTGTATTCAACTCACACAGTTGAACGATTGTTTACACAGAGCAGATTTGAAACACTCTTTCTGTGGAATTTGCACGTGGAGATTTCAGCCGCTTTGAGGTCAATGGTAGAAAAGGAAATATACTTCGTATAAAAACTAGACAGAGTGATTCTCAGAAACTCCTTTGTGATGTCTGCGTTCAACTCACAGAGTTTAACCTTTCTTTTCATAGAGCAGTTAGGAAACACTCTGTTTGTAAAGTCTGCAAGTGGATATTCAGACATCCTTGAGGCTTTCGTTGGAAACGGGATTTCTTCATATTCTGCTATACAGAAGAATTCTCAGTAACTTCCCTTGTGTTGTGTGTATTCAACTGACAGAGTTGAACTATCATTTAGAGAGAGCAGATTTGAAACACTGTTTTGTGGAATTTGCAAGTGGAGATTTCAAGCGCTTTGGGGCCAAAGGCAGAAAAGGAAATATCTTCGTATAAAAACTAGACAGAGTCATTCTCAGAAACTGCTGCGTGATGTGTGTGTTCAACTCTCAGAGTTTAACTTTTCTTTTCATTCAGCGGTTTGGAAACACGCTGTTTGTAAAGTCTGCACGTGGATATTTTGACCACTTAGAGGCCTTCGTTGGAAACGGGTCTTTATCATGTAAGGCTAGACAGAAGAATTCCCAGTAACTTCCTTGTGTTGTGTACATTCAACTCACAGAGTTGAACGTTCCCTTAGACAGAGCAGATTTGAAACACTCTTTTTGTGCAATTGGGAAATGGAGATTTCAAGCGCTTTAAGGTCAATGGCAGAAAAGGAAATATCTTCGTTTCAAAACTAGACAGAATCATTCCCACAAACTGCGTTGTGATGTGTTCGTTCAACTCACAGAGTTTAACCTTTCTGTTCATAGAGCAGTTAGGAAACACTCTGTTTGTAAAGTCTGTAAGTGGATATTCTGACATCTTGTGGCCTTCGTTGGATACGGGATTTCTTCATATTCTGCTAGACAGAAGAATTCTCAGTAACTTCCTTGTGTTGTGTGTATTCAACTCACAGAGTTGAACGATCCTTTACACAGAGCAGACTTGTAACACTCTTTTTGTGGAATTTGCAAGTGGAGATTTCAGCCGCTTTGAAGTCAAAGGCAGAAAAGGAAATGTCTTCGTTTCAAAACTAGACAGAATGATTCTCAGAAACTCCTTTGTGATGAGTGCGTTCAACTCACAGAGTTTAACCTTTCTTTTCATAGAGCAGTTAGGAAACACTCTGTTTGTAAAGTGTGCAAGTGGATATTCAGACCTCTTTGAGGCCTTCGTTGGAAACGGGATTTCTTCATATTCTGCTAGACAGAGGAATTCTCAGGAACTTCCTTGTGTTGTGTGTTTTCAACTCACAGAGTTGAACGATCCTTTACACAGAGCAGACTTGAAACACTCCTTTTGTGGAATTTGCAAGTGGAGATTTCAGCCGCTTTGAGGTCAATGGTAGAATAGGAAATATCTTCCTATAGAAACTAGACAGAATCATTCTCAGAAACTGCTGCGTGATGTGTGCGTTCAACTCTCAGAGTTTAACTTTTCTTTTCATTCAGCGGTTTGGAAACACTCTGTTTGTAAAGTCTGCACGTGGAAATTTTGACCACTTAGAGGCCTTCGTTGGAAACGGGTTTTTTTTCATGTAAGGCTAGACAGAAGAATTCCCAGTAACTTCCTTGTGTTGTGTGCATTCAACTCACAGAGTTGAACGTTCCCTTAGACAGAGCAGATTTGAAAAACTCTATTTGTGCAATTTGCAAGTGTAGATTTCAAGCGCTTTAAGGTCAATGGCAGAAAAGGAAATATCTTCGTTTCAAAACTAGACAGAATGATTCTCAGAAAATCTTTTGTGATGTGTGCGTTCAACTCACAGAGTTTAACTTTTCTTCTCATAGAGCAGTTAGGAAACACTCTGTTTGTAAAGTCTGCAAGTGGATATTCAGACGTCTTTGAGGCCTTCGTTGGAAACGGGATTTCTTCATATTCTGCTAGACAGAATAATTCTCAGTAACTTCCTTGTGTTGTGTGTATTCAACTCACAGAGTTGAAGGATCCTTTACAGAGAGCAGGCTTGAAACACTCTGTTTGTCGAATTTGCAAGTGGAGATTTCAGCCGCTTTGAGGTCAAAGGTAGAATAGGAAATATCTTCTTATAGAAACTAGACAGAATGATTCTCAGAAACTCCTTTGTGATGTGTGCGTTCAACTCACAGAGTTTAACATTTCTTTTCATAGAGCAGTTAGGAAACACTCTGTTTGTAAAGTCTGCAAGTGGATATTCAGACCTCTTTGAGGCCTTCGTTGGAAATGGCTTTTTTTCATATAAGGCTAGACAGAAGAATTCCCAGTAACTTTCCTTGTGTTGTGTGTGTTCAACTCACAGAGTTGAACTTTCATTTACCCAGAGCAGATATGAAACACTCTTTTTGTGGAATTTGCAAGTGGAGATTTCAAGCGCTTTGAGGCCAAAGGCAGAAAAGGAAATATCTTCGTATAAAAACTAGACAGAATCATTCTCAGAAACTGCTCTGCGATGTGTGCGTTCAACTCTCAGAGTTTAACTTTTCTTTTCATTCAGCAGTTTGGAAACACTCTGTTTGTAAAGTCTGCACGTGGATAATTGGACCACTTAGAGGCCTTCGTTGGAAACGGGTTTTTTTCATGTAAGGCTATACAGAAGAATTCCCAGTAACTTCCTTGTCTTGTGTACATTCAACTCACAGAGTTGAACGTTCCCTTAGACAGAGCAGATTTGAAACACTCTTTTTGTGCAATTGGCAAATGGAGATTTCAAGCGCTTTAAGGTCAATGGCAGGAAAGGAAATATCTTCGTTTCAAAACTAGACAGAATGATTCTCAGAAAATCTTTTGTGATGTGTGCGTTCAACTCACAGAGTTTAACTTTTCTTCTCATAGAGCAGTTAGGAAACACTCTGTTTGTAAAGTCTGCAAGTGGATATTCAGACCTCTTTGAGGCCTTCGTTGGAAACGTGATTTCTTCATATTATGCTAGACAGAATAATTCTCAGTAACTTTCCTTGTGTTGTGTGTATTCAACTCACCGAGTTGAAGGATCCTTTACAGAGAGCAGGCTTGAAACACTCTTTTTGTCGAATTTGCAAGTGGAGATTACAGCCGCTTTGAGGTCAATGGTAGAAAAGGAAATATCTTCGTATAAAGACTAGACAGAACGATTCTCAGAAACTCCTTTGGGATGTGTGCGTTCAACTCACAGAGTTTAACCTTTCTTTTCATAGAGCAGTTAGGAAACACTCTGTTTGTAAAGTCTGCAAGTGGATATTCAGACCTCTTTGAGGCCTTCGTTGGAAACGGGATTTCTTCCTATTCTGCTAGACAGAAGAATTCTCAGTAACTTTCCTTGTGTTGTGTGTATTCAACTCACAGAGTTGAACGATCCTTTACACAGAGCAGACTTGAAACACTCTTTTTGTGGAATTTGCAAGTGGAGATTTCAGCCGCTTTGAGGTCAATAGTAGAAAAGTAAATATCTTCGTAGAAAAACTAGACAGAATCATTCTCAGAAACTGCTCTGCGATGTGTGCGTTCAACTCTCAGAGTTTAACTTTTCTTTTCATTCAGCAGTGTGGAAACACTCTGTTTGTAAAGTCTGCCCGTGGATATTTTGACCACTTAGAGGCCTTCGTTGGAAACGGGTTTTTTTCCTGTAAGGCTAGACAGAAGAATTCCCAGGAACTTCCTTGTGTTGTGTACATTCAACTCACAGAGTTGAACGTTCCCTTAGACAGAGCAGATTTGAAACACTCTTTTTGTGCAATTGGCAAGTGGGGATTTCAGCCGCTTTGAGGTCAATGGTAGAAAAGGAAATATCTTCGTATAAAAACTAGACAGAATCATTCCCAAAAACTGCGTTGTGATGTGTGCGTTCAACTCACAGAGTTTAACCTTTCTTTTCATAGAGCAGTTAGGAAACACTCTGTTTGTAAACTCTGCAAGTGGATATTCAGACCTCTTTGAGGCCTTCGTTGGAAACGGGATTTCTTCATACTGTGCTAGACAGAAGAATTCTCAGTAACTTCCTTGTGTTGTGTGTATTCAACTCACACAGTTGAATGATCCTTTACACAGAGCAGACTTGAAACACTCTTTTTGTGGAATTTGCAAGTGGAGATTTCAGCCGCTTTGAGTTCAATGGTAGAATAGGAAATATCTTCTTATAGAAACTAGACAGAATGATTCTCAGAAACTTCTTTGTGATGTGTGCGTTCAACTCACAGAGTTTAACCTTTCTTTTCATAGAGCAGTTAGGAAACACTCTGTTTTTAAACTCTGCATGTGGATATTCAGACCTCTTTGAGGCCTTCGTTGGAAACGGGATTTCTTCATACTGTGCTAGACAGAAGAATTCCCAGTAACTTCCTAGTGTTGTGTGTGTTCAACTCACAGAGTTGAACTTTCATTTACACAGAGCAGATTTGAAACACTCTTTTTGTGGAATTTTCAAGTGGAAATTTCAAGCGCTTTGAGGCCAAAGGCAGAAAAGGAAATATCTTCGTATAAAAACTAGACAGAATCATTCTCAGAAACTGCTCTGTGATGTGTGCGTTCAACTCTCAGAGTTTAACTTTTCTTTTCATTCAGCACTTTGGAAACACTCTGTTTGTAAAGTCTTCACGAGGATATTTTGACCACTTAGAGGTCTTTGTTGGAAACGGGTTTTTTTCCCATAAGGCTAGACAGAAGAATTCCCAGTAACTTCCTTGTGTTGTGTGCATTCAACTCACAGAGTTGAACGTTCCCTTAGACAGAGCAGATTTGAAACACTCTATTTGTGCAATTTGCAAGTGTAGATTTCAAGCGCTTTAAGGTCAACGGCAGAAAAGGAAATATCTTCGTTTCAAAACCAGACAGAATCATTCCCTCAAACTGCGTTGTGATGTGTTCGTTCAACTCACAGAGTTTAACCTTTCTGTTCATAGAGCAGTTAGGAAACACTCTGTTTGTAAAGTCTGTAAGTGGATATTCTGACATCTGGTGGCCTTCGTTGGAAACGGGATTTCTTCATATTCTGCTAGACAGAAGAATTCTCAGTAACTTCCTTGTGTTGTGTGTATTCAACTCACAGAGTTGAACGATCCTTTACACAGAGCAGACTTGAAACACTCTTTTTGTGGAATTTGCAAGTGGAGATTTCAGCCGCTTTGATGTCAATGGTAGAAAAGGAAATAACTTCGTATAAAGACTAGACAGAATTATTCTCAGAAACTCCTTTGTGATGTGTGTGTTCAACTCACAGAGTTTAACCTTTCTTTTCATAGAGCAGTTAGTAAACACTCTGTTTATAAAGTCTGCAAGTGGATATTCAGACCCCTTTGAGGCCTTCGTTGGAAACGGGATTTCTTCATATTCTGCTAGACAGAAGAATTCCCAGTAACTTCCTTGTGTTGTGTGTGTTCAACTCACAGAGTTGAACTTCCATTTACACAGAGCAGATTTGAAACACTCTTTTTGTGGAATTTGCAAGTGGAGATTTCAAGCGCTTTGAGGCCAAAGGCAGAAAAGGAAATATCTTCGTTTCAAAACTAGACAGAATCATTCTCAGAAACTGCTCTGCGATGTGTGCGTTCAACTCTCAGAGTTTAACTTTTCTTTTCATTCAGCAGTTTGGAAACACTCTGTTTGTAAAGTCCGCACGTGGATATTTTGACCATTTAGAGGCCTTCGTTGGAAACGGGTTTTTTTCTTGTAAGGCTAGACAGAAGAATTCCCAGTAACTTCCTTGTGTTGTGTGCATTCAACTCACAGAGTTGAACGTTCCCTTAGACAGAGAAGATTTGAAACACTCTATTTGTGCAATTTGCAAGTGTAGATTTCAAGCGCTTTAAGGTCAACGGCAGAAAAGGAAATATCTTCGTTTCAAAACCAGACAGAATCATTCCCACAAACTGCGTTGTGAAGTGTTCGTTCAACTCACAGAGTTTAACCTTTCTGTTCATAGAGCAGTTAGGAAACACTCTGTTTGTAAAGTCTGTAAGTGGATATTCTGACATCTTGTGGCCTTCGTTGGAAACGGGATTTCTTCATATTCTGCTAGACAGAATAATTCTCAGTAACTTCCTTGTGTTGTGTGTATTCAACTCACAGAGTTGAACGATCCTTTACAGAGAGCAGAGTTGAAACTCTCTTTTTGTGGAATTTGCAAGTGGAGATTTCAGCCGCTTTGAGGTCAATGGTAGAAAAGGAAATATCTTCCTATAGAAACTAGACAGAGTGATTCTCAGAAACTCCTTTGTGATGTCTGCGTTCAACTGACAGAGTTTAACCTTTCTTTTCATAGAGCAGTTAGGAAACACTCTGTTTGTAAAGTCTGCAAGTGGATATTCAGACCTCCTTGAGGCCTTCGTTGGAAACGGGATTTCTTCATATTATGCTAGACAGAAGAATTCTCAGTAACTTCCTTGTGTTGTGTGTATTCAACTCACAGAATTGAACGATCCTTTACACAGAGCAGACTTGAAACACTCTTTTTGTGGAATTTGCAAGTGGAGATTTCAGCCGCTTTGAGGTCAATGGTAGAATAGGATATATCTTCCTACAGAAACTAGACAGAATCATTCTCAGAAACTGTTGTGCGATGTGTGCGTTCAACTCTCAGAGTTTAACTTTTCTTTTCATTCAGGAGTTTGGAAACACTCTGTAAACTCTGCATGTGGATATTTTGACCACTTAGAGGCCTTCGTTGGAAACGGGTTTTTTTCCTGTAAGGCTAGACAGAAGAATTCCCAGTAACTTCCTTGTGTTGTGTACATTCAACTCACAGAGTTGAACGTTCCCTTAGACAGAGCAGATTTGAAACACTCTTTTTGTGCAATTGGCAAGTGGAGATTTCAAGCACTTTGAGGTCAATGGCAGAAAAGGAAATATCTTCGTTTCAAAACTAGACAGAATCATTCCCACAAACTGCGTTGTGATGTGTTCGTTCATCTCACAGAGTTTAACCTTTCTTTTCATAGAGCAGTTAGGAAACAGTCTGTTTGAAAATTCTGTAAGGGGATATTCTGACATCTTGTGGCCTTCGTTGGAAACGGGATTTCTTCATATTCTGCTAGACAAAAGAATTCTCAGTAACTTCCTTGTGTTGTGTGTATTCAACTCGCAGAGTTGAACGATCCTTTACACAGAGCAGACTTGAAACACTCTTTTTGTGGAATTTGCAAGTGAAGATTTCAGCCGCTTTAAGGTCAATGGTAGAAAAGGGAATATCTTCGTATAAAGACTAGACAGAATGATTCTCAGAAACTCCTTTGTGATGTGTGTGTTCAACTCACAGAGTTTAACCTTTCTTTTCATAGAGCAGTTAGTAAACACTCTGTTTATAAAGTCTGCAAGTGGATATTCATACCCCTTTGAGGCCTTCGTTGGAAACGGGATTTCTTCATATTATGCTAGACAGAAGAATTCTCAGTAACTTCCTTGTGTTGTGTGTATTCAACTGACAGAGTTGAACTTTCATTTAGATAGAGCAGATTTGAAACACTGTTTTTGTGGAATTTGCAAGTGGAGATTTCAAGCGCTTTGGGGCCAAAGCAGAAAAGGAAATATCTTCGTATAAAAACTAGACAGAATCATTCTCAGAAATTGCTCTGCGATGTGTGCGTTCAACTCTCAGAGTTTAACTTTTCTTTTCATTCAGCAGTTTGGAAACACTCTGTTTGTAAAGTCTGCACGTGGATATTTTGACCATTTAGAGGCCTTCGTTGGAAACGGGTTTTTTTCTTGTAAGGCTAGACAGAAGAATTCCCAGTAACTTCCTTGTGTTGTGTACATTCAACTCACAGAGTTGAACATTCCCTTAGACAGAGCAGATTTGAAACACTCTTTTTGTGCAATTGGCAAGTGGTGATTTCAGCCGCTTTGAGGTCAATGGTAGAAAAGGAAATATCTTCGTATAAAAACTAGACAGAATGATTCTCAGAAACTCCTTTGTGATGTGTGAGTTCAACTCACAGAGTTTATCCTTTCTTTTCATAGAGCAGTTAGGAAGCACTCTGTTTGTAAAGTCTGCAAGTGGATATTCAGACCTCTTTGAGGCCTTCGTTGGAAACGGGATTTCTTCATATTCTGCTAGACAGAAGAATTCTCAGTAACTTCCTTGTGTTGTGTGCATTCAACTCACAGAGTTGAACGATCCTTTACACAGGGCAGACTTGAAACACTCTTTTTGTGGAATTTGCAAGCGGACATTTCAGCCTCTTTAAGGTTAATGGTAGAAAATGAAATATCTTCGTATAGAAACTAGACAGAATGATTCTCAGAAACTCCTTTGTGATGTGTGCGTTCAACTCACAGAGTTGAACCTTTCTTTTCATAGAGCAGTTAGGAAACACTCTGTTTGTAAAGTCTGCAAGTGGATATTCAGACATCCTTGAGGCTTTCGTTGGAAACAGGATTTCTTCATATTCTGCTAGAAAGAAGAATTCCCAATAACTTCCTTGTGTTGTGTGTGTTCAACTCACAGAGTTGAACTTTCATTTACACAGAGCAGATTTGAAACACTCTTTTTGTGGAATTTGCAAGTGGAGATTTCAAGCGCTGTGAGGCCAAAGGCAGAAAAGGAAATATCTTCGTATAAAAACTAGACAGAATCATTCTCAGAAACTGCTGCGTGATGTGTGCGTTCAACTCTCAGAGTTTAAGTTTTCTTTTCATTCAGCGGTTTGGAAACACTCTGTTTGTAAAGTCTGCACGTGGATATTTTGACCACTTAGAGGCCTTCGTTGGAAACGGGTTTTTTTCATGTAAGGCTAGACAGAAGAATTCCCAGTAACTTCCTTGTGTTGTGTGCATTCCACTCACAGAGTTGAACGTTCCCTTAGACAGAGCAGATTTGAAACACTCTATTTGTGCAATTTGTAAGTGTAGATTTCAAGCGCTTTAAGGTCAATGGCAGAAAAGGAAATATCTTCGTTTCAAAACTAGACAGAATGATTCTCAGAAACTTCATTGTGTTGTGAGCGTTCAACTCACAGAGTTTAACCTTTCTTTTCATAGAGCAGTTAGGAAACACTCTGTTTGTAAACTCTGCAAGTGGATATTCAGACCTCTTTGAGGCCTTCGTTGGAAACGGGATTTCTTCATACTGTGCTAGACAGAACAATTCTCAGTAACTTCCTTGTGTTGTGTGTATTCAACTCACAGAGTTGAACGATCCTTTACACAGAGCGGACTTGAAACACTCTTTTTGTGGAATTTGCAAGTGGAGATTTCAGCCGCGTTGAGGTCAATGGTAGAAAAGGAAATATCTTCGTATAAAAAGTAGACAGAATGATTCTCAGAAACTCCTTTGTGATGTGTGTGTTCAACTCACAGAGTTTAACCTTTCTTTTCATAGAGCAGTTAGTAAACACTCTCTTTATAAAGTCTGCAAGTGGATATTCAGACCCCTTTGAGGCCTTCGTTGGAAACGGGATTTCTTCATATTATGCTAGACAGAAGAATTCTCAGTAACTTCCTTGTGTTGTGTGTATTCAACTGACAGAGTTGAACATTCATTTGGAGAGAGCAGATTTGAAACACTGTTTTTGTGGAATTTGCAAGTGGAGATTTCAAGCGCTTTGGGGCCAAAGGCAGAAAAGGAAATATCTTCGTATAAAAACTAGACAGAATGATTCTCAGAAACTCCTTTGTGATGTGTGCGTTCAACTCTCAGAGTTTAACTTTTCTTTTCATTCAGCAGTTCGGAAACACTCTGTTTGTAAAGTCTGCACGTGGATATTTTGACCACTTAGAGGCCTTCGTTGGAAACGGGTTTTTTTCCTGTAAGGCTAGACAGAAGAATTCCCAGTAACTTCCTTGTGTTGTGTGCATTCAACTCACAGAGTTGAACGTTCCCTTAGACAGAGCAGATTTGAAACACTCTATTTGTGCAATTTGCAAGTGTAGATTTCAAGCGCTTTAAGAGTCAATGGCAGAAAAGGAAATATCTTCATCTCAAAACTAGACAGAATGATTCTCAGAAACTCCTTTGAGATGTGTGCGTTCAACTCACAGAGTTTAACCTTTCTTTTCATAGAGCAGTTAGGAAACACTCTGTTTGTAAATTCTGCAAGTGGATATTCAGACCTCTTTGAGGCCTTCGTTGGAAACGGGATTTCTTCATATTATGCTAGACAGAAGGATTCTCAGTAACTTCCTTGTGTTGTGTGTATTCAACTCACAGAGTTGAACGATCCTTTACACAGAGCAGACTTGAAACACTCTTTTTGTGGAATTTGCAAGTGGAGATTTCAGCCGCTTTGAGGTCAATGGTAGAAAAGGAGATATCTTCGTATAAAAACTAGACAGAATGATTCTCAGAAACTCTTTGGGATGTGTGCGTTCAACTCACAGAGTTTAACTTTTCTTTTCATAGAGCAGTTAGGAAACACTCTGTTTGTAAAGTCTGCAAGTGGATATTCAGACCTCTTTGAGGCCTTCGTTGGAAACGGGATTTCTTCATATTATGCTAGACAGAAGAATTCTCAGTAACTTCCTTGTGTTGTGTGTATTCAACTCACAGAGTTGAAGGATCCTTTACACAGAGCAGACTAGAAACATTCTTTTTGTGGAATTTGCAAGTGGAGATTTCAGCCGCTTTGAGGTCAATGGTAGAATGGGAAATATCATCCTATAGAAACTAGACAGAATCATTCTCAGAAACTGCTGCGTAATGTGTGCGTTCAACTCTCAGAGTTTAACTTTTCTTTTCATTCAGCGGTTTGGAAACACTCTGTTTGTAAAGTCTGCACGTGGAAATTTTGACCATTTAGAGGCCTTCGTTGGAAACGGGTTTTTTTCATGTAAGGCTAGACAGAAGAATTCCCAGTAACTTCCTTGTGTTGTGTGCATTCAACTCACAGAGTTGAACGATCCTTTACACAGAGCAGACTTGAAACACTCTTTTTGTGGAATTTGCAAGTGGAGATTTCAGCCGCTTTGAGGTCAATGGTAGAAAAGGAAACTATCTTCATATAAAGACTAGACAGAATCATTCCCACAAACTGCGTTGTGAGGTGTTCGTTCAACTCACAGAGTTTAACCTTTCTTTTCATAGAGCAGTTAAGAAACAGTCTGTTTGTAAATTCTGTAAGTGGATATTCTGACATCTTGTGGCCTTCGTTGGAAACGGGATGTCTTCATATTCTGCTAGACAGAAGAATTCTCAGAATCTTCCTTGTGTTGTGTGTATTTAACTCACAGAGTTGAACGATCCTTTACACAGAGCAGACTTGAAACACTCTTTTTGTGGAATTTGCAAGTGGAGATTTCAGCCGCTTTGAGGTCCATGGTAGAAAAGGAAATATCTTCGTATAAAAACTAGACAGAATGATTCTCAGAAACTCCTTTGTGATGTGTGCGTTCAACACACAGAGTTCAACCTTTCTTTTCCTAGAGCAGTTGGGAAACACTCTGTTTGTAAAGTCTGCAAGTGGATATTCAGACTTCTTTGAGGCCTTCGTTGGAAGCGGGATTTCTTCATATTCTGCTAGACAGAAGAATTCCCAGTAACTTCCTTGTGTTGTGTGTGTTCAACTCACAGAGTTGAACTTTGATTTACACAGAGCAGATTTGAAACACTCTTTTTGTGGAATTTGCAAGTGGAGATTTCAAGCGCTTTGAGGCCAAATGCAGAAAAGGAAATATCTTCGTATAAAAACTAGACAGAATCATTCTCAGAAACTGCTCTGCGATGTGTGCGTTCAACTCTCAGAGTTTAACTTTTCTTTTCATTCAGCAGTTTGGAAACACTCTGTTTGTAAAGTCTGCAGGTGGATAATTTGACCACTTAGAGGCCTTCGTTGGAAACGGGTTTTTTTCCTGTAAGGCTAGACAGAAGAATTCCCAGTAACTTCCTTGTGTTGTGTGCATTCAACTCACAGAGTTGAAAGTTCCCTTCGACAGAGCAGATTTGAAACACTCTATTTGTGCAATTTGCAAGTGTAGATTTCAAGCGCTTTAAGGTCAACGGCAGAAAAGGAAATATCTTCGTTTCAAAACTAGACAGAATCATTCCCACAAACTGCGTTGTGATGTGTTCGTTCAACTCACAGAGTTTAACCTTTCTGTTCATAGAGGAGTTAGGAAACACTCTGTTTGTAAAGTCTGTATGTGGATATTCTGACATCTTGTGGCCTTCGTTGGAAACGGGATTTCTTTATATTCTGCTAGACAGAACAATTCTCAGTAACTTCCTTGTGTTGTGTGTATTCAACTCACAGAGTTGAACGATCCTTTACACAGAGCGGACTTGAAACACTCTTTTTGTGGAATTTGCAAGCGGAGATTTCAGCTGCGTTGAGGTCAATGGTAGAAAAGGAAATATCTTCGTATAAAAACTAGACAGAATGATTCTCAGAAACTTCATTGTGATGTGTGCGTTCAACTCACAGAGTTTAACCTTTCTTTTCATAGAGCAGTTAGGAAACACTGTTTGTAAACTCTGCAAGTGGATATTCAGACCTCTTTGAGGCCTTCGTTGGAAACGGGATTTCTTCATACTGTGCTAGACAGAAGAATTCCCAGTAACTTCCTTGGGTTGTGTGTGTTCAACTCACAGAGTTGAACTTTCATTTACACAGAGCAGATTTGAAACACTCTTTTTGTGGAATTTGCAAATGGAGATTTCAAGCGCTTTGAGGAAAAAGGCAGTAAAGGGAATATCTTCGTATAAAAACTAGACAGAATCATTCTCAGAACCTGCTCTGTGATGTGTGCGTTCAACTCTCAGAGTTTAACTTTTCTTTTCATTCAGCAGTTTGGCAACACTCTGTTTGTAAAGTCTGCACGTGGATAATTTGACCACTTAGAGGCCTTCGTTGGAAACGGGTTTTTTTCATGTAAGGCTAGACAGAAGAATTCTCAGTAACTTCCTTGTGTTGTGTGTATTCAACTCACAGAGTTGAACGATCCTTTACACAGAGCAGACTTGTAACACTCTTTTTGTGGAATTTGAAAGTGGAGATTTCAGCCGCTTTGAAGTCAAAGGTAGAAAAGGAAATATCTTCCTATAAAAACTACACAGAATCATTCCCAAAAACTGCGTTGTGATGTGTTCGTTCATCTCACAGAGTTTAACCTTTCTTTTCATAGAGCAGTTAGGAAACACTCTGTTTGTAAATTCTGTAAGTGGATATTCTGACATCTTGTGGCCTTCGTTGGAAACGGGATTTCTTCATATTCTGCTAGACAGAAGAATTCTCAGTAACTTCCTTGTGTTTTGTGTATTCAACTCACATAGTTGAACGATCCTTTACACAGAGCAGACTTGAAACACTCTTTTTGTGGTATTTGCAAGTGGAGATTTCAGCCACTTTGAGGTCAATGTTAGAAAAGGAAATATCTTCGTATAAAAACTAGACAGAATGATTCTCAGAAACTCCTTTGTGATGTGTGCGTTCAACTCACACAGTTTAACCTTTCTTTTCATAGAGCAGTTAGGAAACACTCTGTTTGTAAAGTCTGCAAGTGGATATTCAGACCTCCTTGAGGCCTTCGTTGGAAACGGGATTTGTTCATATTATGCTAGACAGAAGAATTCTCAGTAACTTCCTTGTGTTGTGTGTATTCAACTGACAGAATTGAACTTTCATTTAGAGAGAGCAGATTTGAAACACTGTTTTTGTGGAATTTGCAAGTGGAGATTTCAAGCGCTTTGGGGCCAAAGGCAGAAAAGGAAATATCTTCGTATAAAAACTAGACAGAAATCATTCTCAGAAACTGCTGCGTGATGTGTGCGTTCACCTCTCAGAGTTTAACTTTTCTTTTCATTCAGCGGTTTGGAAACACTCTGTTTGTAAAGTCTGCACGTGGAAATTTTGACCACTTAGAGGCCTTCGTTGGAAACGGGTTTTTTTCATGTAAGGCTAGACAGAAGAATTCCCAGTAACTTCCTTGTGTTGTGTGCATTCAACTCACAGAGTTGAACGTTCCCTTAGACAGAGCAGATTTGAAACACTCTATTTGTGCAATTTGCAAGTGTAGATTTCAAGCGCTTTAAGGTCAATGACAGAAAAGGAAATATCTTCGTTTCAAAACTAGACAGAATGATTCTCAAAAACTCCTTTGTGATGTGTGCGTTCAACTCACAGAGTTTAACCTTTCTTTTCATAGAGCAGTTAGGAAACACTCTGGTTGTAAAGTCTGCAAGTGGATATTAAGACCTCTTTGAGGCCTTCGTTGGAAACGGGATTTCTTCATATTCTGCTAGACAGAAGAATTCTCAGTAACTTCCTTGTGTTGTGTGTATTCAACTCACAGAGTTGAACGATCCTTTACACAGAGCAGACTTGAAACACTCTTTTTCTGGAATTTGCAAGTGGAGATTTCAGCCGCTTTGAGGTCAATGGTAGGATAGGAAATATCTTCCTATAGAAACTAGACAGAATGATTCTCAGAAACTCCTTTGTGATGTGTGCGTTCAACTCACAGAGTTTAACCTTTCTTTTCATAGAGCAGTTAGGAAACACTCTGTTTGTTAAGTCTGCAAGTGGATATTCAGACCTCCTTGAGGCCTTCGTTGGAAGCGGGATTTCTTCATATTCTGCTAGACAGAAGAATTCCCAGTAACTTCCTTGTGTTGTGTGTGTTCAACTCACAGAGCTGAACTTTCATTTACACAGAGCAGATTTGAAACACTCTTTTTGTGGAATTTACAAATGGAGATTTCAAGCGCTTTGAGGCCAAAGGCAGAAAAGGAAATATCTTCGTTTCAAAACTAGACGGAATGATTCTCAGAAACTGCTCTGCGATGTGTGCGTTCACCTCTCAGAGTTTAACTTTTCTTTTCATTCAGCAGTTTGGAAACACTCTGTTTGTAAAGTCTGCACGTGCATAATTTGACCACTTAGAGGCCTTCGTTGGCAACGGGTTTTTTTCATGTAAGGCTAGACAGAAGAATTCCCAGGAACTTCCTTGTGTTGTGTACATTCAACTCACAGAGTTGAACGTTCCCTTAGACAGAGCAGATTTGAAACACTCTTTTTGTGCAATGGGCAAGTGGTGATTTCAGCCGCTTTGAGGTCAATGGTAGAAAAGGAAATATCTTCGTATAAAAACTAGACAGAATGATTCTCATAAACTCCTTTGTGATGTGCGCGTTCAACTCACAGAGTTTAACCTTTCTTTTCATAGAGCAGTTAGGAAACACTCTGTTTGTAAAGTCTGCAAGTGGATATTCAGACCTCTTTGAGGCCTTCGTTGGAAACGGGATTTCTTTATATTCTGCTAGACAGAAGAATTCTCAGTAACTTCCTTGTGTTGTGTTTATTCAACTCACAGAGTTGAATGTTCCTTTACACAGAGCAGACTTGAAACACTCTTTTTGTGGAATTTGCAAGTGGAGATTTCAGCCGCTTTGAGGTCAATGGTAGAAAAGTAAATATCTTCGTATAAAGACTAGACAGAATGATTCTCAGAAACTTCTTTGTGATGTGTGCGTTCAACTCACAGAGTTTAACCTTTCTTTTCATAGAGCAGTTAGGAAACACTCTGTTTCTAAACTCTGCAAGTGGATATTCAGACCTCTTTGAGGCCTTCGTTGGAAACGGGATTTCTTCATACTATGCTAGACAGAAGAATTCTCAAGTAACTTCCTTGTGTTGTGTGTATTCAACTCACAGAGTTTAACGATCCTTTACACAGAGCAGACTTGTAACACTCTTTTTGTGGAATTTGCAAGTGGAGATTTCAGCCGCTTTGAAGTCAAAGGTAGAAAAGGAAATATCTTCCTATAAAAACTAGACAGAATCATTCTCAGAAACTGCTCTGCGATGTGTGCGTTCAACTCACAGAGTTTAACTTTTCTTTTCATTCAGCAGTTTGGAAACACTCTGTTTGTAAAGTCTGCACGTGGATAATTTGACCACTTAGAGGCCTTCGTTGGAAACGGGTTTTTTTCATGTAAGGCTAGACAGAAGAATTCCCAGTAACTTCCTTGTGTTGTGTGCATTCAACTCACAGAGTTGAACTTTCCCTTAGACGGAGCAGATTTGAAACACTCTATTTGTGCAATTTGCAAGTGTAGATTTCAAGCGCTTTAAGGTCAATGGCAGAAAAGGAAATATCTTCGTTTCAAAACTAGAGAGAATCATTCCCACAAACTGCGTTGTGATGTGTTCGTTCAACTCACAGAGTTTAACCTTTCTGTTCATAGAGCAGTTAGGAAACACTCTGTTTGTAAAGTCTGTAAGTGGATATTCCGACCTCCTTGAGGCCTTCGTTGGAAACGGGATTTCTTCATATTCTGCTAGACAGAAGAATTCTCAGAAACTTCCTGGTGTTGTGTGTTTTCAACTCACAGAGTTCAACGATCCTTTACACAGAGTAGACTTGAAACACTCTTTTTGTTGAATTGGCAAGTGGAGATTTCAGCTGCTTTGAGGTCAATGGTAGAAAAGGAAATATCTTCGTACAAAAACTAGACAGAATGATTCTCAGAAAATCCTTTGTGATGTGTGCGTTCAACTCACAGAGTTTAACTTTTCTTTTCATAGAGCAGTTAGGAAACACTCTGTTTGTAAAGTCTGCAAGTGGATATTCAGACCACTTTGAGGCCTTCATTGGAAACGGGATTTCTTCATATTGTGCTAGACGGAAGAATTCTCAGAAACTTCCTTGTGTTGCGTGTTTTCAACTCACAGAGTTCAACGATCCGTTACACAGAGTAGACTTGAAAAACTCTTTTTGTTGAATTGGCCAGTGGAGATTTCAGCCGCTTTGAGGTCAATGGTAGAAAAGGAAATATCTTCGTATAAAAACTAGACAGAATCATTCTCAGAAACGGCTCTGCGATGTGTGCGTTCAACTCTCAGAGTTTAACTTTTCTTTTCATTCAGCAGTTTGGAAACACTCTGTTTGTAAAGTCTGCACGTGGATATTTTGACCACTTAGAGGCCTTCGTTTGAAACGGGTTTTTTTCCTTTAAGGCTAGAGAGAAGAATTCCCAGTAACATCCTTGTGTTGTGTGTGTTCAACTCACAGAGTTGAACTTTCATTTACACAGAGCAGATTTGAAACACTCTTTTTGTGGAATTTGCAAGTGGAGATTTCAAGCGCTTTGAGGCCAAAGGCAGAAAAGGAAATATCCTTCGTTTCAAAACTAGACAGAAGCATTCTCAGAAGCTGCTCTGCGATGTGTGCGTTCAACTCTCAGAGTTTAACTTTTCTTTTCATTCAGCAGTTTGGAAACACTCTGTTTGTAAAGTCTGCACGTGGATAATTTGACCACTTAGAGGCCTTCGTTGGAAACGGGTTTTTTTCATGTAAGGCTAGACAGAAGAGTTCTCAGTAACTTCCTTGTGTTGTGTGTATTCAACTCACACAGTTGAACGATCCTTTACACAGAGCAGACTTGTAACACTCTTTTTGTGGAATTTGCAAGTGGAGATTTCAGCCGCTTTGAAGTCAAAGTAGAAAAGGAAATATCTTCCTATAAAAACTAGACAGAATGATTCTCAGAAACTTCTTTGTGATGTGTGCGTTCAACTCACAGAGTTTAACCTTTCTTTTCATAGAGCAGTTAGGAAAGACTCTGTTTGTAAAGTCTGCAAGTGGATATTCAGACCTCTTTGAGGCCTTCGTTGGAAACGGGTTTTTTTCATATAAGGCTAGACAGAAGAATTCTCAGTAACTTCCTTGTGTTGTGTGTATTCAACTGACAGAGTTGAACTTTCATTTAGAGAGAGCTGATTTGAAACACTGTTTTTGTGGAATTTGCAAGTGGAGATTTCAAGCGTTTTGGGGCCAAAGGCAGAAAAGGAAATATCTTCGTATAAAAACTAGACAGAATCATTCTCAGAAACTGCTGCGTGATGTGTGCGTTCAACTCTCAGAGTTTAACTTTTCTTTTCATTCAGCGGTTTGGAAACACTCTGTTTGTAAAGTCTGCACGTGGATATTTTGACCACTTAGAGGCCTTCGTTGGAAACGGGTTTTTTTTCATGTAAGGCTAGACAGAAGAATTCCCAGTAACTTCCTTGTGTTGTGTGCATTCAACTCACAGAGTTGAACGTTCCCTTACACAGAGCAGATTTGAAACACTCTATTTGTGCAATTTGCAAGTGTAGATTTCAAGCGCTTTAAGGTCAACGGCAGAAAAGGAAATATCTTCGTTTCAAAACTAGACAGAATCATTCCCACAAGCTGCGTTGTGATGTGTTCGTTCAACTCACAGAGTTTAACCTTTCTGTTCATAGAGCAGTTAGGAAACACTCTGTTTGTAAAGTCTGTAAGTGGATATTCTGACATCTTGTGGCCTTCGTTGGAAATGGGATTTCTTCATATTCTGCTGGACAGAAGAATTCTCAGTAACTTCCTTGTGTTGTGTGTATTCAACTCACAGAGTTGAACGATCCTTTACACAGAGCAGACTTGAAACGCTCTTTTTGTGGAATTTGCAAGTGGAGATTTCAGCCGCGTTGAAGTCAATGGTAGAAAAGGAAATATCTTCGTATAAAAACTAGACAGAATGATTTTCAGAAACTCCTTTGTGATGTGTGCGTTCAATTCACAGAGTTTAACTTTTCATAGAGCAGTTAGGAAACACTCTGTTTGTAAAGTCTGCAAGTGGATATTCAGACCTCTTTGAGGCCTTCGTTGGAAACGGGATTTCTTCATATTATGCTAGACAGAATAATTCTCAGTAACTTCCTTGTGTTGTGTGTATTCAACTCACAGATTTGAACGATCCTTTACAGAGAGCAGACTTGAAACACTCTTTTTGTGGAATTTGCAAGTGGAGATTTCAGCTGCTTTGAGGTCAATGGTAGAAAAGGAATTATCTTCGTAGAAAAACTAGACAGAATCATTCTCAGAAACTGCTGCGTGATGTGTGCGTTCAACTGTCAGAGTTTAACTTTTCTTTTCATTCAGCGGTTTGGAAACACTCTGTTTGTAAAGTCTGCACGTGGATATTTTGCCCACTTAGAGGCCTTCGTTGGAAACGGGTTTTTTTCATGTAAGGCTAGACAGAAGAATTCCCAGTAACTTCCTTGTGTTGTGTGCATTCAACTCACAGAGTTGAACGTTCCCTTAGACAGAGCAGATTTGAAACACTCTATTTGTGCAATTTGCAAGTGTAGATCTCAAGCGCTTTAAGGTCAATGGGAGAAAAGGAAATATCTTCGTTTCAAAACTAGACAGAATCATTCCCACAAACTGCGTTGTGATGTGTTCGTTCAACTCACAGAGTTTAACCTTTCTTTTCATAGAGTAGTTAGGAAACAGTCTGTTTGTAAATTCTGTAAGTGGATATTCTGACATCTTGTGGCCTTCGTTGGAAACGGGATTTCTTCATATTCTGCTAGACAGAAGAATTCTCAGTAACTTCCTTGTGTTGTGTGTATTCAACTCACAGAGTTGAACGATCCTTTACACAGAGCAGACTTGAAACACTCTTTTTGTGGAATTTGCAAGTGGAGATTTCAGCCGCTTTGAGGTCAATGTTAGAAAAGGAAATATCTTCCTATAGAAACTAGACAGAATGATTCTGAGAAACTCCTTTGTGATGGGTGCGTTCAACTCACAGAGTTTAACCTTTCTTTTAATAGAGCAGTTAGGAAACACTCTGTTTGTAAAGTCTGCAAGTGGATATTCAGACATCTTTGGGGCATTCGTTGGAAACGGGATTTCTTCATATTCTGCTAGACAGAAGAATTCTCAGTAACTTCCTTGTGTTGTGTGTATTCAACTGACAGAGTTGAACTTTCATTTAGAGAGAGCAGATTTGAAACACTATTTTTGTGGAATTTGCAAGTGGAGATTACAAGCGCTTTTGGGCCAAAGGCAGAAAAGGAAATATCTTCGTATAAAAACTAGACAGAATCATTCTCAGAAACTGCTCTGCGATATGTGCGTTCAACTCTCAGAGTTTAACTTTTCTTTTCATTCAGCAGTTTGGAAACACTCTGTTTGTAAAGTCTGCATGTGCGTAATTTGACCACTTAGAGGCCTTCGTTGGAAACAGGTTTTGTTCATGTAAGGCTAGACAGAAGAATTCCCAGTAACTTACCTTGTGTTGTGTACATTCAACTCACAGAGTTGAACGTTCCCTTAGACAGAGCAGATTTGAAACACTCTTTTTGTGCAATTGGCAAGTGGAGATTTCAAGCGCTTTAAGGTCAATGGCAGAAAAGGAAATATCTTCGTTTCAAAACTAGACAGAATCATTCCCACAAACTTCGTTGTGATGTGTTCGTTCAACTCACAGAGTTTAACCTTTCTGTTCATAGAGCAGTTAGGAAACACTCTGTTTGTAAAGTCTGTAAGTGGATATTCTGACATCTTGTGGCCTTCGTTGGAAACGGGATTTCTTCATATTCTGCTAGACAGAAGAATTCTCAGAACCTTCCTTGTGTTCTGTGCATTCAACTCACAGAGTTGAACGATCCTTTACACAGAGCAGACTTGAAACACTCTTTTTGAGGAATTTGCAAGTGGAGATTTCAGCCGCTTTGAGGTCCATGGTAGAAAAGGAAATATCTTCGTATAAAAACTAGACAGAATGATTCTCAGAAAGTCCGTTGTGATGTGTGCGTTCAACTCACAGAGTTTAACCTTTCTTTTCATAGAGCAGTTAGGAAACACTCTGTTTGTAAAGTCTGCAAGTGGATATTCAGACCTCTTTGAGGCCTTCGTTGGAAACGGGATTTCTTCATATTATGCTAGACAGAAGAATTCCCAGTAACTTCCTTGTGTTGTGTGTGTTCAACTCACAGAGTTGAACTTTCATTTACACAGAGCAGATTTGAAACACTCTTTTTATGGAATTTGCAAATGGAGATTTCAAGCGCTTTGAGGCCAAAGGCAGAAAAGGAAATATCTTCGTATAAAAACTAGACAGAATCATTCTCAGAAACTGCTGCGTGATGTGTGCGTTCAACTCTCAGAGTTTAACTTTTCTTTTCATTCAGCGGTTTGGAAACACTCTGTTTGTAAAGTCTGCACGTGGATATTTTGACCACTTAGAGGCCTTCGTTGGAAACGGGTTTTTTACATGTAAGGCTAGACAGAAGAATTCCCAGTAACTTCCCTTGTGTTGTGTACATTCAACTCACAGAGTTGAACGTTCCCTTAGACAGAGCAGATTTGAAACACTCTTTTTGTGCAATTGGCAAATGGAGATTTCAAGCGCTTTAAGGTCAATGGCAGAAAAGGAAATATCTTCGTTTCAAAACTAGACAGAATCATTCCCACAAACTGCGTTGTGATGTGTTCGTTCAACTCACAGAGTTTAACCTTTCTTTTCATAGAGCACTTAGGAAAGAGTCTGTTTGTAAATTCTGTAAGTGGATATTCTGACATCTTGTGGCCTTCGTTGGAAACGGGATTTCTTCATATTCTGCTAGACAGAAGAATTCTCAGAAACTTCCTTGTGTTGTGTGTTTTCAACTCACAGAATTGAACGATGCTTTACACAGAGTAGACTTGAAACACTCTTTTTGTGTAATTTGCAAGTGGAGATTTCAGCCGCTTTGAGGTCAATGGTAGAAAAGGAAATATCTTCGTATAAAAACTAGACAGAATGATTCTCAGAAACTCCTTTGTGATGTGGGCGTTCAACTCACAGAGTTTAACCTTTCTTTTCATAGAGCAGTTAGGAAACACTCTGTTTGTTAAGTCTGCACGTGGATACTTGGACTTCTTTGAGGCCTTCGTTGGAAACGGGTTTTTTTCATGTAAGGCTGGACAGAAGAATTCTCAGTAACTTCCTTGTGTTGTGTGTATTCAACTCACAGAGTTGAATGATCCTTTACAGAGAGCAGACTTGAAACACTCTTTTTGTGGAATTTGCAAGTGGAGATTTCAGCCGCTTTGAGGTCAATGGTAGAATAGGAAATATCTTCCTATAGAAACTAGACAGAATCATTCTCAGAAACTGCTCTGCGATGTGTGCGTTCAACTCTCAGAGTTTAACTTTGCTTTTCATTCAGCAGTTTGGAAACACTCTGTTTGTAAAGTCTGCACGTGGATAATTTGACCACTTAGAGGCCTTCGTTGGAAACGGGTTTTTTTCATGTAAGGCTAGACAGAAGAATTCCCAGTAACTTGCCTTGTGTTGTGTGCATTCAACTCACAGAGTTGAACGTTCCCTTAGACAGAGCAGATTTGAAACACTCTAGTTGTGCAATTTGCAAGTGTAGATTTCAAGCGCTTTAAGGTCAATGGCAGAAAAGGAAATATCTTCGTTTCAAAACTAGACAGAAATGATTCTCAGAAACTCCTTTGTGATGTGTGCGTTCAACTCACAGAGTTTAACCTTTCTTTTCATAGAGCAGTTAGGAAACACTCTGTTTGTAAAGTCTGCAAGTGGATATTCAGACCTCCTTGAGGCCTTCGTTGGAAACGGGATTTCTTCATATTATGCTAGACAGAAGAATTCTCAGTAAATTCCTTGTGTTGTGTGTATTCAACTCACAGAGTTGAACGATCCTTTACACAGAGCAGACTTGAAACACTCTTTTTGTGAAATTTGCAAGTGGAGATTTCAGCCGCTTTGTGGTCAATGGTAGAATAGGAAATATCTTCCTATAGAAACTAGACAGAATGATTCTCAGAAACTCCTTTGTGATGTGTGTGTTCAACTCACAGAGTTTAACCTTTCTTTTCATAGAACAGTTAGTAAACACTCTGTTTATAAAGTCTGCAAGTGGATATTCAGACCCCTTTGAGGCCTTCGTTGGAAACGGGATTTCTTCATATTATGCTAGACAGAAGAATTCTCAGTAACTTCCTTGTCTTGTGTGTATTCAACTCACAGAGTTGAACGATCCTTTACACAGAGCAGACTTGAAACACTCCTTTTGTGGAATTTGCAAGTGGAGATTTCAGCCGCTTTGAGGTCAATGGTAGAATAGGAAATATCTTCCTATAGAAACTAGACAGAATGATTCTCAGAAACTCCTTTGTGACGTGTGTGTTCAACTCACAGAGTTTAACCTTTCTTTTCATAGAGAAGTTAGTAAACACTCTGTTTATAAAGTCTGCAAGTGGATATTCAGACCCCTTTGAGGCCTTCGTTGGAAACGGGATTTCTTCATATTATGCTAGACAGAAGAATTCCCAGTAACTTCCTTGTGTTGTGTGTGTTCAACTCACAGAGTTGAACTTTCATTTACACAGAACAGATTTGAAACACTCTTTTTGTGGAATTTGCAAGTGGAGATTTCAAGCGCTTTGAGGCCAAAGGCAGAAAAGGAAATATCTTCGTTTCAAAACTAGACAGAATCATTCTCAGAAACTGCTCTGTGATGTGTGCGTTCAACTCTCAGAGTTTAACTTTTCTGTTCATTCAGCAGTTTGGAAACACTCTGTTTGTAAAGTCTGCACGTGGATAATTTGACCACTTAGAGGCCTTCGTTGGAAACGGGTTTTTTTCATGTAAGGCTAGACAGAAGAGTTCTCAGTAACTTCCTTGTGTTGTGTGTATTCAACTCACACAGTTGAACGATCCTTTACACAGAGCAGACTTGTAACACTCTTTTTGTGGAATTTGCAAATGGAGATTTCAGCCGCTTTGAAGTCAAAGTAGAAAAGGAAATATCTTCCTATAAAAACTAGACAGAATCATTCCCACAAACTGCGTTGTGATGTGTTCGTTCAACTCACAGAGTTTAACCTTTCTTTTCATAGAGCAGTTAGGAAACAGTCTGTTTGTAAATTCTGTAAGTGGATATTGTGACATCTTGTGGCCTTTGTTGGAAACGGGATTTCTTCATATTCTGCTAGACAGAAGAATTCTCAGTAACTTCCTTGTGTTGTGTGTATTCAACTCACAGAGTTGAACGGTCCTTTACACAGAGCTGACTTGAACCACTCTTTTTGTGGGATTTGCAAGTGGAGATTTCAGCCGCTTTCAGGTCAATGGTAGAATAGGAAATATCTTCCTATAGAAACTAGACAGAATGATTCTCAGAAACTCCTTTGTGATGTGTGTGTTCAACTCACAGAGTTTAACCTTTCTTTTCATAGAGCAGTTAGTAAACACTCTGTATATAAAGTCTGCAAGTGGATATTCAGACCCCTTTGAGGCCTTCGTTGGAAACGGGATTTCTTCATATTATGCTAGACAGAAGAATTCTCAGTAACTTCCTTGTGTTGTGTGTATTCAACTGACAGAGTTGAACTTTCATTTGGAGAGAGCAGATTTGAAACACTGTTTTTGTGGAATTTGCAAGTGGAGATTTCAAGCGCTTTGGGGCCAAAGGCAGAAAAGGAAATATCCTCGTATAAAAACATGACAGAAATCATTCTCAGAAACCGCTCTGTGATGTGTGCGTTCAACTCTCAGAGTTTAACTTTTCTTTCCATTCAGCAGTTTGGAAACACTCTGTTTGTAAAGTCTGCACGTGGATATTTTGACCACTTAGAGGTCTTCGTTGGAAACGGGTTTTTTTCATGTAAGGCTAGACAGAAGAATTCCCAGTAACTTCCTTGTGTTGTGTGCATTCAACTCACAGAGATGAGCGTTCCCTTAGACAGAGCAGATTTGAAACACTCTATTTGTGCAATTTGCAAGTGTAGATTTCAAGCGCTTTAAGGTCAATGGCAGAAAAGGAAATATCTTCGTTTCAAAACTAGACAGAATCATTCCCACAAACTGCGTTGTGATGTGTTCGTTCAACTCACAGAGTTTAACCTTTCTTTTCATAGAGCAGTTAGGAAACAGTCTGTTTGTTAATTCTGTAAGTGGATATTCTGACATCTTGTGGCCTTCGTTGGAAACGGGATTTCTTCATATTCTGCTAGACAGAAGAATTCTCAGTAACTTCCTTGTGTTGTGTGTATTCAACTCACAGAGTTGAATGATCCTTTACACAGTACAGTCTTGAAACACTCTTTTTGTGGAATTTGCAAGTGGAGATTTCAGCCGCTTTGAGGTCAATGGTAGAATAGGAAATACCTTCCTATAGAAACTAGACAGAATGATTCTCAAAAACTTCTTTGTGATGTGTGCGTTCAACTCACAGAGTTTAACCTTTCTTTTCATAGAGCAGTTAGGAAACACTCTGTTTGTAAACTCTGCAAGTGGATATTCAGACCTGTTTGAGGCCTTCGTTGGAAACGGGATTTCTTCATACTATGCTAGACAGAAGAATTCTCAGTAACTTCCTTGTGTTGTGTGTATTCAACTGACAGAGTTGAACTTTCATTTAGAGAGAGCAGATTTGAAACACTGTTTTTGTGGAAGTTGCAAGTGGAGATTTCAAGCGCTTTGGGGCCAAAGGCAGAAAAGGAAATATCTTCGTATAAAAACTAGACAGAATCATTCTCAGAAACTGCTGCGTGATGTGTGCGTTGAACTCTCAGAGTTTAACTTTTCTTTTCATTCAGCGGTTTGGAAACACTCTGTTTGTAAAGTCTGCACGTGGAAATTTTGACCACTTAGAGGCCTTCGTTGGAAACGGGATTTTTTCATGTAAGGCTAGACAGAAGAATTCCCAGTAACTTCCTTGTGTTGTGTGCATTCAACTCACAGAGTTGAACGTTCCGTTAGACAGAGCAGATTTGAAACACTCTATTTGTGCAATTTGCAAGTGTAGATTTCAAGCGCTTTAAGGTCAATGGCAGAAAAGGAAATATCTTCGTTTCAAAACTAGACAGAATCATTCCCACAAACTGCGTTGTGATGTGTTCGTTCAACTCACAGAGTTTAACCTTTCTGTTCATAGAGCAGTTAGGAAACACTCTGTTTGTAATGTCTGTAAGTGGATATTCTGACATCCTGTGGCCTTCGTTGGAAACGGGATTTCTTCATATTCTGCTAGACAGAAGAATTCTCAGTAACTGCCTTGTGTTGTGTGTATTCAACTCACAGAGTTGAACGATCCTTTACACAGAGCAGACTTGAAACACTCCTTTTGTGGAATTTGCAAGTGGAGATTTCAGCTGCTTTGAGGTCAATGGTAGAATAGGAAATATCTTCCTATAGAAAGTAGACAGAATGATTCTCAGAAACTCCTTTGTGATGTGTGCGTTCAACTCACAGAGTTTACCCTTTCTTTTCATACAGCAGTTGGGAAACACTCTGTTTGTAAAGTCTGCAAGTGGATATTCAGACCTCCTTGAGGCTTTCGTTGGAAACGGGATTTCTTCATATTCTGCTAGAAAGAAGAATTCCCAGTAACTTCCTTGTGTTGTGTGTGTTCAACTCACAGAGTTGAACTTTCATTTACACAGAGCAGATTTGAAACTCTCTTTTTGTGGAATTTCCAAGTGGAGATTTCAAGCGCTTTGAGGCCAAAGGCAGAAAAGGAAATATCTTCGTTTCAAAACTAGACAGAATCATTCTCAGAAACTGCACTGCGATGTGTGCGTTCAACTCTCAGAGTTTAACTTTTCTTTTCATTCAGCAGTTTGGAAACACTCTGTTTGTAAAGTCTGCACGTGGATAATTTGACCACTTAGAGGCCTTCTTTGGAAACGGGTTTTTTTCATGTAAGGCTAGACAGAAGAATTCCCAGTAACTTCCCTTGTGTTGTGTGTGTTCAACTCACAGAGTTGAACTTTCATTTACACAGAGCAGATTTGAAACACTCTTTTTGTGGAATTTGCAAGTGGAGATGTCAAGCGCTTTGAGGCCAAAGGCAGAAAAGGAAATATCTTCGTTTCAAAACTAGACAGAATCATTCCCACAAACTGCGTTGTGATGTGTTCGTTCAACTCACAGAGTTTAACCTTTCTTTTCATAGAGCAGTTAGGAAACACTCTGTTGGTAAATTCTGTAAGTGGATATTCTGACATCTTGTGGCCTTCAGTGGAAACGGGATTTCTTCATATTCTGCTAGACAGAAGAATTCTCAGAAACTTCCTTGTGTTGTGTGTTTTCAACTCACAGAGTTGAACGATGCTTTACACAGAGTAGACTTGAAACACTCTCTTTGTGTAATTTGCAAGTGGAGATTTCAGCCGCTTTGAGGTCAATGGTAGAAAAGGAAATATCTTCGTATAAAAACTAGACAGAATGATTCTCAGAAACTCCTTTGTGATGTGTGCGTTCAACTCACAGAGTTCAACCTTTCTTTTCATAGAGCAGTTAGGAAACACTCTGTTTATAATGTCTGCAAGTGGATATTCAGACCTCTTTGAGGCCTTCTTTGGAAACGGGATTTCTTCATATTCTGCTAGACAGAAGAATTCCCAGTAACTTCCTTGTGTTGTGTGTGTTCAACTCACAGAGTTGAACTTTCATTTGCACAGAGCAGATTTGAAACACTCTTTTTGTGGAATTTGCAAGTGGAGATTTCAAGCGCTTTGAGGCCAAAGGCAGAAAAGAAGGAAATATATTCGTATAAAAACTAGACAGAATCATTCTCAGAAACTGCTCTGCGATGTGTGCGTTCAACTCTCAGAGTTTAACTTTTCTTTTCATTCAGCAGTTTGGAAACACTCTGTTTGTAAAGTCTGCACGTGGATAACTTGACCACTTAGAGGACTTCGTTGGAAACGGGTTTTTTTCCTGTAAGGCTAGACAGAAGAATTCCCAGTAACTTCCTTGTGTTGTGTACATTCAACTCACAGAGTTGAACGTTCCCTAAGACAGAGCAGATTTGAAACACTCTTTTTGTGCAATTGGCAAGTGGTGATTTCAGCCGCTTTGAGGTCAATGGTATAAAAGGAAATATCTTCGTATAAAAACTAGACAGAATCATTCCCACAAACTGCGTTGTGACGTGTTCGTTCAACTCACAGAGTTTAACCTTTCTTTTCATAGAGCAGTTAGGAAACAGTCTGTTTGTCAATTCTTTAAGTGGATATTCTGACATATTGTGGCCTTCGTTGGAAACGGGATTTCTTCATATTCTGCTAGACAGAAGAATTCTCAGTAACTTCCCTGTGTTGTGTGTATTCAACTCACAGAGTTGAACGATCCTTTACACAGAGCAGACTTGAGACACTCTTTTTGTGGAATTTGCAAGTGGAGATTTCAGCCGCTTTGAGGTCAATGGTAGAAAAGGAAATATCTTCGTATAAAAACTAGACAGAATGATTCTCAGAAACTCCTTTATGATGTGTGCGTTCAACTCACAGAGTTTAACCTTTCTTTTCATAGAGCAGTTAGGAAACACTCAGTTTGTAATGTCTGCAAGTGGATAATCAGACCTCTTTGAGGCCTTCGTTGGAAACGGGATTTCTTCATATTCTGATAGACAGAAGAATTCCCAGTAACTTCCCTTGTGTTGTGTGTGTTCAACTCACAGAGTTGAACTTTCATTTACACAGAGCAGATTTGAAACTCTCTTTTTGTGGAATTTGCAAGTGGAGATTTCAAGCGCTTTGAGGCCAAAGGCAGAAAAGGAAATATCTTCGTTTCAAAACTAGACAGAATCATTCTCAGAAACTACTCTGCGATGTGTGCGTTCAACTCTCAGAGTTTAACTTTTCTTTTCATTCAGCAGTTTGGAAACACTCTGTTTGTAAAGTCTGCACGTGGATAACTTGACCACTTAGAGGCCTTCGTTGGAAACGGGTTTTTTTCACGTAAGGCTAGACAGAAGAATTCCCAGTAACTTCCTTGTGTTGTGTACATTCAACTCACAGAGTTGAACGTTCCCTTAGACAGAGCAGATTTGAAACACTCTTTTTGTGCAATTGGCAAGTGGAGATTTCAAGCGCTTTGTGGTCAATGGCAGAAAAGGAAATATCTTCGTTTCAAAACTAGACAGAAATCATTCCCACAAACTGCGTTGTGATGTGTTCGTTCAACTCACAGTAGTTTAACCTTTCTGTTCATAGAGCAGTTAGGAAACACTCTGTTTGTAAAGTCTGTAAGTGGATATTCTGACATCTTGTGGCCTTCGTTGGAAACGGGATTTCTTCATATTCTGCTAGACAGAAGAATTCTCAGAAACTTCCTTGTGTTGTGTGTATTCAACTCACAGAGTTGAATGATCCTTTACACAGAACAGTCTTGAAACACTCTTTTTGTGGAATTTGCTAGTGGAGATTTCAGCCGCTTTGAGGTCAATGGTAGAATAGGAAATATCTTCCTATAGAAACTAGACAGAATGATTCTCAGAAACTCCTTTGTGATGTGTGTGTTCAACTCACAGAGTTCAACCTTTCTTTTCATAGAGCAGTTGGGAAACACTCTGTTTGTAAAGTCTGCAAGTGGATATTCAGACCTCCTTGAGGCTTTCGTTGGAAACGGGATTTCTTCATATTCTGCTAGACAGAAGAATTCTCAGTTACTTCCTTGTGTTGTGTGTATTCAACTCACAGAGTTGAACGATCCTTTACACAGAGCAGACTTGAAACACTCTTTTTGTGGAATTTGCAAGTGGAGATTTCAGCCGCTTTGAGGTCAATGGTAGAAAAGGAAATATCTTCGTATAAAAAATAGACAGAATCATTCTCAGAAACTGCTCTGCGATGTGTGCGTTCAACTCTCAGAGTTTAACTTTTCTTTTCATTCAGCAGTTTGGAAACACTCTGTTTGTAAAGTCTGCACGTGGATAACTTGACCACTTAGAGTCCTTCGTTGGAAACGGGTTTTTTTCATGTAAGGCTAGACAGAAGAATTCTCAGTAACTTCCTTGTGTTGTGTGTATTCAACTCACAGAGTTGAACGGATCCTTTACACAGAGCAGACTTGAAATACTCTTTTTGTGGAATTTGCAAGTGGAGATTTCAGCCGCTTTGAGGTCAATGGTAGAATAGGAAATATCTTCCTATAGAAACTAGACAGAATGATTCTCAGAAACTCCTTTGTGATGTGTGCGTTCAGCTCACAGAGTTTAACCTTTCTTTTCATAGAGCAGTTAGGAAACACTCTGTTTGTAAAGTCTGCAAGTGGATATTCAGACATCCTTGAGGCTTTCGTTGGAAACGGGATTTCTTCATATTCTGCTAGAAAGAAGAATTCTCAGTAACTTCCTTGTGTTGTGTGTATTCAACTCACAGAGTTCAACGATCCTTTACACAGAGCAGACTTGAAACACTCTTTTTGTGGAATTTGCAAGTGGAGATTTCAGCCGCTTTGAGTTCAATGGTAGAATAGGAAATATCTTCCTATAGAAACTAGACAGAACGATTCTCAGAAACTCCTTTGTGATGTGTGCGTTCAACTCACAGAGTTTAACCTTTCTGTTCATAGAGCAGTTAGGAAACACTCTGTTTGTAAAGTCTGCAAGTGGATATTCAGACCTCTTTGAGGCCTTCGTTGGAAACGGGATTTCTTCCTATTCTGCTAGACAGAAGAATTCTCAGTAACTTCCTTGTGTTGTGTGTATTCAAATGACAGAGTTGAATTTCATTTAGAGAGAGCAGATTGGAAACACTGTTTTTGTGGAATTTGCAAGTGGAGATTTCAAGCGCTTTGGGGCCAAATGCAGAAAAGGAAATATCTTCGTATAAAAACTAGACAGAATCATTCTCAGAAACTGCTGCGTGATGTGTGCGTTCAACTCTCAGAGTTTAACTTTTCTTTTCATTCAGCGGTTTGGAAACACTCTGTTTGTAAAGTCTGCACGTGGATATTTTGACCACTTAGAGGCCTTCGTTGGAAACTGGTTTTTTTCATGTAAGGCTAGACAGAAGAATTCCCAGTAACTTCCTTGTGTTCTGTACATTCAACTCACAGGAGTTGAACGTTCCCTTAGACAGAGCAGATTTGAAACACTCTTTTTGTGCAATTGGCAAGTGGAGATTTCAAGCGCTTTAAGGTCAATGGCAGAAAAGGAAATATCTTCGTTTCAAAACTAGACAGAATGATTCTCAGAAACTCCTTTGTGATGTGTGCGTTCAACTCACAGAGTTCAGCCTTTCTTTTCATAGAGCAGTTGGGAAACACTCTGTTTGTAAAGTCTGCAAGTGGATATTCAGACTTCTTTGAGGCCTTCGTTGGAAGCGGGATTTCTTCATATTCTGCTAGACAGAAGAATTCTCAGTAACTTCCTTGTGTTGTGTGTATTCAACTCACAGAGTTCAACGATCCTTTACACAGAGTAGACTTGAAACACTCTTTTTGTGGAATTGGCAGGGTGGAGATTTCAGCCGCTTTGAGGTCAATGGAAGAAAAGGAAATATATTCGTATAAAAACTAGACAGAATGATTCTCATAAACTCCTTTGTGATGTGTGCGTTCAACTCACAGAGTTTAACTTTTCTTTTCATAGAGCAGTTAGGAAACACTCTGTTTGTAAAGTGTGCAAGTGGATATTCAGACCTCTTTGAGGCCTTCGTTGGAAACGGGATTTCTTTATATTATGCTAGACAGAATAATTCTCAGTAAGTTCCTTGTGTTGTGTGTATTCAACTCACAGAGTTGAACGATCCTTTACACAGAGCAGACTTGAAACATTCTTTTTGTGGAATTTGCAAGTGGAGATTTCAGCCGCTTTGAGGTCAATGGTAGAATAGGAAATATCTTCCTATAGAAACTAGACAGAATCATTCTCAGAAACTTCTCTGCGATGTGTGCGTTCAACTCTCAGAGTTTAACTTTTCTTTTCATTCAGCAGTTTGGAAACACTCTGTTTGTAAAGTCTGCACGTGGATATTTTGACCACTTAGAGGCATTCGTTGGAAACGGGATTTTTCCTGTAAGGCTAGACAGAAGAATTCCCAGTAACTTCCTTGTGTTGTGTACATTCAACTCACAGAGTTGAACGTTCCCTTAGACAGAGCAGATTTGAAACACTCTTTTTGTGCAATTGGCAAGTGGAGATTTCAAGCGCTTTAAGGTCAATGGCAGAAAAGGAAATATCTTATTTTCAAAACTAGACAGAATCATTCCCACAAACTGCGTTGTGATGTGTTCGTTCAACTCACAGAGTTTAACCTTTCTCTTCATAGAGCAGTTAGGAAACACTCTGTTTGTGAAGTCTGTAAGTGGATATTCTGACATCTTGTGGCCTTCGTTGGAAACGGGATTTCTTCATATTCTGCTAGACAGAAGAATTCTCAGTAACTTCCTTGTGTTGTGTGAATTCAACTCACAGAGTTGAACGATCCTTTACACAGAGCAGACTTGAAACACGCTTTCTGTGGAATTTGCAATTGGAGATTTCAGCCGCTTTGAGGTCAATGGTAGAATAGGAAATATCTTCGTATAAAAACTAGACAGAATGATTCTCAGAAACTCCTTTGTGATGTGTGCGTTCAACTCACAGAGTTTAACTTTTCTTTTCATAGAGCAGTTAGGAAACACTCTGTTTGTAAAGTCTGCAAGTGGATATTCAGACCTCTTTGAGGTCTTCGTTGGAAACGGGATTTCTTCATATTCTGCTAGACAGAAGAATTCTCAGTAACTTCCTTGTGTTGTGTGTATTCAACTGACAGAGTTGAACTTTCATTTAGAGAGAGCAGATTTGAAACACTGTTTTTTTGGATTTGCAAGTGGAGATTTCAAGCGCTTTGGGGCCAAAAGCAGAAACGTAAATATCGTCGTATAAAAACTAGACAGAATCATTCTCAGAAAGTGCTCTGCGATGTGTGCGTTCAACTCTCAGAGTTTAACTTTGCTTTTCATTCAGCAGTTTGGAAACACTCTGTTTGTAAAGTCTGCACGTGGATAATTTGACCACTTAGAGGCCTTCGTTGGAAACGGGTTTTTTTCATGTAAGGCTAGACAGAAGAATTCCCCGTAACTTCCTTGTGTTGTGTGCATTCAACTCACAGAGTTGAACGTTCCCTTAGACAGAGCAGATTTGAAACACTCTATTTGTGCAATTTGCAAGTGTAGTTTTCAAGCTCTTTAAGGTCAACGGCAGAAAAGGAAATATCTTCGTTTCAAAACTAGACAGAATCATTCCCACAAACTGCGTTGTGATGTGTTCGTTCAACTCACAGAGTTTAACCTTTCTGTTCATAGAGCAGTTAGGAAACACTCTGTTTGTAAACTCTGTAAGTGGATATTCTGACATCTTGTGGCCTTCGTTGGAAACGGGATTTCTTCATATTCTGCTAGACAGAAGAATTCTCAGTAACTTCCTTGTGTTGTGTGTATTCAACTCACAGAGTTGAACGATCCTTTACACAGAGCATACTTGAAACACTCTTCTTGTGGAATTTGCAAGTGGAGATTTCAGCCGCTTTGAGGTCAATGGTAGAATAGGAAATATCTTCCTATAGAAACTAGACAGAATGATTCTCAGAAACTCCTTTGTGATGTGTGTGTTCAACTCACAGAGTTTAACCTTTCTTTTCATAGAGCAGTTAGGAAACACTCTGTTTGAAAAGTCTGCAAGTGGATATTCAGACCTCCTTGTGGCCTTCGTTGGAAACGGGATTTCTTCATATTCTGCTAGACAGAAGAATTCCCAGTAACTTTCCTTGTGTTGTGTGTGTTCAACTCACAGAGTTGAACTTTCATTTACACAGAGCAGATTTGAAACACTCTTTTTGTGGAAGTTGCAAGTGGAGATTTCAAGCGCTTTGAGGCCAAAGGCAGAAAAGGAAATATCTTCGTTTCAAAACTAGACAGAATCATTCTCAGAAACTGCTCTGCGATGTGTGCGTTCAACTCTCAGAGTTTAACTTTTCTTTTCATTCAGCAGTGTGGAAAAATTCTGTTTGTAAAGTCTGCACGTGGATATTTTGACCACTTAGAGGCCTTCGTTGGAAACGGGTTTTTTTCCTGTAAGGCTAGACAGAAGAATTCCCAGTAACTTCCTTGTGTTGTGTTCATTCAACTCACAGAGTTGAACGTTCCCTTAGACAGAGCAGATTTGAAACACTCTTTTTGTGCAATTGGCAAATGGAGATTTCAAGCGCTTTAAGTTCAAAGGCAGAAAAGGAAATATCTTCGTTTCAAAACTAGACAGAATCATTCCCACAAACTGCGTTGTGATGTGTTCGTTCAACTCACAGAGTTTAACCTTTCTGTTCATAGAGCAGTTAGGAAACACTCTGTTTGTAAAGTCTGTAAGTGGATATTCTGACATATTGTGGCCTTCGTTGGAAACGGGATTTCTTCATATTCTGCTAGACAGAATAATTCTCAGTAACTTCCTTGTGTTGTGTGTATTCAACTCACAGAGTTGAAGGATCCTTTACAGAGAGCAGGCTTGAAACACTCTTTTTGTCGAATTTGCAAGTGGAGATTTCAGCCGCTTTGAGGTCAATGGTAGAATAGGAAATATCTTCTTATAGAACCTAGACAAAATGATTCTCAGAAACTCCTTTGTGATGTGTGTGTTCAACTCACAGAGTTTAACCTTGCTTTTCATAGAGCAGTTAGTAAACACTCTGTTTATAAAGTCTGCAAGTGGATATTCAGACCCCTTTGAGGCCTTCGTTGGAGACGGGATTTCTTCATATTATGCTAGACAGAAGAATTCCCAGTAACTTCCTTGTGTTGTGTGTGTTCAACTCACAGAGTTGAACTTTGATTTACACAGAGCAGATTTGAAACACTCTTTTTGTGGAATTTGCAAGTGGAGATTTCAAGCGCTTTCAGGCCAAAGGCAGAAAAGGAAATATGTTCGTATAAAAACTAGACAGAATCATTCTCAGAAACTGCTCTGCGATGTGTGCGTTCAACTCTCAGAGTTTAAGTTTTCTTTTCATTCAGCAGTTTGGAAACACTCTGTTTGTAAAGTCTGCACGTGGATATTTTGACCACTTAGAGGCCTTCGTTGGAAACGGGTTTTTTTCGTGTAAGGCTAGACAGAAGAATTCCCAGTAACTTCCTTGTGTTGTGTGCATTCAACTCACAGAGTTGAACGTTCCCTTAGACAGAGCAGATTTGAAACACTCTATTTGTGCAATTTCCAAGTGTAGATTTCAAGCGCTTTAAGGTCAACGGCAGAAAAGGAAATATCTTCGTTTCAAAACTAGACAGAATCATTCCCACAAACTGCGTTGTGATGTGTTCGTTCAAATCACAGAGTTTAACCTTTCTTTTCATAGAGCAGTTAGGAAACAGTCTGTTTGTAAATTCTGTAAGTGGATATTCTGACATCTTGTGGCCTTCGTTGGAAACGGGATTTCTTCATATTCTGCTAGACAGAAGAATTCCCAGTAACTTCCTTGTGTTGTTGTACATTCAACTCACAGAGTTGAACGATCCTTTACACAGAGCAGACTTGAAACACTCTTTTTGTGGAATTTGCAAGTGGAGATTTCAGCCGCTTTGAGGTCCATGGTAGAAAAGGAAATATCTTCGTATAAAAACTAGACAGAAAGATTCTCAGAAACTCCTTTGTGATGTGTGCGTTCAACTCACAGAGTTTAACCTTTCTGTTCATAGAGCAGTTAGGAAACACTCTGTTTGTAAAGTCTGCAAGTGGATATTCAGACCTCTTTGAGGCCTTCGTTGGAAACGGGTTTTTTTCATATAAGGCTAGACAGAAGAATTCTCAGTAACTTCCTTGTGTTGTGTGTATTCAACTGACAGAGTTGAACTTTCATTTGGAGAGAGCATTTTTGAAACACTGTTTTTGTGGAATTTGCAAGTGGAGATTTCAAGCGCTTTGGGGCCAAAGGCAGAAAAGGAAATATCTTCGTATAAAAACTAGACAGAACGATTCTCTGAAACTCCTTTGTGATGTGTGCGTTCAACTCATAGAGTTTAACCTTTCTGTTCATAGAGCAGTTAGGAAACACTCTGTTTGTAAAGTCTGCAAGTGGATATTCAGACCTCTTTGAGGCCTACGTTGGAAACGTGTTTTTTTCATGTAAGGCTAGACAGAAGAATTCCCACTAACTTCCTTGTGTTGTGTGCATTCAACTCACAGAGTTGAACGTTCCCTTAGACAGAGCAGATTTGAAACACTCTATTTGTGCAATTTGCAAGTGTAGATTTCAAGCGCTTTAAGGTCAACGGCAGAAAAGGAAATATCTTCGTTTCAAAACTAGACAGAATCATTCCCACAAACTGCGTTGTGATGTGTTCGTTCAACTCACAGAGTTTAACCTTTCTTTTCATAGAGCAGTTATTAAACAGTCTGTTTGTCAATTCTGTAAGTGGATATTCTGACATCTTGTGGCCTTCGTTGGAAACGGGATTTCTTCATATTCTGCTAGACAGAAGAATTCTCAGTAACTTCCTTGTGTTGTGTGAATTCAACTCACAGAGTTGAACGATCCTTTACACAGAGCAGACTTGAAACACTCTTTTTGTGGAATTTGCAAGTGGAGATTTCAGCCGCTTTGTTGTCAATAGTAGAATAGGAAATATCTTCCTATAGAAACTATACAGAATGATTCTCAGAAACTCCTTTGAGATGTGTGCGTTCAACTCACAGAGTTTAACCTTTCTTTTCATAGAGCAGTTAGGAAACACTCTGCTTGTAAAGTCTGCAAGTGGATATTCAGCCCTCTTTGAGGCCTTCGTTGGAAACGGGTTTTTTTCATATAAGGCTAGACAGAAGAATTCCCAGTAACTTCCTTGTGTTGTGGGTGTTCGACTCACAGAGTTGAACTTTCATTTACACAGAGCAGATTTGAAACACTCTTTTTGTGGAATTTGCAAGTGGAGATTTCAAGCGCTTTGAGGCCAAAGGCAGAAAAGGAAATATCTTCGTTTCAAAACTAGACAGAATCATTCTCAGAAACTGCTCTGCGATGTGTGCGTTCAACTCTCAGATTTTAACTTTTCTTTTCATTCAGCACTTTGGAAACACTCTGTTTGTAAAGTCTGCACGTGGATATTTTGACCACTTAGAGGCCTTCGTTGGAAACGGGTTTCTTTCTTGTAAGGCTAGACAGAAGAATTCCCAGTAACTTCCTTGTGTTGTGTACATTCAACTCACAGAGTTGAACGTTCCCTTAGACAGAGCAGATTTGAAACACTCTTTTTGTGCAATTGGCAAGTGGAGATTTCAAGCGCTTTAAGGTCAATGGCAGAAAAGGAAATATCTTCCTTTCAAAACTAGACAGAATGATTCTCAGAAACTTCTTTGTGATGTGTGCGTTCAACTCACGGAGTTTAACCTTTCTTTTCATAGAGCAGTTAGGAAACACTCTGTTTGTAAACTCTGCAAGTGGATATTCAGACCTCTTTGAGGTCTTCGTTGGAAACGGGATTTCTTCATACTATGCTAGACAGAAGAATTCTCAGTAACTTCCTTGTGTTGTGTGTATTCAACTCACAGAGTTGAACGATCCTTTACAGAGAGCAGACTTGAAGCACTCTTTTTGTGGAATTTGCAAGTGGAGATTTCAGCCGCTTTGAGGTCAATGGTAGAATAGGAAATATCTTCCTATAGAAACTAGACAGAATGATTCTGAGAAACTCCTTTGTGATGTGTGCGTTCACCTCACAGAGTTTAACCTTTCTTTTCATAGAGCAGTTAGGAAACACTCTGTTTGTAAAGTCTGCAAGTGGATATTCAGACCTCCTTGAGGCCTTCGTTGGAAACGGGATTTCTTCATATTATGCTAGACAGAAGAATTCCCAGTAACTTCCTTGTGTTGTGTGTGTTCAACTCACAGAGTTGAACTTTCATTTACACAGAGCAGATTTGAAGCACTCTTTTTGTGGAATTTGCAAGTGGAGATTTCAAGCGCTTTGATGCCAAAGGCAGAAAAGGAAATATCTTCGTATAAAAACTAGACAGAATCATTCTCAGAAACTGCTCTGCGATGTGTGCGTTCAACTCTCAGAGTTTAACTTTTCTTTTCATTCAGCAGTGTGGAAAAACTCTGTTTGTAAAGTCTGCACGTGGATATTTTGACCACTTAGAGGCCTTCGTTGGAAACGGGTTTTTTTCCTGTAAGGCTAGACAGAAGAATTCCCAGTAACTTCCTTGTGTTGTGTACATTCAACTCACAGAGTTGAAGGTTCCCTTAAACAGAGCAGACTTGTAACACTCTTTTTGTGGAATTTGCAAGTGGAGATTTCAGCCGCTTTGAAGTCAAAGGTAGAAAAGGAAATATCTTCCTATAAAAACTAGACAGAATGATTCTCAGAAACTCCTTTGTGATGTGTGCGTTCAACTCACAGAGTTCAACCTTTGTTTTCATAGAGCAGTTGGGAAACACTCTGTTTGTAAAGTCTGCAAGTGGATATTCAGACTTCTTTGAGGCCTTCGTTGGAAGCGGGATTTCTTCATATTCTGCTAGACAGAAGAATTCTCAGTAACTTCCTTGTGTTGTGTGTATTCAACTCACAGAGTTGAATGATCCTTTACACAGAGCAGACTTGAAACACTCTTTTTGTGGAATTTGGAAGTGGAGATTTCAGCCCGCTTTGAGTTCAATGGTAGAATAGGAAATATCTTCCTATAGAAACTAGACAGAATGATTCACAGAAACTCCTTTGTGATGTGTGCGTTCAACTCACAGAGTTTAACCTTTCTTTTCATAGAGCAGTTAGGAAACACTCTGTTTGTAAAGTCTGAAAGTGGATATTCAGACATCTTTGAGGCCATCGTTGGAAACGGGATTTCTACATATTCTGCTAGAGAGAAGAATTCTCAGTAACTTCGTTGTGTTGTGTGTATTCAACTCACAGAGTTGAACGATCCTTTACACAGAACAGACTTGAAACACTCTATTTGTGGAATTTGCAAGTGGAGATTTCAGCCGCTTTGAGGTCAATGGTAGAATAGGAAATATCTTCCTATAGAAACTAGACAGAATGATTCTCAGAAACTCCTTTGTGATGTGTGCGTTCAACTCACAGAGTTTAACTTTTCTTTTCATTCAGCAGTTTGGAAACACTCTGTTTGTAAAGTCTGCACGTGGCTATTTTGACCACTTAGATTCCTTCGATGGAAACGGGTTTTTTTCATGTAAGGCTAGACAGAAGAATTCCCAGTAACTTCCTTGTGTTGTGTACATTCAACACACAGAGTTGAACGTTCCCTTAGACAGAGCAGATTTGAAACACTCTTTTTGTGCAATTGGCAAGTGGAGATTTCAAGCGCTTTAAGGTCAATGGCAGAAAAGTAAATATCTTCGTTTCAAAACTAGACAGAATCATTCCCACAAACTGCGTTGTGATGTGTTCGTTCAACCCACAGAGTTTAACCATTCTTTTCATAGAGCAGTTAGGAAACACTCTGTTTGTAAATTCTGTAAGTGGATATTCTGACATCTTTTGGCCTTCGTTGGAAACGGGATTTCTTCATATTCTGCTAGACAGAAGAATTCTCAGAATCTTCCTTGTGTTGTGTGTCTTCAACTCACAGAGTTGAGCGATGGTTTACACAGAGCAGATTTGAAACACTCTTTTTGTGGAATTTGCAAGTGGAGATTTCAGCCGCTTTGAGGTCAATGGTAGAAAAGGAAATGTCTTCGTATAAAAACTAGACAGAATGATTCTCAGAAACTTCTTTGTGATGTGTGCGTTCAACTCACAGAGTTTAACCTTTCTTTTCATAGAGCAGTTAGGAAACACTCTGTTTGTAAACTCTGCAAGTGGATATTCAGACCTCTTTGAGGCCTTCGTTGGAAACGGGATTTCTTCATATTATGCCTGAGAGAAGAATTCTCAGTAACTTCCTTGTGTTGTGTGTATTCAACTGACAGAGTTGAACTTTCATTTAGAGAGAGCAGATTTGAAACACTGTTTTTGTGGAATTTGCAAGTGGAGATTTCAAGCGCTTTGGGGCCAAAGGCAGAAAAGGAAATATCTTCGTATAAAAACTAGAGAGAATCATTCTCAGAAACTGCTCTGCAATGTGTGCGTTCAACTCTCAGAGTTTAACTTTTCTTTTCATTCAGCAGTTTGGAAACACTCTGTTTGTAAAGTCTGCACGTGGATAATTTGACCACTTAGAGACCTTCATTGGAAACGGGTTTTTTTCCTGTAAGGCTAGACAGAAGAATTCCCAGTAACTTCCTTGTGTTGTGTGCATTCAACTCACAGAGTTGAACGTTCCCTTAGACAGAGCAGATTTGAAACACTCTATTTGTGCAATTTGCAAGTGTAGATTTCAAGCGCTTTAAGGTCAACGGCAGAAATGGAAATATCTTCGTTTCAAAACTAGACAGAAATCATTCCCACAAACTGCGTTGTGATGTGTTCGTTCAACTCACAGTAGTTTAACCTTTCTGTTCATAGAGCAGTTAGGAAACACTCTGTTTGTAAAGTCTGTAAGTGGATATTCTGACATCTTGTGGCCTTCGTTGGAAACGGGATTTCTTCATATTCTGCTAGACAGAAGAAATCTCAGAATCTTCCTTGTGTTGTGTGTATTCAACTCACAGAGTTGAACGATCCTTTACACAGAGCAGACTTGAAACACTCTTTTTGTGGAATTTGCAAGTGGAGATTTCAGCCGCTTTGAGGTCCATGGTAGAAAAGGAATTATCTTCGTATAAAAAGTAGACAGAATGATTCTCAGAAACTCCTTTGTGATGTGTGCGTTCAACTCACAGTAGTTTAACCTTTCTTTTCATAGAGCAGTTAGGAAACACTCTGTTTGTAAAGTCTGCAAGTGGATATTCAGACTTCCTTGAGGCCTTCGTTGGAAACGGGTTTTTTTCATATAAGGCTAGACAGAAGAATTCTCAGTAACTTCCCTGTGTTGTGTGTATTCAACTGACAAAGTCGAACTTTCATTTAGAGAGAGCAGATTTGTAACATTGTTTTTGTGGAATTTGCAAGTGGAGATTTCAAGCGCTTTGGGGCCAAAGGCAGAAAATGAAATATCTTCGTATAAAAACTAGACAGAATCATTCTCAGAAACTGCTCTGCGATGTGTGCGTTCAACTCTCAGAGTTTAACTTTTCTTTTCATTCAGCAGTTTGGAAACACTCTGTTTGTAAAGTCTGCACGTGGATATTTTGACCACTTAGAGGCCTTCGTTGGAAACGGGTTTCTTTCCTGTAAGGCTAGACAGAAGAATTCCCAGTAACTTCCTTGTGTTGTGTACATTCAAGTCACAGAGTTGAACGTTCCCTTAGACAGAGCAGATTTGAAACACTCTTTTTGTGCAATTGGCAAGTGGAGATTTCAAGCGCTTTAAGGTCAATGGCAGAAAAGGAAATATCTTCGTTTCAAAACTAGACAGAATCATTCCCACAAACTGCGTTGTGATGTGTTCGTTCAACTCACAGAGTTTAACCTTTCTTTTCATAGAGCAGTTAGGAAACAGTCTGTTTGTCAATTCTGTAAGTGGATATTCTGACAGCTTGTGGCCTTCGTTGGAAACGGGATTTCTTCATATTCTGCTAGACAGAAGAATTCTCAGAATCTTCCTTGTGTTGTGTGTATTCAACTCACAGAGTTGAACGATCCTTTACACAGAGCGGACTTGAAACACTCTTTTTGTGGAATTTGCAAGTGGAGATTTCAGCCGCGTTGAGGCCAAAGGCAGAAAAGGAAATATCTTCGTTTCAAAACTAGACAGAATGATTCTCATAAACTCCTTTGTGATGTGTGCGTTCAACTCACAGAGTTTAACCTTTCTTTTCATAGAGCAGTTAGGAAACACTCTATTTGTAAAGTCTGCAAGTGGATATTCAGACCTCCTTGAGGCCTTCGTTGGAAACGGGATTTCTTCATATTCTGCTAGACAGAACAATTCCCAGTAACTTCCTTGTGTTGTGTGTGTTCAACTCACAGAGTTGAACTTTCATTTACACAGAGCAGATTTGAAACACTCTTTTTGTGGAATTTGCAAGTGGAGATTTCAAGCGCTTTGAGGTCAATGGCAGAAAAGGAAATATCTTCATATAAAAACTAGACAGAATCATTCTCAGAAACTGCTCTGCAATGTGTGCGTTCAACTCTCAGAGTTTAACTTTTCTTTTCATTCAGCAGTTTGGAAACACTCTGTTTCTAAAGTCTGCACGTGGATATTTTGACCACTTAGAGGCCTTCGTTGGAAACGGGTTTTTTTCCTGTAAGGCTAGACAGAAGAATTCCCAGTAACTTCCTTGTGTTGTGTACATTCAACTCACAGAGTTGAACGTTCCCTTAGACAGAGCAGATTTGAAACACTCTTTTTGTGCAATTGGCAAGCGGAGATTTCAAGCGCTTTAAGGTCAATGGCAGAAAAGGAAATATCTTCGTTTCAAAACTAGACAGAATCATTCCCACAAACTGCGTTGTGATGTGTTCGTTCAACTCACAGGAGTTTAACCTTTCTTTTCATAGAGCAGTTAGGAAACAGTCTGTTTGTAAATTCTGTAAATGGATATTCTGACATCTTGTGGCCTTCGTTGGAAACTGGATTTCTTCATACTATGCTAGACAGAATAATTCTCAGTAACTTCCTTGTGTTGTGTGTATTCAACTCACAGAGTTGAACGATCCTTTACACAGAGCAGACTTGAAACATTCTTTTTGTGGAATTTGCAAGTGGAGATTTCAGCCGCTTTGAGGTCAATGGTAGAATAGGAAATATCTTCCTATAGAAACTAGACAGAATGATTCTCAGAAACTCCTTTGTGATGTGTGTGTTCAACTCACAGAGTTTAACCTTTCTTTTCATAGAGCAGTTAGTAAACACTCTGTTTATAAAGTCTACAAGTGGATATTCAGACCCCTTTGAGGCCTTCGTTGGAAACGGGATTTCTTCATATTATGCTAGACAGAAGAATTCCCAGTAACTTCCTTGTGTTGTGTGTGTTCAACTCACAGAGTTGAACTTTCATTTACACAGAGCAGATTTGAAACACTCTTTTTGTGGAATTTGCAAGTGGAGATTTCAAGCGATTTGAGGCCAAAGGCAGAAAAGGAAATATCTTCGTATAAAAACTAGACAGAATCATTCTCAGAAACTGCTCTGCGATGTGTGCGTTCAACTCTCAGAGTTTAACTTTTCTTTTCATTCAGCATTTTGGAAACACTCTGTTTGTAAAGTCTGCACGTGGATATTTTGACCACTTAGAGGCCTTCGTTGGAAACGGGTTTTTTTCCTGTAAGGCTAAAAAGAAGAATTCCCAGTAACTTCCTTCTGTTGTGTACATTCAACTCACAGAGTTGAACGCTCCCTTAGACAGAGCAGATTTGAAACACTCTTTTTGGGCAATTGGCAAGTGGAGATTACAAGCGCTTTAAGGTCAATGGCAGAAAAGGAAATATCTTCGTTTCAAAACTAGACAGAATGATTCTCAGAAACTTCTTTGTGATGTGTGCGTTCAACTCACAGAGTTTAACCTTTCTTTTCATAGAACAGTTAGGAAACACTCTGTTTGTAAACACTGCAAGTGGATATTCAGACCTCTTTGAGGCCTTCGTTGGAAACGGGATTTCTTCATACTATGCTAGACAGAAGAATTCTCAGTAACTTCCTTGTGTTGTGTGTATTCAACTCACAGAGTTGAACGATCCTTTACACAGAGCAGACTTGAAACACTCTTTTTGTGGAATTTGCAACTGGAGATTTCAGCCGCGTTGAGGTCAATGGTAGAAAAGGAAATATCTTCGTATAAAAACTGGACAGAATGATTCTCAGAAACTTCTTTGTGATGTGTGCGTTCAACTCACAGTGTTTAACCTTTCTTTTCATAGAGCAGTTAGGAAACACTCTGTTTGTAAACTCTGCAAGTGGATATTCAGACCTCTTTGAGGCCTTCGTTGGAAACGGGATTTCTTCATACTGTGCTAGACAGAAGAATTCCCAGTAACTTCCTTGTGTTGTGTGTGTTCAACTCACAGAGTTGAACTTTCATTTACACAGAGCAGATTTGAAACACTCTTTTTGTGGAATTTGCAAGTGGAGATTTCAAGCGCTTTGAGGTCAAAGGCAGAAAAGGAAATATCTTCGTTTCAAAACTAGACAGAATCATTCTCTGAAACTGCTGCGTGATGTGTTCGTTCAACTCTCAGAGTTTAACTTTTCTTTTCATTCAGCGGTTTGGAAACACTCTGTTTGTAAGTCTGCACGTGGATATTTTGACCACTTAGACGCCTTCGTTGGAAACGGGTTTTTTTCATGTAAGGCTAGACAGAAGAATTCCCAGTAACTTCCTTGTGTTGTGTGCATTCAACTCACAGAGTTGAACGTTCCCTTAGACAGAGCAGATTTGAAACACTCTATTTGTGAAATTTGCAAGTGTAGATTTCAAGCGCTTTAAGGTCAATGGCAGAAAAGGAAATATCTTCGTTTCAAAACTAGACAGAATCATTCCCACAAACTGCGTTGTTATGTGTTCGTTCAACTCACAGAGTTTAACCTTTCTGTTCATAGAGCAGTTAGGAAACACTCTGTTTGTAAAGTCTGTAAGTGGATATTCTGACATCTTGTGGCCTTCGTTGGAAAAGGGATTTCTTCATATTCTGCTAGACAGAATAATTCTCAGTAACTTCCTTGTGTTGTGTGTATTCAACTCACAGAGTTGAACGATCCTTTACAGAGAGCAGACTTGAAACACTCTTTTTGTGGAATTTGGAAGTGGAGATTTCAGCCGCTTTGAGGTCAAAGGTAGAATAGGAAATATCTTCCTACAGAAAATAGACAGAATGATTCTCAGAAACTCCTTTGTGATGTGTGTGTTCAACTCACAGAGTTTAACCTTTCTTTTCATAGAGCAGTTAGTAAACACTCTGTTTATAAAGTCTGCAAGTGGATATTCAGACCCCTTTGAGGCCTTCGTTGGAAACGGGATTGCTTCATATTATGCTAGACAGAAGAATTCTCAGTAACTTCCCTTGTGTTGTGTGTATTCAACTGACAGAGTTGAACTTTCATTTAGAGAGAGCAGATTTGAAACACTGTTTTTGTGGAATTTGCAAATGGAGATTTCAAGCGCTTTGGGGCCAAAGGCAGAAAAGGAAATATCTTCGTATAAAAACTAGACAGAATCATTCTCAGAAACTGCTCTGCGATGTGTGCGTTCAACTCTCAGAGTTTAACTTTTCTTTTCATTCAACAGTTTGGAAACACTCTGTTTGTAAAGTCTGCACGTGGATATTTTGACCACTTAGAGGCCTTCGTTGGAAACGGGTTTCTTTCCTGTAAGGCTAGACAGAAGAATTCCCAGTAACTTCCTTGTGTTGTGTGCATTCAACTCACGGAGTTGAACGTTCCCTAAGACAGAGCAGATTTGAAACACTCTATTTGTGCAATTTGCAAGTGTAGATTTCAAGCGCTTTAAGGTCAACGGCAGAAAAGGAAATATCTTCGTTTCAAAACTAGACAGAATCATTCCCACAAACTGCGTTGTGATGTGTTCGTTCAACTCACAGAGTTTAACCTTTCTTTTCATAGAGCAGTTAGGAAACACTCTGTTTGTAAACTCTGCAAGTGGATATTCAGACCTCTTTGAGGCCTTCGATGGAAACGGGATTTCTCCATACTATGCTAGACAGAAGAATTCTCAATAACTTCCTTGTGTTGTGTGTATTCAACTCACAGAGTTGAACGATCCTTTACACAGAGCAGACTTGAAACACTCTTGTTGTGGAATTTGCAGGTGGAGATTTCAGCCTCTTTGAGGTCAATGGTAGAATAGGAAATATCTTCCTATAGAAACTAGACAGAATGGTTCTCAGAAACTCCTTTGTGATGTGTGTGTTGAACTCACAGAGTTTAACCTTTCTTTTCATAGAGCAGTTAGTAAACACTCTGTTTATAAAGTCTGCAAGTGGATATTCAGACCCCTTTGAGGCCTTCGTTGGAAACGGGATTTCTTCATATTATGCTAGACAGAAGAATTCTCAGTAACTTCCTTGTGTTGTGTGTATTCAACTGACAGAGTTGAACTTTCATTTAGAGAGAGCAGATTTGAAACACTCTTTTTGTGGAATTTGCAAGTGGAGATTTCAAGTGCTTTGGGGCCAAAGGCAGAAAAGGAAATATCTTCGTATAAAAACTAGACAGAATCATTCTCAGAAACTGCTGCGTGATGTGTGCGTTCAACTCTCAGAGTTTAACTTTTCTTTTCATTCAGCAGTTTGGAAACACTCTGTTTGTAAAGTCTGCACGTGGAAATTTTGACCACTTAGAGGCCTTCGTTGGAAACGGGTTTTTTTCATGTAAGGCTAGACAGAAGAATTCCCAGTAACTTCCTTGCGTTGTGTACATTCAACTCACAGAGTTGAACGTTCCCTTAGACAGAGCAGATTTGAAACACTCTTTTTGTGCAATTGGCAAGTGGAGATTTCAAGCGCTTTAAGGTCAATGGCAGAAAAGGAAATATCTTCGTTTCAAAACTAGACAGAATGATTCTCAGAAACTCCTTTATGATGTGTGCGTTTAACTCACAGAGTTTAACCTTTCTTTTCATTGAGCAGTTAGGAAACACTCTGTTTGTAAAGTCTGCAAGAGGATATTCTGACCTCCTTGAGGCCTTCGTTGGAAACGGGATTTCTTCATATTCTGCTAGACAGAAGAATTCTCAGTGACTTCCTTGTGTTGTGTGTATTCAACTCACAGATTTGAACGATCCTTTACACAGAGCAGACTTGAAACACTCTTTTTGTGGAATTTGCAAGTGCAGATTTCAGCCAATTTGAGGTCAATGGTAGAAAAGGAAATATCTTCGTATAAAGACTAGACAGATGATTCTCAGAAACTCCTTTGTGATGTGTGCGTTCAACTCACAGAGTTTAACCCTTCTGTTCATAGAGCAGTTAGGAAACACTCTGTTTGTAAAGTCTGCAAGTGGATATTCAGACCTCCTTGAGGCCTTCGGTGGAAAAGGGATTTCTTCATATTCTGCTAGACAGAAGAATTCTCAGTAACTTCCTTGTGTTGTGTGTATTCAACTCACAGAGTTGAACGATACTTTACACAGAGCAGACTTGAAACACTCGTTTTGTGGAATTTGCAAGTGGAGATTTCAGCCGCGTTGAGGTCAATGGTAGAAAAGGAAATATCTTCGTATAAAAACTAGACAGAATCATTCTCAGAAACTGCTCTGCGATGTGTGCGTTCAACTCTCAGATTTTAACTTTTCTTTTCATTCAGCAGTTTGGAAACACTCTGTTTGTAAAGTCTGCACGTGGATATTTTGACCACTTAGAGGCCTTCGTTGGAAACGGGTTTTTTTCCTGTAAGGCTAAACAGAAGAATTCTCAGTAACTTCCTTGTGTTGTGTGTATTCAACTCACAGATTTGAACGATCCTTTACAGAGAGCAGACTTGAAACACTGTTTTTGTGGAATTTGCAAGTGGAGATTTCAGCCGCTTTGAGGTCAATGGTAGAATAGGAAATATCTTCCTATAGAAACTAGACAGAATGATTCTCATAAACTCCTTTGTGATGTGTGCGTTCAACACACAGAGTTTAACCTTTCTGTTCATAGAGCAGTTAGGAAACACTCTGTTTGTAAAGTCTGTAAGTGGATATTCTGACATCTTGTGGCCTTCGTTGGAAACGGGATTTCTTCATATTCTGCTAGACAGAAGAATTCTCAGTAACTTCCTTGTGTTGTGTGTATTCAACTCACTGAGTTGAACGATCCTTTACACAGAGCAGACTTGAAACACTCTTTTTGTGGAATTTGCAAGTGGAGATTTCAGCCGCTTTGAGGTCAATGGTAGAAAAGGAAATATCTTCGTATAAAAACTAGACAGAATGATTCTCAGAATCTCCTTTGTGATGTGTGCGTTCAACTCACAGAGTTTAACCTTTCTTTTCATAGAGCAGTTAGGAAACACTCTGTTTGTAAAGTCTGCAAGTGGATATTCAGTCCTCTTTGAGGCCTTCGTTGGAAACGGGTTTTTTTCATATAAGGCTAGACAGAAGAATTCCCAGTAACTTTCCTTGTGATGTGTGTGTTCAACTCACAGAGTTGAACTTTCATTTACACAGAGCACATTTGAAACACTCTTTTTGTGGAATTTGCAAGTGGAGATTTCAAGCGCTTTGAGGCCAAAGGCAGAAAAGGAAATATCTTCGTATAAAAACTAGACAGAATCATTCTCAGAAACTGCTCTGCGATGTGTGCGTTCAACTCTCAGAGTTTAACTTTTCTTTTCATTCAGCAGTGTGGAAAAACTCTGTTTGTAAAGTCTGCACGTGGATATTCTGACCACTTAGAGGCCTTCGTTGGAAACGGGTTTTTTTCCTGTAAGGCTAGACAGAAGAATTCTCAGTAACTTCCTTGTGTTGTGTGTATTCAACTCACAGAGTTGAACTGATCCTTTACACAGAACAGTCTTGAAACACTCTTTTTGTGGAATTTGCAATTGGAGATTTCAGCCGCTTTGAGGTCAATGGTAGAATAGGAAATATCTTCCTATAGAAACTAGACAGAATGATTCTCAGAAACTCCTTTGTGATGTGTGCGTTCAACTCACAGAGTTTAACCTTTCTTTTCATAGAGCAGTTAGGAAACACTCTGTTTGAAAAGTCTGCAAGTGGATATTCAGACCTCCTTGAGGCCTTCGTTGGAAACGGGATTTCTTCATATTATGCTAGACAGAAGAATTCTCAGTAACTTCCTTGTGTTGTGTGTATTCAACTCACAGAGTTGAACGATCCTTTCCACAGAGCAGACTTGAAACACTCTTTTTGTGGAATTTGCAAGTGGAGATTTCAGCCGCTTTGAGGTCAATGGTAGAAAAGGAAATATCTTCGTATAAAGACTAGACAGAGTGATTCTCAGAAACTCCTTTGTGATGTCTGCGTTTAACTCACAGAGTTTAACCATTCTTTTCATAGAGCAGTTAGGAAACACTCTGTTTGTAAAGTCTGCAAGTGGATATTCAGACCTCCTTGAGGCCTTCGTTGGAAACGGGATTTCTTCATATTATGCTAGACTGAAGAATTCCCAGTAACTTCCTTGTGTTGTGTGTGTTCAACTCACAGAGTTGAACTTTCATTTACACAGAGTAGATTTGAAACACTCTTTTTGTGGAATTTGCAAGTGGAGATTTCAAGCGCTTTGAGGCTAAAGGCAGAAAAGGAAATATCTTCGTATAAAAACTAGACAGAATCATTCTCAGAAACTGCTCTGCGATGTGTGCGTTCAACTCTCAAGAGTTTAACTTTTCTTTTCATTCAGAAGTTTGGAAACACTCTGTTTGTAAAGACTGCACGTGGATATTTTGACCACTTAGAGGCCTTCGTTGGAAACGGGTTTTTTTCATGTAAGGCTAGACAGAAGAATTCTCAGTAACTTCCTCGTGTTGTGTGTATTCAACTCACAGAGTTGAACGATCCTTTACACAGAGCAGACTTGAAACACTCTTTTTGTGGAATTTGCAAGTGGAGATTTCAGCCGCTTTGATGTCAATGGTACAAAAGGAAATATCTTCGTATAAAGACTAGACAGAATGATTTTCAGAAACTCTTTTGTGATGTGTGCGTTCAACTCACAGAGTTTAACCTTTCTGTTCATAGAGCAGTTAGGAAACACTCTGTTTGTAAAGTCTGCAAGTGGATATTCAGACCTCCTTGAGACCTTCGTTGGAAACGGGATTTCTTCATATTCTGCTAGACAGAAGAATTCTCAGTAACTTCCTTGTGTTGTGTGTATTCAACTCACAGAGTTGTACGATCCTTTACACAGAGCAGACTTGAAACACTCTTGTTGTGGAATTTGCAAGTGGAGATTTCAGCCACTTTGAGGTCAATGCTAGAAAAGGAAATATCTTCGTATAAAGACTAGACAGAATGATTCTCAGAAACTCCTTTGTGATGTGTGGGTTCAACTCACAGAGTTTAACCTTTCTTTTCATAGAGCAGTTAGGAAACACTCTGTTTGTAAAGTCTGCAAGTGGATATTCAGACCTCTTTGAGGCCTTCGTTGGAAACGGGTTTTTTTCATATAAGGCTAGACAGAAGAATTCTCAGTAACTTCCTTGTGTTGTGTGTATTCAACTGACAGAGTTGAACTTTCATTTAGACAGAGCAGATTTGAAGCACTGTTTTTGTGGAATTTGCAAGTGGAGATTTCAAGCGCTTTGAGGCCAAAGGCAGAAAACGAAATATCTTCGTATAAAAACTAGACAGAATCATTCTCAGAAACTGCTCTGCGATGTGTGCGTTCAGCTCTCAGAGTTTAACTTTTCTTTTCATTCAGCAGTTTGGAAACACTCTGTTTGTAAAGTCTGCACGTGGATATTTTGACCACTTAGAGGCCTTCGTTGGAAATGGGTTTTTGTCATGTAAGGCTAGACAGAAGAATTCCCAGTAACTTCCTTGTGTTGTGTGTGTTCAACTCACAGAGTTGAACTTTCATTTACACAGAGCAGATTTGAAACACTCTTTTTGTGGAATTTGCAAATGGAGATTTCACCCGCGTTGAGGTCAATGGTAGAAAAGGAAATATCTTCGTTTCAAAACTAGACAGAATGATTCTCAGAAACTCCTTTGTGATGTGTGCGTTCAACTCACAGAGTTTAACCTTTCTGTTCATAGAGCAGTTAGGAAACACTCTGTTTGTAAAGTCTGTAAGTGGATATTCTGACATCTTGTGGCCTTCGTTGGAAACGGGATTTCTTCATATTCTGCTAGACAGAAGAATTCTCAGTAACTTCCTTGTGTTGTGTGTATTCAACTCACAGTGTTGAACGATCCTTTACACAGAGCAGACTTGAAACACTCTTTTTGTGGAATTTGCAAGTGTAGATTTCAAGCGCTTTAAGGTCAATGGCAGAAAAGGAAATATCTTCGTATCAAAACTAGACAGAATGATTCTCATAAACTCCTTTGTGATGTGTGCGTTCAACTCACAGAGTTTAACCTTTCTTTTCATAGAGCAGTTAGGAAACACTCTGTTTATAAAGTCTGCAAGTGGATATTCAGACCTCCTTGAGGCCTTCGTTGGAAACGGGATTTCTTCATATTCTGCTAGACAGAAGAATTCCCAGTAACTTCCTTGTGTTGTGTGTGTTCAACTCGCAGAGTTGAACTTTCATTTACACAGAGCAGATTTGAAACACTCTTTTTGTGGAATTTGCAAATGGAGATTTCAAGCGCTTTGAGGCCAAAGGCAGAAAAGGAAATATCTTCGTATAAAAACTAGACAGAATCATTCTCAGAAACTGCTCTGCGATGTGTGTGTTCAACTCTCACAGTTTAACTTTTCTTTTCATTCAGCAGTTAGGAAACACTCTGTTTGTAAAGTCTGCACGTGGATAATTTGACCACTTAGAGGCCTTCGTTGGAAACGGGTTTTTTTCATGTAAGGCTAGACAGAAGAATTCCCAGTAACTTCCTTGTGTTGTGTACATTCAACTCACAGAGTTGAACGTTCCCTTAGACAGAGCAGATTTGAAACACTCTTTTTGTGGAATTTGCAAGTGGAGATTTCAGCCGCTTTGAGGTCAATGGTAGAAAAGGAAATATCTTCGTATAAAAACTAGACAGAAATGATTCTCAGAAAATCTTTTGTGATGTGTGCGTTCAACTCACAGAGTTTAACTTTTCTTCTCATAGAGCAGGTAGGAAACACTCTGTTTGTAAAGTCTGCAAGTGGATATTCAGACCTCTTTGAGGCCTTCGTTGGAAACGGGATTTCTTCATATTATGCTAGACAGAATAATTCTCAGTAACTTCCTTGTGCTGTGTGTATTCAACTCACAGAGTTGAAGGATCCTTTACAGAGAGCAGGCTTGAAACACTCTTTTTGTCGAATTTGCAAGTGGAGATTTCAGCCGCTTTGAGGTCAATGGTAGAATAGGAAATATCTTCTTATAGAAACTAGACAGAATGATTCTCATAAACTCCTTTGTGAAGTGTGCGTTCAACTCACAGAGTTTAACCTTTCTTTTCATAGAGCAGTTAGGAAACACTCTGTTTGTAAAGGCGGCAAGTGGATATTCAGACCTCCTTGAGGCCTTCGTTGGAAACAGGATTTCTTCATATTCTGCTAGACAGAAGAATTCTCAGTAACTTCCTTGTGTTGTGTGTATTCAACTGACAGAGTTGAACTTTCATTTAGAGAGAGCAGATTTGAAACACTGTTTTTGTGGAATTTGCAAGTGGAGATTTCAAGCGCTTTGTGGCCAAAGGCAGAAAAGGAAATATCTTCCTATAAAAACTAGACAGAATCATTCTCAGAAACAGCTCTGCGATGTGTGCGTTCAACTCTCAGAGTTTAACTTTTCTTTTCATTCAGCAGTTTGGAAACACTCTGTTTGTAAAGTCTGCACGTGGATATTTTGACCACTTAGAGGCCTTCGTTGCAAACGGGTTTTTTTCCTGTAAGGCTAGACAGAAGAATTCCCAGTAACTTCCTTGTGTTGTGTGCATTCAACTCACAGAGTTGAACGTCCCCTTAGACATAGCAGATTTGAAACACTCTATTTCTGCAATTTGCAAGTGTAGTTTTCAAGCTCTTTAAGGTCAACGGCAGAAAAGGAAATATCTTCGTTTCAAAACTAGACAGAATCATTCCCACAAACTGCGTTGTGATGTGTTCGTTCAACTTACAGAGTTTAACCTTTCTGTTCATAGAGCAGTTAGGAAACACTCTGTTTGTAAAGTCTGAAAGTGGATATTCTGACATCTTGTGGCCTTCGTTGGAAACGGGATTTCTTCATATTCTGCTAGACAGAAGAATTCTCAGTAACTTCCTTGTGTTGTGTGTATTCAACTCACAGAGTTGAATGATCCTTTACACAGAACAGTCTTGAAACACTCTTTTTGTGGAATTTGCAAGTGGAGATTTCTGCCGCTTTGAGGTCAATGGTAGAATAGGAAATATCTTCCTATAGAAACTAGACAGAATGATTCTCATAAACTCCTTTGTGATGTGTGCGTTCAACTCACAAAGTTTAACTTTTCTTTTCATAGAGCAGTTAGGAAACACTCTGTTTGTAAAGTCTGCAAGTGGATATTCAGAACTCTTTGAGGCCTTCGTTGGAAACGGGATTTCTTCATATTATGCTAGACAGAAGAATTCTCAGTAACTTCCTTGTGTTGTGTGTATTCAACTGACAGAGTTGAACTTTCATTTAGAGAGAGCGGATTTGAAACACTGTTTTTGTGGAATTTGCAAGTGGAGATTTCAAGCGCTTTGGGGCCAAAGGCAGAAAAGGAAATATCTTCGTATAAAAACTAGACAGAATCATTCTCAGAAACTGCTGCGTGATGTGTGCGTTCAACTCTCAGAGTTTAACTTTTCTTTTCATTCAGCGGTTTGGAAACACTCTGTTTGTAAAGTCTGCACGTGGAAATTTTGACCACTTAGAGGCCTTCGTGGAAACGGGTTTTTTTCATGTAAGGCTAGACAGAAGAATTCCCAGTAACTTCCTTGTGTTGTGTGCATTCAACTCACAGAGTTGAACGTTCCCTTAGACAGAGCAGATTTGAAACACTCTATTTGTGCAATTTGCAAGTGTAGATTTCAAGCGCTTTAAGGTCAATGGCAGAAAAGGAAATATCGTCGTTTCAAAATTAGACAGAATCATTCCCACAAACTGCGTTGTGATGTGTTCGTTCAACTCACAGAGTTTAACCTTTCTGTTCATAGAGCAGTGAGGAAACACTCTGTTTGTAAAGTCTGTAAGTGGATATTCTGACATCTTGTGGCCTTCGTTGGAAACGGGATTTCTTCATATTCTGCTAGACAGAAGAATTCTCAGTAACTTCTTTGTGTTGTGTGTATTCAACTCACAGAGTTGAACGATCCTTTACACAGAGCAGACTTGAAACACTCTTTTTGTGGAATTTGCAAGTGGAGATTTCAGCCGCTTTGAGGTCAATGGTAGAATAGGAAATATCTTCATATAGAAACTAGACAGAATGTTTCTCAGAAACTCCTTTGTGATGTGTGCGTTGAACTCACAGAGTTTAACCTTTCTTTTCATAGAGCAGTTAGGAAACACTCTGTTTGTAAAGTCTGCAAGTGGATATTCAGACATCGTTGAGGCTTTCGTTGGAAACGGGATTTCTTCATATTCTGATAGAAAGAAGAATTCTCAGTAACTTCCTTGTGTTGTGTGTATTCAACTCACAGAGTTGAATGATCCTTTACACAGAACAGTCTTGAAACACTCTTTTTGTGGAATTTGCAAGTGGAGATTTCAGCCGCTTTGAGGTCAATGGTAGAATAGGAAATATCTTCCAATAGAAACTAGACAGAATCATTCTCAGAAACTGCTCTGCGATGTGTGCGTTCAACTCTCAGAGTTTAACTTTTCTTTTCATTCAGCAGTTTGGAAACACTCTGTTTGTAAAGTCTGCACGTGGATATTTTGACCACTTAGAGGCCTTCGTTGGAAACGGATTTTTTTCCTGTAAGGCTAGACAGAAGAATTCCCAGTAACTTCCTTGCGTTGTGTACATTCAACTCACAGAGTTGAACGTTCCCTTAGACAGAGCAGATTTGAAACACTCTTTTTGTGCAATTGGCAAGTGGAGATTTCAAGCGCTTTAAGGTCAATGGCAGAAAAGGAAATATCTTCGTTTCAAAACTAGACAGAATCATTCCCACAAACTGCGTTGTGATGTGTTCGTTCAACTCACAGAGTTTAACTTTTCTTTTCATAGAGCAGTTAGGAAACAGTCTGTTTGTCAATTCTGTAAGTGGATATTCTGACATCTTGTGGCCTTCGTTGGAAACGGGATTTCTTCATATTCTGCTAGACAGAAGAATTCTCAGTAACTTCCTTGTGTTGTGTGTATTCAACTCACAGAGTTGAATGATCCTTTACACAGATCAGTCTTGAAACACTCTTTTTGTGGAATTTGCAAGTGGAGATTTCAGCCGCTTTGAGGTCAATGGTAGAATAGGAAATATCTTCCTATAGAAACTAGACAGAATGATTCTCAGAAACTCCTTTGTGATGTGTGCGTTCAACTCACAGAGTTTAACCTTTCTTTTCATAGAGCAGTTAGGAAACACACTGTTTGTAAAGTCTGCAAGTGGATATTCATACCTCTTTGAGGCCTTCGTTGAAAACGGGATTTCTTCATATTCTGCTAGAGAGAAGAATTCTCAGTAACTTCCTTGTGTTGTGTGTATTCAACTCACAGAGTTGAACGATCCTTTACACAGAGCAGACTTGAAACACTCTTTTTGTGGAATTTGCAAGTGGAGATTTCAAGCGCTTTGAGGCCAAAGGCAGAAAAGGAAATATCTTCGTACAAAAACTAGACAGAATCATACTCAGAAACTGCTCTGCAATGTGTGCGTTCAACTCTCAGAGTTTAACTTTTCTTTTCATTCAGCAGTTTGGAAACACTCTGTTTGTAAAGTCTGCACGTGGATATTTTGACCACTTAGTGGCCTTTGTTGGAAACGGTTTTTTTTCCTGTAAGGCTAGACAGAAGAATTCCCAGTAACTTCCTTGTGTTGTGTACATTCAACTCACAGAGTTGAACGTTCCCTTAGACAGAGCAGATTTGAAACACTCTTTTTGTGCAATTGGCAAATGGAGATTTCAAGCGCTTTAAGGTCAATGGCAGAAAAGGAAATATCGTCGTTTCAAAACTAGACAGAATCATTCCCACAAACTGCGTTGTGATGTGTTCGTTCAACTCACAGAGTTTAACCTTTCTTTTCATAGAGCAGTTAGGAAACAGTCTGTTTGTCAATTCTGTAAGTGGATATTCTGACATCTTGTGGCCTTCGTTGGAAACGGGATTTCTTCATATTCCGCTAGACAGAAGAATTCTCAGTAACTTCCTTGTGTTGTGTGTATTCAACTCACAGAGTTGAACGATCCTTTACACAGAGCAGACTTGAAGCACCCTTTTTGTGGAATTTGCAAGTGGAGATTTCAGCCGCTTTGAGGTCAATGGTAGAAAAAGAAATATCTTCGTATAAAAACTAGACAGAATGATTCTCAGAAACTCCTTTGTGATGCGTGCGTTCAACTCACAGAGTTCAACCTTTCTTTTCATAGAGCAGTTGGGAAACACTCTGTTTGTAAAGTCTGCAAGTGGATATTCAGACTTCTTTGAGGCCTTCGTTGGAAGCGGGATTTCTTCATATTCTGCTAGACAGAAGAATTCCCAGTAACTTCCTTGTGTTGTGTGTGTTCAACTCACAGAGTTGAACTTTCATTTACACAGAGCAGATTTGAAACACTCTTTTTGTGGAATTTGCAAGTGGAGATTTTAAGGGCTTTGAGGCCAAAGGCAGAAAAGGAAATATCTTCGTATAAAAACTAGACAGAATCATTCTCAGAAACTGCTCTGCGATGTGTGCGTTCAACTCTCAGAGTTTAACTCTTCTTTTCATTCAGCTGTTTGGAAACACTCTGTTTGTAAAGTCTGCACGTGGATAATTTGACTACTTAGAGGCCTTCGTTGGAAACGGGTTTTTTTCCTGTAAGGCTAGACAGAAGAATTCCCAGTAACTTCCTTGTGTTGTGTGCATTCAACTCACAGAGTTGAACGTTCCCTTAGACAGAGCAGATTCGAAACACTCTATTTGTGCAATTTGCAAGTGTAGATTTCAAGCGCTTTAAGGTCAATAGCAGAAAAGGAAATATCTTCGTTTGAAAACTAGACAGAATCATTCCCACAAACTGCGTTGTGATGTGTGCGTTCAACTCACAGAGTTTAACTTTTCTTTTCATAGAGCAGTTAGGAAACACTCTGTTTGTAAAGTCTGCAAGTGGATATTCAGACCTCTTTGAGGCCTTCGTTGGAAACGGGATTTCTTCATATTCTGCTAGACAGAAGAATTCTCAGAAACTTCCTTGTGTTGTGTGTATTCAACTCACAGAGTTGAACGATCCTTTACACAGAGCAGACTTGAAACACTCTTTTTGTGGAAATTGCAAGTGGAGATTTCAGGCGCTTTGAGGTCAATGGTAGAAAAGGAAATATCTTCGTATAAAAACTAGACAGAATGATTCTCAGAAAATCTTTTGTGATGTGTGCGTTCAACTCACAGAGTTTAACTTTTCTTCTCATGGAGCAGTTAGGAAACACTCTGTTTGTAAAGTCTGCAAGTGGATATTCAGACCCCTTTGAGGCCTTCGTTGGAAACGGGATTTCTTCATATTCTGCTAGACAGAAGAATTCCCAGTAACTTCCTTGTGTTGTGTGTATTCAACTCACAGAGTTGAACGATCCTTTACACAGAGAGGACTTGAAACACTCTTTTTGAGGAATTTGCAAGTGGAGATTTCAGCCGCTTTGAGGTCAATGGTAGAAAAGGAAATATCTTCGTATAAAAACTAGACAGAATGATTCTCAGAAACTTCTTTGTGATGTGTGCGTTCAACTCACAGAGTTTAACCTTTCTTTTCATAGAGCAGTTAGGAAACACTCTGTTTGTTAAGTCTGCACGTGGATACTTGGACTTCTTTGAGGCCTTCGTTGGAAACGGGTTTTTTTCATGTAAGGCTGGACAGAAGAATTCCCAGTAACTTCCTTGTGTTGTGTACATTCAACTCACAGAGTTGAACGTTCCCTTAGACAGAGCAGATTTGAAACACTCTTTTTGTGCAATTGGCAAAAGGAGATTTCAAGCGCTTTACGTTCAATGGCAGAAAAGGAAATATCTTCGTTTCAAAACTAGACAGAATCATTCCCACAAACTGCGTTGTGATGTGTTCGTTCAACTCACAGAGTTTAACCTTTCTTTTCATAGAGCAGTTAGGAAACAGTCTGTTTGTAAATTCTGTAAGTGGATATTCTGACATCATGTGGCCTTCGTTGGAAACGGGATTTCTTCATATTCTGCTAGACAGAAGAATTCTCAGAAACTTCGTTGTGTTGTGTGTTTTCAACTCACAGAGTTCAACGATCCTTTACACAGAGCAGACTTGAAACACTCTTTTTGTGGAATTTGCAAGTGGAGATTTCAGCCATTTTGAGGTCAACGTTAGAAAAGGAAATATCTTCGTATAAAAACTACACAGAATGATTCTCAGAAACTCCTTTGTGATGTGTGCGTTCAACTCACAGAGTTCAACCTTTCTTTTCATAGAGCAGTTGGGAAACACTCTGTTTGTAAAGTCTGCAAGTGGATATTCAGACTTCTTTGAGGCCTTCGTTGGAAACGGGATTTCTTCATATTCTGCTAGACAGAAGAATTCCCAGTAACTTCCTTGTGTTGTGTGTGTTCAACTCACAGAGTTGAACTTTCATTTACACAGAGCAGATTTGAAACACTCTTTTTGTGGAATTTGCAAGTGGAGATTTCAAGCGCTTTGAGGCCAAAGGCAGAAAAGGAAATATCTTCGTATCAAAACTAGACAGAATCATTCTCAGAAACTGCTCTGCGATGTGTGCGTTCAACTCTCAGAAGTTTAACTTTTCTTTTCATTCAGCAGTTTGGAAACACTCTGTTTGTAAAGTCTGCACGTGGATAACTTGACCACTTAGAGGCCTTCGTTGGAAACGGGTTTTTTTCATGTAAGGCTAGACAGAAGTTTTCCCAGTAACTTCCTTGTGTTGTGTACATTCAACTCACAGAGTTGAACGTTCCCTTAGACAGAGCAGATTTGAAACACTCTTTTTGTGCAATTGGCAAATGGAGATTTCAAGCGCTTTAAGGTCAATGGCAGAAAAGGAAATATCTTCGTTTCAAAACTAGACAGAATCATTCCCACAAACTGCGTTCTGATGTGTTCGTTCAACTCACAGAGTTTAACCTTTCTGTTCATAGAGCAGTTAGGAAACACTCTGTTTGTAAAGTCTGTAAGTGGATATTCTGACATCTTGTGGCCTTCGTTGGAAACGGGATTTCTTCATATTCTGCTAGACAGAAGAATTCTCAGTAACTTCCTTGTGTTGTGTGTATTCAACTCACAGAGTTGAACGATCGTTTACACAGAGCAGACTTGAAACATTCTTTTTCTGGAATTTGCAAGTGGAGATTTCAGCCGCTTTGAGGTCAATGGTAGAATAGGAAATATCTTCCTATAGAAACTAGACAGAAATGATTCTCAGAAACTCCTTTGTGATGTGTGCGTTCAACTCACAGAGTTTAACCTTTCTTTTCATAGAGCAGTTAGGAAACACTCTGTTTGTAAAGTCTCCAAGTGGATATTCAGACCTCTTTGAGGCCTTCGTTGGAAACGGGTTTTTTTCATATAAGGCTAGACAGAAGAATTCTCAGTAACTTCCTTGTGTTGTGTGTATTCAACTGACAGAGTTGAACGATCCTTTACACAGAGCAGACTTGAAACACTCTTTTTGTGGAATTTGCAAGGGGAGATTTCAAGCGCTTTGGGGCCAAAGGCAGAAAAGGAAATATCTTCGTATAAAAACTAGACAGAATCATTCTCAGAAACTGCTCTGCGATGTGTGCGTTCAACTCTCAGAGTTTAAATTTTCTTTTCATTCAGCAGTTTGGAAACACTCTGTTTGTAAAGTCTGCACGTGGATATTTTGACCACTTAGAAGCCTTCGTTGGAAACGGGTTTCTTTCCTGTAAGGCTAGACAGAAGAATTCCCAGTAACTTCCTTGTGTTGTGTACATTCAACTCACAGAGTTGAACGTTCCCTTAGACAGAGCAGATTTGAAACACTCTTTTTGTGCAATTGGCAAATGGAGATTTCAAGCGCTTTAAGTTCAATGGCAGAAAAGGAAATATCTTCGTTTCAAAACTAGACAGAATCATTCCCACAAACTGCGTTGTGATGTGTTCGTTCAACTCACAGAGTTTAACCTTTCTGTTCATAGAGCAGTTAGGAAACACTCTGTTTGTAAAGTCTGTAAGTGGATATTCTGACATCTTGTGGCCTTCGTTGGAAACGGGATTTCTTCATATTATGCTAGACAGAAGAATTCTCAGTAACTTCCTTGTGTTGTGTGTATTCAACTCACAGAGTTGAACGATCCTTTACACAGAGCAGACTTGAAACACTCTTTTTGTGGAATTGGCAAGTGGAGATTTCAGCCGCTTTGAGGTCAATGGTAGAATAGGAAATATCTTCCTATAGAAACTAGACAGAATGATTCTCAGAAACTCCTTTGTGATGTGTGCGTTCAACTCACAGAGTTTAACCTTTCTTTTCATAGAGCAGTTAGGAAACACTCTGTTTGTAAAGTCTGCAAGTGGATATTCAGACTTCTTTGAGGCCTTCGTTGGAAACGGGTTTTTTTCATATAAGGCTAGACAGAAGAATTCCCAGTAACTTCCTTGAGTTGTGTGTATTCAACTCACAGAGTTGAACTTTCATTTACACAGAGCAGATTTGAAACACTCTTTTTGTGGAATTTGCAAATGGAGATTTCAAGTCCTTTCAGGCCAAAGGCAGAAAAGGAAATATCTTCGTATGAAAACTAGACAGAATCATTCTCAGAAACTGCTCTGCGATGTGTGCGTTCAACTCTCCGAGTTTAACTTTTCTTTTCATTCAGCAGTTTGGAAACACTCTGTTTGTAAAGTCTGCACGTGGATAATTTGACCACTTAGAGGCCTTCGTTGGAAACGGTTTTTTTTTCATGTAAGGCTAGACAGAAGAATTCACAGTAACTTCCTTGTGTTGTGTACATTCAACTCACAGAGTTGAACGTTCCCTTAGACAGAGCAGATTTGAAACACTCTTTTTGTGCAATTGGCAAGTGGAGATTTCAAGCGCTTTAAGGTCAATGGCAGAAAAGGAAATATCTTCCTTTCAAAACTAGACAGAATCATTCCCACAAACTGCGTTGTGATGTGTTCGTTCAACTCACAGAGTTTAACCTTTCTTTTCATAGAGCAGTTAGGAAACAGTCTGTTTGTAAATTCTGTAAGTGGATATTCTGACATCTTGTGGCCTTCGTTGGAAATGGGATTTCTTCATATTCTGCTAGACAGAAGAATTCTCAGAAACTTCCTTGTGTTGTGTGTCTTCAACTCACAGAGTTGAACGATGCTTTACACAGAGTAGACTTGAAACACTCTTTTTGTGGAATTTGCAAGTGGAGATTTCAGGCGCTTTGAGGTCAATGGTAGAAAAGGAAATATCTTCGTATAAAAACTAGACAGAATGATTCTCATAAACTCCTTTGTGATGTGTGCGTTCAACTCACAGAGTTTAACTTTTCTTTTCATAGAGCAGTTAGGAAACACTCTGTTTGTAAAGTCTGCAAGTGGATATTCAGACCTCTTTGAGGCCTTCTTTGGAAACGGGATTTCTTCATATTATGCTAGACAGAAGAATTCTCAGTAACTTCCTTGTGTTGTGTGTATTCAACTCACAGAGTTGAATGATCCTTTACACAGAGGAGACTTGAAACACTCTTTTTGTGGAATTTGCAAGTGGAGATTTCAGCCGCTTTGAGGTCAATAGTAGAAAAGGAAATATCTTCGTAGAAAAACTAGACAGAATGATTCTCAGAAACTCCTTTGTGATGTGTGTGTTCAACTCACAGAGTTTAACCTTTCTTTTCATAGAGCAGTTAGGAAACACTCTGCTTGTAAAGTCTGCAAGTGGATATTCAGACCTCGTTGAGGCCTTCGTTGGAAACGGGATTTCTTCATATTCTGCTAGACAGAAGAATTCTCAGTAACTTCCTTGTGTTGTGTTTATGCAACTCACAGAGTTGAATGATCCTTTACACAGAGCAGACTTGAAACACTCTTTTTGTGGAATTTGCAAGTGGAGATTTCAGCCGCTTTGTGGTCAATGGTAGAAAAGGAAATATCTTCGTATAAAGACTAGACAGAATCATTCTCAGAAACTGCTCTGCGATGTGTGCGTTCAACTCTCAGTGTTTAACTTTTCTTTTCATTCAGCAGTTTGGAAACACTCTGTTTGTAAAGTCTGCACGTGGATAATTTGACCACTTAGAGATTTTCGTTGGAAACGGGTTTTTTTCATGTAAGGCTAGACAGAAGAATTCCCAGTAACTTCCTTGTGTTGTGTACATTCAACTCACAGAGTTGAACGTTCCCTTAGACAGAGCAGATTTGAAACACTCTTTTTGGGCAATTGGCAAGTGGAGATTACAAGCGCTTTAAGGTCAATGGCAGAAAAGGAAATATCTTCGTTTCAAAACTAGACAGAATCATTCCCACAAACTGCGTTGTGATGTGTTCGTTCAACTCACAGAGTTTAACCTTTCTTTTCATAGAGCAGTTAGGAAACACTCTGTTGGTAAATTCTGTAAGTGGATATTCTGACATCTTGTGGCCTTCGTTGGAAACGGGATTTCTAAATATTCTGCTAGACAGAAGAATTCTCAGTAACTTCCTTGTGTTGTGTTTATTCAACGCACAGAGTTGAATGATCCTTTACGCAGAGCAGACTTGAAACACTCTTTTTGTGGAATTTGCAAGTGGAGATTTCAGCCGCTTTGAGGTCAATGGTAGAAAAGTAAATATCTTCGTATAAAGACTAGACAGAATGATTCTCAGAAAATCTTTTGTGATGTGTGCGTTCAACTCACAGAGTTTAACTTTTCTTCTCATAGAGCAGTTAGGAAACACTCTGTTTGTAAAGTCTGCAAGTGGATATTCAGACCTCTTTGAGGCCTTCGTTGGAAACGGGATTTCTTCATATTCTGCTAGACAGAAGAATTCTCACTAACTTCCTTATGTTGTGTGTATTCAACTCACAGAGTTGAAGGATGCTTTACAGAGAGCAGGCTTGAAACACTCTTTTTGTCGGATTTGCAAGTGGAGATTTCAGCCGCTTTGAGGTGAATGGTAGAATAGGAAATATCTTCTTATAGAAACTAGACAGAATCATTCTCAGAAACTCCTTTGAGATGTGTGCGTTCAACTCTCAGAGTTTAACTTTTCTTTTCATTCAGCAGTTTGGAAACACTCTGTTTGTAAAGTCTGCACGTGGATATTTTGACCACTTAGAGGCCTTCGTTGGAAACGGGTTTCTTTCCTGTAAGGCTAGACAGAAGAATTCCCAGTAACTTCCTTGTGTTGTGTGCATTCAACTCACAGAGTTGAACGTTCCCTTAGACAGAGCAGATTTGAAACACTCTATTTGTCCAATTTGCAAGTGTAGATTTCAAGCGCTTTAAGGTCAACGGCAGAAAAGGAAATATCTTCGTTTCAAAACTAGACAGAATCATTCCCACAAACTGCGTTGTGATGTGTTCGTTCAACTCACAGAGTTTAACCTTTCTTTTCATAGAGCACTTAGGAAACAGTCTGTTTGTAAATTCTGTAAGTGGATATTCTGACATCTTGTGGCCTTCGTTGGAAACGGGATTTCTTCATATTCTGCTAGACAGAAGAATTCTCAGTAACTTCCTTGTGTTGTGTGTATTCAACTCACAGAGTTGAACGATCCTTTACACAGAGCAGACTTGTAACACTCTTTTTCTGGAATTTGCAAGTGGAGATTTCAGCCGCTTTGAAGTCAAAGGTAGAAAAGGAAATATCTTCCTATAAAAACTAGACAGAATGATTCTCAGAAACTTCTTTGTGATGTGTGCGTTCAACTCACAGAGTTTAACCTTTCTATTCATAGAGCAGTTAGGAAACACTCTGTTTGTAAACTCTGCAAGTGGATATTCAGACCTCTTTGAGGCCTTCGATGGAAACGGGATTTCTCCATACTATGCTAGACAGAAGAATTCTCAGTAATTTCCTTGTGTTGTGTGTATTCAACTCACAGAGTTGAACGATCCTTTACACAGAGCAGACTTGAAACACTCTTTTTGTGGAATTTGCAAGTGGAGATTTCAGCCGCTTTGAGGTCAATGGTAGAAAAGGAAATATCTTCGTATAAAAACTAGACAGAATCATTCTCAGAAACTGCTCTGGGATGTGTGCGTTCAACTCTCAGAGTTTAACTTTTCTTTTCATTCAGCAGTGTGGAAACACTCTGTTTGTAAAGTCTGCACGTGGATATTTTGACCACTTAGAGGCCTTCGTTGGAAACGGGTTTTTTTCCTGTAAGGCTAGACAGAAGAATTCCCAGTAACTTCCTTGTGTTGTGTACATTCAACTCACAGAGTTGAACGTTACCTTAGACAGAGCAGATTTGAAACACTCTTTTTGTGCAATTGGCAAATGGAGATTTCAAGCGCTTTAAGGTCAATGGCAGAAAAGGAAATATCTTCGTTTCAAAACTAGACAGAATCATTCCCACAAACTGCGTTGTGATGTGTTCGTTCAACTCACAGAGTTTAACCTTTCTGTTCATAGAGCAGTTAGGAAACACTCTGTTTGTAAAGTCTGTAAGTGGATATTCTGACATCTTGTGGCCTTCGTTGGAAACGGGATTTCTTCGTATTCTGCTAGACAGAAGAATTCTCAGTAAATTCCTTGTGTTGTGTGTATTCAACTCACAGAGTTGAACGATCCTTTACACAGAGCGGACTTGAAACACACTTTTTGTGGAATTTGCAAGTGGAGATTTCAGCCGCGTTGAGGTCAATGGTAGAAAAGGAAATATCTTCGTATAAAAACTAGACAGAATGATTCTCAGAAACTCCTTTGTGATGTGTGCGTGCAACTCACAGAGTTTAACTTTTCTTTTCATAGAGCAGTTAGGAAACACTCTGTTTGTAAAGTCTGCAAGTGGATATTCAGACCTCTTTGAGGCCTTCGTTGGAAACGGGATTTCTTCATATTATGCTAGACAGAAGAATTCCCAGTAACTTCCTTGTGTTGTGTGTGTTCAACTCACAGAGCTGAACTTTCATTTACACAGAGCAGATTTGAAACACTCTTTTTGTGGAATTTGCAAATGGAGATTTCAAGCGCTTTGAGGCCAAAGGCAGAAAAGGAAATATCTTCGTTTCAAAACTAGACGGAATCATTCTCAGAAACTGCTCTGCGATGTGTGCGTTCAACTCTCAGAGTTTAACTTCTCTTTTCATTCAGTAGTTTGGAAACACTCTGTTTGTAAAGTCTGCACGTGGATAACTTGACCACTTAGAGGCCTTCGTTGGAAACGGGTTTTTTTCATGTAAGGCTAGACAGAAGAATTCCCAGTAACTTCCTTGTGTTGTGTACATTCAACTCACAGAGTTGAACGTTCCCTTAGACAGAGCAGATTTGAAAAACTCTTTTTGTGCAATTGGCAAGTGGAGATTTCAAGCGCTTTAAGGTCAATGGCAGAAAAGGAAATATCTTCGTTTCAAAACTAGACAGAATCATTCCCACAAACTGCGTTGTGATGTGTTCGTTCAACTCACAGAGTTTAACCTTTCTTTTCATAGAGCAGTTAGGAAATAGTCTGTTTGTAAATTCTGTAAGTGGATATTCTGACATCTTGTGGCCTTCGTTGGAAACGGGATTTCTTCATATTCTGCTAGACAGAAGAATTCTCAGTAACTTCCTTGTGTTGTGTGTATTCAACTCACAGGGTTGAACGATCCTTTATACAGAGCAGACTTGAAACACTCTTTTTGTGGGACTTGCAAGTGGAGATTTCAGCCGCTTTGAGGTCAATAATAGTAAAGGAAATATCTTCGTAGAAAAACTAGACAGAATGATTCTCAGAAACTCCTTTGTGATGTGTGCGTTCAACTCACAGAGTTTAACCTTTCTTTTCATAGAGCAGTTAGGAAACACTCTGTTTGTAAAGTCTGCAAGTGGATATTCAGACCTCCTTGAGGCCTTCGTTGGAAATGGGATTTCTTCATATTATGCTAGACAGAAGAATTCTCAGTAACTTCCTTGTGTTGTGTGTATTCAACTCACAGAGTTGAACGATCCTTTACACAGAGCATACTTGAAACACTCTTGTTGTGGAGTTTGCAAGTGGAGATTTCAGCCGCTTTGAGGTCAATGGTAGAATAGGAAACATCTTCCTATAGAAACTAGACAGAATCATTCTCAGAAACTGCTCTGCGATGTGTGCGTTCAACTCTCAGAGTTTAACTTTTCTTTTCATTCAGCAGTTTGGAAACACTCTCTTTGTAAAGTCTGCACGTGGATATTTTGACCATTTAGAGGCCTTCGTTGGAAACGGGTTTTTTTCCTGTAAGGCTAGAGAGAAGAATTCCCAGTAACTTCCTTGCGTTGTGTACATTCAACTCACAGAGTTGAACGTTCCCTTAGACAGAGCAGATTTGAAACACTCTTTTTGTGCAATTGGCAAGTGGAGATTTCAAGCGCTTTAAGGTCAATGGCAGAAAAGGAAATATCTTCGTTTCAAAACTAGACAGAATCATTCCCACAAACTGCGTTGTGATGTGTTCGTTCAACTCACAGAGTTTAACCTTTCTTTTCATAGAGCAGTTAGGAAACAGTCTGTTTGAAAATTCTGTAAGTGGATATTCTGACATCTTGTGGCCTTCATTGGAAACGGGATTTCTTCATATTCTGCTAGACAGAAGAATTCTCAGTAACTTCCTTGTGTTGTGTGTATTCAACTCACAGAATTGAACGATCCTTTACACAGAGCAGACTTGAAACATTCTTTTTGTGGAATTTGCAAGTGGAGATTTCAGCCGCTTTGAGGTCAATGGTAGAATAGGAAATATCTTCCTATAGAAAATAGACAGAATGATTCTCAGAAAATCTTTTGTGATGTGTGCGTTCAACTCACAGAGTTTAACTTTTCTTCTCATAGAGCAGTTAGGAAACACTCTGTTTGTATAGTCTGCAAGTGGATATTCAGACCTCTTTGAGGCCTTCGTTGGAAACGGGATTTCTTCATATTATGCTAGACAGAAGAATTCTCGGTAACTTCCTTGTGTTGTGTGTATTCAACTGACAGAGTTGAACTTTCATTTAGAGAGAGCAGATTTGAAACACTGTTTTTGTGGAATATGCAAGTGGAGATTTCAAGCGCTTTGGGGCCAAGGGCAGAAAAGGAAATATCTTCGTTTAAAAACTAGACAGAATCATTCTCAGAAACTGCTGCGTGATGTGTGCGTTCAACGCTCAGAGTTTAACTATTCTTTTCATTCAGCGGTTTGGAAACACTCTGTTTGTAAAGTCTGCACGTGGATATTTTGACCACTTAGACGCCTTCGTTGGAAACGGGTTTTTTTCATGTAAGGCTAGACAGAAGAATTCCCAGTAACTTCCTTGTGTTGTGTACATTCAACTCACAGAGTTGAACGTTCCCTTAGACAGAGCAGATTTGAAACACTCTTTTTGTGCAATTGGCAAGTGGAGATTTCAAGCGATTTAAGGTCAATGGCAGAAAAGGAAATATCTTCGTTTCAAAACTAGACAGAATCATTCCCACAAACTGCGTTGTGATGTGTTCGTTCAACTCACAGAGTTTAACCTTTCTGTTCATAGAGCAGTTAGGAAACACTCTGTTTGAAAAGTCTGCAAGTGGATATTCAGACCTCCTTGAGGCCTTCGTTGGAAACGGGATTTCTTCATATTCTGCTAGACCGAAGAATTCTCAGAATCTTCCTTGTGTTGTGTGTATTCAACTCACACAGTTGAACGATGGTTTACACAGAGCAGATTTGAAACACTCTTTTTGTGGAATTTGCAAGTGGAGATTTCAGCCGCGTTGAGGTCAATGGTAGAAAAGGAAATATCTTCGTATAAAAACTAGACACAACGATTCTCAGAAACTTCTTTGTGATGTGTGCGTTCAACTCACAGAGTTTAACCTTTCTTTTCATAGAGCAGTTAGGAAACACTCTGTTTGTAAACTCTGCAAGTGGATATTCAGACCTGTTTGAGGCCTTCGTTGGAAACGGGATTTCTTCATACTATGCTAGACAGAAGAATTCCCAGTAACTTCCTTGTGTTGTGTGTGTTCAACTCACAGAGTTCAACTTTCATTTACACAGAGCAGATTTGAAACACTCTTTTTGTGGAATTTGCAAGTGGAGATTTCAAGCGCTTTGAGGCCAAAGGCAGAAAAGGAAATACCTTCGTATAAAAACTAGACAGAATCATTCTCAGAAACTGCTCTGCGATGTGTGCGTTCAACTCTCAGAAGTTTAACTTTTCTTTTCATTCAGCAGTTTGGAAACACTCTGTTTGTAAAGTCTGCACGTGGATAACTTGACCACTTAGAGGCCTTCGTTGGAAACGGGTTTTTTTCCTGTAAGGCTAGACAGAAGAATTCCCAGTAACTTCCTTGTGTTGTGTACATTCAACTCACAGAGTTGAACGTTCCCTTAGACAGAGCAGATTTGAAACACTCTTTTTGTGCAATTGGCAAGTGGAGATTTCAAGCGCTTTGAGGTCAATGGCAGAAAAGGAAATATCTTCGTTTCAAAACTAGACAGAATCATTCCCACAAACTGCGTTGTGATGTGTTCGTTCATCTCACAGAGTTTAACCTTTCTTTTCGTAGAGCAGTTAGGAAACAGTCTGTTTGTAAATTCTGTAAGTGGATATTCTGACATCTTGTGGCCTTCGTTGGAAATGGGATTTCTTCATATTCTGCTAGACAGAAGAATTCTCAGAATCTTCCTTGTGTTGTGTGTATTCAACTCACAGAGTTGAACGATGGATTACACAGAGCAGATTTGAAACACTCTTTTTGTGGAATTTGCAAGTGGAGATTTCAGCCGCTTTGAGGTCAATGGTAGAAAAGGAAATATCTTCGTATAAAAACTAGACAGAATGATTCTCAGAAACTCCTTTGTGATGTGTGCGTTCAACTCACAGAGTTTAACCTTTCTTTTCATAGAGCAGTTAGGAAACACTGTGTTTTTATAGTCTGCAAGTGGATATTCAGACATCTTTGAGGCCTTCGTTGGAAACGGGATTTCTTCATATTCTGCTATACAGAAGAATTCTCAGAAACTTCCTAGTGTTGTGTGTTTTCAACTCACAGAGTTGAACGATGCTTTACACAGAGTAGACTTGAAACACTCTTTTTGTGTAATTTGCAAGTGGAGATTTCAGCCGCTTTGAGGTCAATGGTAGAAAAGGAAATATCTTCGTATAAAAACTAGACAGAATGATTGTCAGAAACTCCTTTGTGATGTGTGCGTTCAACTCACAGAGTTTAACCTTTCTTTTCATAGAGCAGTTAGGAAACACTCTGTTTGTAAAGTCTGCAAGTGGATATTCAGACATCTTTGAGGCTTTCGTTGGAAACGGGATTTCTTCATATTCTGCTATACAGAAGAATTCCCAGTAACTTCCTTGTGTTGTGTGTGTTCAACTCACAGAGTTGAACTTTCATTTACACAGAGCAGATTTGAAACACTCTTTTTGTGGAATTTGCAAGTGGAGATTTCAAGCGCTTTGAGGTCAATGGCAGAAAAGGAAATATCTTCGTTTCAATCTAGACAGAATCATTCCCACAAACTGCGTTGTGATGTGTTCGTTCAACTCACAGAGTTTTACCTTTCTGTTCATAGAGCAGTTAGGAAACACTCTGTTTGTAAAGTCTGTAAGTGGATATTCTGACATCTTGTGGCCTTCGTTGGAAAAGGGATTTCTTCATATTCTGCTAGACAGAAGATTTCTCAGTAACTTCCTTGTGTTGTGTGTATTCAACTCACAGAGTTGAACGATCCTTTACACAGAGCAGACTTGGAACACTCTTTTTGTGGAATTTCCAAGTGGAGATTTCAGCCGCGTTGAGGTCAATGGTAGAAAAGGTAATATCTTCGTATAAAAACTAGACAGAATGATTCTCAGAAACTCCTTTGTGATGTGTGTGTTCACCTCACAGAGTTTAACCTTTCTTTTCATAGAGCAGTTAGTAAACACTCTGTTTATAAAGTCTGCAAGTGGATATTCAGACCCCTTTGGGGCCTTCGTTGGAAACGGGATTTCTTCATATTATGCTAGACAGAAGAATTCCCAGTAACTTCCTTGTGTTGTGTGTGTTCAACTCACAGAGTTGAACTTTCATTTACACAGAGCAGATTTGAAACACTCTTTTTGTGGAATTTGCAAGTGGAGATTTCAAGCGCTTTGAGGCCAAAGCAGAAAAGGAAATATCTTCGTTTCAAAACTAGACAGAATCATTCTCAGAAACTGCTCTGCGATGTGTGCGTTCAACTCTCAGAGTTTAACTTTTCTTTTCATTCAGCAGTTTGGAAACACTCTCTTTGTAAAGTCTGCACGTGGATATTTTGACCACTTAGAGGCCTTCGTTGGAAACGGGTTTTTTTCCTGTAAGGCTAGACAGAAGAATTCCCAGTAACTTCCTTGTGTTGTGTACATTCAACTCACAGAGTTGAACGTTCCCTTAGACAGAGCAGATTTGAAACACTCTTTTTGTGCAATTGGCAAGTGGTGATTTCAGCCGCTTTGAGGTCAATGGTATAAAAGGAAATATCTTCGTATAAAAACTAGACAGAATGATTCTCAGAAACTTCATTGTGATGTGTGCGTTCAACTCACAGAGTTTAACCTTTCTTTTCATAGAGCAGTTTGGAAACAGTCTGTTTGTAAATTCTGTAAGTGGATATTCTGACATCTTGTGGCCTTCGTTGGAAACGGGATTTCTTCATATTCTGCTAGACAGAAGAATTCTCAGTAACTTCCTTGTGTTGTGTGTATTCAACTCACAGAGTTGAACGATCCTTTACACAGAGCAGACTTGAAACACTCTTTTTGTGGAATTTGCAAGTGGAGATTTCAGCCGCTTTGAGGTCAATAGTAGAAAAGGAAATATCTTCGTAGAAACACTAGACAGAATGATTCTCAGAAACTTCTTTGTGATGTGTGCGTTCAACTCACAGAGTTTAACCTTTCTTTTCATAGAGCAGTTAGGAAACACTCTGTTTGTAAAGTCTGCAAGTGGATATTCAGACCTCTTTGAGGCCTTCGTTGGAAACGGGATTTCTTCATACTATGCTAGTCAGAAGAATTCTCAGTAACTTCCTTGTGTTGTGTGTATTCAACTCACAGAGTTGAACTTTCATTTACACAGAGCAGATTTGAAACTCTCTTTTTGTGGAAGTTGCAAGTGGAGATTTCAAGCGCTTTGAGGCCAAAGGCAGAAAAGGAAATATCTTCGTTTCAAAACTAGACAGAATCATTCTCAGAAACTGCTGCGTGATGTGTGCGTTCAACTCTCAGAGTTTAACTTTTCTTTTCATTCAGCGGTTTGGAAACACTCTGTTTGTAAAGTCTGCACATGGATATTTTGACCACTTAGAGGCCTTCGTTGGAAACGGGTTTTCTTCATGTAAGGCTAGACAGAAGAATTCCCAGTAACTTCCTTGTGTTGTGCGCATTCAACTCACAGAGTTGAACGTTCCCTTAGACAGAGCAGATTTGAAACACTCTATTTGTGCAATTTCCAAGTGTAGATTTCAAGCGCTTTAAGGTCAACGGCAGAAAAGGAAATATCTTCGTTTCAAAACTAGACAGAATCATTCCCACAAACTGCGTTGTGATGTGTTCGTACAACTCACAGAAGTTTAACCTTTCTGTTCATAGAGCAGTTAGGAAACACTCTGTTTGTAAAGTCTGTAAGTGGATATTCAGACATCTTGTGGCCTTCGTTGGAAACGGGATTTCTTCATATTCTGCTAGACAGAAGAATTCTCAGTAACTTCCTTGTGTTGTGTGTATTCAACTCACAGAGTTGAACGATCCTTTACACAGAGCAGACTTGAAACACTCTTTTTGTGGAATTTGCAAGTGGAGATATCAGCCGCTTTGAGGTCAATGGTAGAAAAGGAAATATCTTCGTATAAAAACTAGACAGAGAATGATTCTCAGAAACTCCTTTGTGATGTGTGCGTTCAGCTCACAGAGTTTAACCTTTCTTTTTATAGAGCAGTTCGGAAACACTCTGTTTGTAAAGTCTGCAAGTGGATATTCAGACCTCTTTGAGGCCTTCGTTGGAAACGGGATTTCTTCATATTCTGCTAGACAGAATAATTCTCAGTAACTTCCTTGTGTTGTGTGTATTCAACTCACAGAGTTGAAGGATCCTTTAGAGAGAGCAGGCTTGAAACACTCTTTTTGTCGAATTTGCAAGTGGAGATTTCAGCCACTTTGAGGTCAATGGTAGAATAGGAAATATCTTCTTATAGAACCTAGACAAAATGATTCTCAGAAACTTCTTTGTGATGTGTGCGTTCAACTCACAGTAGTTAAAACTTTCTTTTCATAGAGCAGTTAGGAAACACTCTGTTTGTAAAGACTGCACGTGGATATTCAGACCTCTTTGAGGCCTTCGTTGGAAACGGGTTTTTTTCCTGTAAGGCTAGACAGAAGAATTCCCAGTAACTTTCCTTGTGTTGTGTACATTCAACTCACAGAGTTGAACGTTCCCTTAGACAGAGCAGATTTGAAACACTCTTTTTGTGCAATTGGCAAATGGAGATTTCAAGCGCTTTAAGGTCAATGGCAGAAAAGGAAATATCTTCGTTTCCAAACTAGACAGAATCATTCCCACAAACTGCGTTGTGATGTGTTCGTTCAACTCACAGAGTTTAACCTTTCTGTTCATAGAGCAGTTAGGAAACACTCTGTTTGTAAAGTCTGAAAGTGGATATTCTGACATCTTGTGGCCTTCGTTGGAAACGGGATTTCTTCATATTCTGCTAGACAAAAGAATTCTCAGTAACTTTCCTTGTGTTGTGTGTATTCAACTCACAGAGTTGACCGATCCTTTACACAGAGCAGACTTGTAACACTCTTTTTGTGGAATTTGCAAGTGGAGATTTCAGCCGCTTTGAAGTCAAAGGTAGAAAAGGGAATATCTTCCTATAAAAACTAGACAGAATGATTCTCAGAAACTCCTTTGTGATGTGTGCGTTCAACACACAGAGTTTAACCTTTCTTTTCATAGAGCAGTTAGGAAACACTCTGTTTGTAAAGTCTGCAAGTGGATATTCAGACCTCTTTGAGGCTTTCGTTGGAAACGGGATTTCTTCATATTCTGCTAGACAGAAGAATTCCCAGTAACTTCCTTGTGTTGTGTGTGTTCAACTCACAGAGTTGAACTTTCATTTACACAGAGCAGATTTGAAACACTCTTTTTGTGGAATTTGCAAGTGGAGATTTCAAGGGCTTTGAGGCCAAAGGCAGAAAAGGAAATGTCTTCGTTTCAAAACTAGACAGAATGATTCTCAGAAACTGGTTTGTGATGTGTGCGTTCAACTCACAGAGTTTAACCTTTCTTTTCATAGAGCAGTTAGGAAACACTCTGTTTGTAAAGTCTGCATGTGGATATTTGGACTTCTCTGAGGTCTTCGTTGGAAACGGGTTTTTTTCATGTAAGGCTAGACAGAAGAATTCTCAGTAACTTCCTTGTGTTGTGTGTATTCAACTCACAGAGTTGAACGATCCTTTACACAGAGCAGACTTGAAACACTCTTTTTATGGAATTTGCAAGTTTAGATTTCAGCCGCTTTGAGGTCAATGGTAGAAAAGGAAATATCTTCGTATAAAAACTAGACAGAATGATTCTCAGAAACTCCTTTGTGATGTGTGCATTCAACTCACAGAGTTTAACCTTTCTTTTCATAGAGCAGTTAGGAAACACTCTGTTTGTAAAGTCTGCAATTGGATATTCAGACCTCCTTGAGGCCTTCGTTGGAAAAGGGATTTCTTCATATTATGCTAGACAGAAGAATTCTCAGTAACTTCCTTGTGTTGTGTGTATTCAACTCACAGAGTTGAACGATCCTTTACACAGAGCAGACTTGAAACACTCTTTTTGTGGAATTTGCAAGTGGAGATTTCAGCCGCTTTGAGGTCAATGGTAGAATAAGAAATATCTTCCTATAGAAACTAGACAGAAATGATTCTCAGAAACTCCTTTGTGATGTGTGCGTTCTACTCACAGAGTTTAACCTTTCTTTTCATAGAGCAGTTAGGAAACACTCTGTTTGTAAAGTCTGCAAGTGGATATTCAGACATCTTTGAGACTTTCGTTGGAAACGGGATTTCATCATATTCTGCTAGACAGAAGAATTCTCAGTAACTTCCTTGTGTTGTGTGTATTCAACTCACAGAGTTGGACGATCCTTTACACAGAGCAGACTTGAAACACTCTTTTTGTGGCATTTGCAAGTGGAGATTTCAGCCGCTTTGAGTTCAATGGTAGAATAGGAAATATCTTCCTATAGAAACTAGACAGAATCATTCTCAGAAACTGCTCTGCGATGTGTGCGTTCAACTCTCAGAGTTTAACTTTTCTTTTCATTCAGCAGTTTGGAAACACTCTGTTTGTAATGTCTGCACGTGGATATTTTGACCACTTAGAGGCCGTCGTTGCAAACGGGTTTTTTTCCTGTAAGGCTAGACAGAAGAATTCCCAGTAACTTCCTTGTGTTGTGTACATTCAACTCACAGAGTTGAACGTTCCCTTAGACAGAGCAGATTTGAAACACTCTTTTTGTGCAATTGGCAAGTGGAGATTTCAAGCGCTTTGAGGTCAATGGCAGAAAAGGAAATATCTTCCTTTCAAAACTAGACAGAAATCATTCCCACAAACTGCGTTGTGATGTGTTCGTTCAACTCACAGAAGTTTAACCTTTCTTTTCATAGAGCAGTTAGGAAACAGTCTGTTTGTAAATTCTGTAAGTGGATATTCTGACATCTTGTGGCCTTCGTTGGAAACGGGATTTCTTCATATTCTGCTAGACAGAAGAATTCTCAGTAACTTCCTTGTGTTGTGTGTATTCAACTCACAGAGTTGAACGATCCTTTACACAGAACAGACTTGTAACACTCTTTTTGTGGAATTTGCAAGTGGAGATTTCAGCCACTTTGAAGTCAAAGGTAGAAAAGGAATTAACTTCCTATAAAAACTAGACAGAATGATTCTCAGAAACTTCTTTGTGATGTGTGTGTTCAACTCACAGAGTTTAACCTTTCTTTTCATAGAGCAGTTAGGAAACACTCTGTTTGTAAACTCTGCAAGTGGATATTCAGACCTCTATGAGGCCTTCGTTGGAAACGGGTTTTTTTCATATAAGGCTAGACAGAAGGATTCCCAGTAACTTCCTTGTGTTGTGTGTGTTCAACTCACAGAGTTGAACTTTCATTTACAAAGAGCATATTTGAAACACTCTTTTTGTGGAATTTGCAAGTGGAGATTTCAAGCGCTTTGAGGCCAAAGGCAGAAAAGGAAATATCTTCGTATAAAAACTAGACAGAATCATTCTCAGAAACTGCTCTGCGATGTGTGCGTTCAACTCTCAGAGTTTAACTTTTCTTTTCATTCAGCAGTTTGGAAACACTCTGTTTGTAAAGTCTGCACGTGGATAATTTGACCACTTAGAGGCCTTCCTTGGAAACGGGTTTTTTTCATGTAAGGCTAGACAGAAGAATTCCCAGGAACTTCCTTGTGTTGCGTACATTCAACTCACACATTTGAACGTTCCCTTAGACAGAGTAGATTTGAAACACTCTTTTTGTGCAATTGGCAAGTGGTGATTTCAGCCGCTTTGAGGTCAATGGTAGAAAAGGAAATATCTTCGTATAAAAACTAGACAGAATCATTCCCACAAACTGCGTTGTGACGTGTTCGTTCAACTCACAGAGTTTAACCTTTCTTTTCATAGAGCAGTTAGGAAACAGTCTGTTTGTAAATTCTGTAAGAGGATATTCTGACATCTTGTGGCCTTCGTTGGAAACGGGATTTCTTCATATTCTGCTAGACAGAAGAATTCTCAGTAACTTCCTTGTGTTGTGTGTATTCAACTCACAGAGTTGAACGATCCTTTACACAGAGCGGACTTGAAACACACGTTTTGTGGAATTTGCAAGTGGAGATTTCAGCCGCGTTGAGGTCAATGGTAGAAAAGGAAATATCTTCGTATAAAAGCTAGACAGAATGATTCTCAGAAACTCCTTTGTGATGTGTGCGTTCAACTAACAGAGTTTAACCTTTCTTTTCATAGAGCAGTTAGGAAACACTCTGTTTGTGAAGTCTGCAAGTGGATATTCAGACCTCTTTGAGGCCTTCGTTGGAAACGGGTTTTTTTCATATAAGGCTAGACAGAAGAATTCCCAGTAACTTCCTTGTGTTGTGTGTGTTCAACTCACAGAGTTGAACTTTCATTTACCCAGAGCAGATTTGAAACACTCTTTTTGTGGAATTTGCAAGTGGAGAATTCAAGCGCTTTGAGGCCAAAGGCAGAAAAGGAAATATCTTCGTATAAAAACTAGACAGAATCATTCTCAGAAACTGCTCTGCGATGTGTGCGTTCAACTCTCAGAGTTTAACTTTTCTTTTCATTCAGCAGTTTGGAAACACTCTGTTTGTAAAGTCTGCACGTGGATAATTTGACCACGTAGAGGCCTTCGATGGAAACGGGTTTTTTTCATGTAAGGCTAGACAGAAGAATTCTCATTAACTTCCTTGTGTTGTGTGTATTCAACTCACACAGTTGAACGATCCTTTACACAGAGTAGACTTGTAACACTCTTTTTGTGGAATTTGCAAGTGGAGATTTCAGCCGCTTTGAAGTCAAAGGTAGAAAAGGAAATATCTTCCTATAAAAACTAGACAGAATGATTCTCAGAAACTTCATTGTGATGTGTGCGTTCAACTCACAGAGTTTAACCTTTCTTTTCATAGAGCAGTTAGGAAACACTCTGTTTGTAAACTCTGCAAGTGGATATTCAGACCTCTTTGAGGCCTTCGTTGGAAACGGGGTTTCTTCATACTGTGCTAGACAGAAGAATTCTCAGTAACTTCCTTGTGTTGTGTGTATTCAACTCACAGAGTTGAACGATCCTTTACACAGAGCGGAGTTGAAACACTCTTTTTGTGGAATTTGCAAGTGGAGATTTCAGCCGCGTTGAGGTCAATGGTAGAAAAGGAAATATCTTCGTATAAAAACTAGACAGAATGATTCTCAGAAACTTCATTGTGATGTGTGCGTTCAACTCACAGAGTTTAACCTTTCTTTTCATAGAGCAGTTAGGAAACACTCTGTTTGTAAACTCTGCAAGTGGATATTCAGACCTCTTTGAGGCCTTCGTTGGAAACGGGATTTCTTCATACTATGCTAGACAGAAGAATTCTCAGTAACTTCCTTGTGTTGTGTGTATTCAACTCACAGAGTTGAACGATCCTTTACACAGAGCGGACTTGAAACACTCGTTTTGTGGAATTTGCAAGTGGAGATTTCAGCCGCGTTGAGGTCAATGGTAGAAAAGGGAATATCTTCGTATAAAAACTAGCACAGAATGATTCTCAGAAACTTCTTTGTGATGTGTGCGTTCAACTCACAGAGTTTAACCTTTCTTTTCATAGATCAGTTAGGAAACACTCTGTTTGTAAACTCTGCAAGTGGATATTCAAACCTCTTTGAGGCCTTCGTTGGAAACGGGATTTCTTCATACTATGCTAGACAGAAGAATTCCCAGTAACTTCCTTGTGTTGTGTGCATTCAACTCACAGAGTTGAACGTTCCCTTAGACAGAGCAGATTTGAAACACTCTATTTGTGCAATTTGCAAGTGTAGTTTTCAAGCTCTTTAAGGTCAACGGCAGAAAAGGAAATATCTTCGTTTCAAAACTAGACAGAATCATTCTCAGAAACTGCTCTGCGATGTGTGCGTTCAACTCTCAGAGTTTAACTTTTCTTTTCATTCAGCAGTTTGGAAACACTCTGTTTGTGAAGTCTGCACGTGGATAACTTGACCACTTAGAGGCCTTCGTTGGAAACGGGTTTTTTTCATGTAAGGCTAGACAGAAGTATTCTCAGTAACTTCCTTGTGTTGTGTGTATTCAACTCACAGAGTTGAACGATCCTTTACACAGAGCGGACTTGTAACACTCTTTTTGTGGAATTTGCAAGTGGAGATTTCAGCCGCTTTGAAGTCAAAGTTAGAAAAGGAAATAACTTCCTATAAAAACTAGACAGAACGATTCTCAGAAACTCCTTTGTGATGTGTGCATTCAACTCACAGAGTTTAACCTTTCTTTTCATAGAGCAGTTAGGAAACACTCTGTTTGTAAAGTGTGCAAGTGGATATTCAGACCTCTTTGAGGCCTTCGTTGGAAACGGGATTTCTTCATATTCTGCTAGACAGAAGAATTCCCAGTAACTTCCTTGTGTTGTGTGTGTTCAACTCACAGAGTTGAACTTTCATTTACACAGAGCAGATTTGAAACCCTCTTTTTGTGGAATTTGCAAGTGGAGATTTCAAGGGCTTTGTGGCCAAAGGCAGAAAAGGAAATGTCTTCGTTTCAAAACTAGACAGAATCATTCTCAGAAACTGCGGCGTGATGTGTGCGTTCAACTCTCAGAGTTTAACTTTTCTTTTCATTCAGCGGTTTGGAAACACTCTGTTTGTAAAGACTGCACGTGGATATTTTGACCACTTAGAGGCCTTCGTTGGAAACGGGTTTTTTTCATGTAAGGCTAGACAGAAGAATTCCCAGTAACTTCCTTGTGTTGTGTACATTCAACTCACAGCAGTTGAACGTTCCCTTAGACAGAGCAGATTTGAAACACTCTTTTTGTGCAATTGGCAAATGGAGATTTCAAGCGCTTTAAGGTCAATGGCAGGAAAGGAAATATCTTCGTTTCAAAACTAGACAGAATCATTCCCAAAAACTGCGTTGTGATGTGTTCGTTAATCTCACAGAGTTTAACCTTTCTTTTCATAGAGCAGTTAGGAAACAGTCTGTTTGTAAATTCTGTAAGTGGATATTCTGACATCTTGTGGCCTTCGTTGGAAACGGGATTTCTTCATATTCTGCTAGACAGAATAATTCTCAGTAACTTCCTTGTGTTGTGTGTATTCAACTCACAGAGTTGAAGGATCCTTTACAGAGAGCAGGCTTGAAACACTCTTTTTGTCGAATTTGCAAGTGGAGATTTCAGCCGCTTTGAGGTCAATGGTAGAATAGAAAATATCTTCTTATAGAAACTAGACAGACTGATTCTCAGAAACTCCTTTGTGATGTGTGCGTTCAACTCACAGAGTTTAACCTTTCTTTTCATAGAGCAGTTAGGAAACACTCTGTTTGTAAAGTCTGCAAGTGGATATTCTGACCTCTTTGAGGCCTTCGTTGGAAACGGGATTTTTTCATATAAGGCTAGACAGAAGAATTCTCAGTAACTTCCTTGTGTTGTGTGTATTCAACTGACAGAGTTGAACTTTCATTTCGAGAGAGCAGATTTGAAACACTGTTTTTGTGGAATTTGCAAGTGGAGATTTCAAGCGCATTGGGGCCAAAGGCAGAAAAGGAAATATCTTCGTATAAAAACTAGACAGAATCATTCTCAGAAACTGCTGCGTGATGTGTGCGTTCAACTCTCAGAGTTTAACTTTTCTTTTCATTCAGCGGTTTGGAAACACTCTGTTTGTAAAGTCTGCACGTTGATATTTTGACCACTTAGAGGCCTTCGTTGGAAACGGGTTTTTTTCATGTAAGGCTAGACAGAAGATTTCTCAGTAACTTCCTTCTGTTGTGTTTATTCAACTCACAGAGTTGAATGATCCTTTACACAGAGCAGACTTGAAACACTCTTTTTGTGGAATTTGCAGTTGGAGATTTCAGCCGCTTTGAGGTCAATGGTAGAAAAGTAAATATCTTCGTATAAAGACTAGACAGAATGATTCTCAGAAACTCCTTTGTGATGTGTGCGTTCAACTCACAGAGTTTAACCTTTCCGTTCATAGAGCAGTTAGGAAACACTCTGTTTGTAAAGTCTGCAAGTGGATATTCAGACCTCCTTGAGGCCTTCGTTGGAAACGGGATTTCTTCATATTCTGCTAGACAGAAGAATTCTCAGTAACTTCCTTGTGTTGTGTGTATTCAACTCACAGAGTTGAATGATCCTTTACACAGAGCAGACTTGAAACACTCTTTTTGTGGAATTTGCAAGTGGAGATTTCAGCCGCTTTGAGGTCAATGGTAGAATAGGAAATATCTTCCTATAGAAACTAGACAGAATGATTCTCAGAAACTCCTTTGCGATGTGTGCGTTCAACTCACAGAGTTTAACCGTTCTTTTCATAGAGCAGTTAGGAAACACTCTGTTTGTAAAGCCTGCAAGGGGATATTCAGACCTCTTTGAAGCCTTCGTTGGAAACGGGATTTCTTCATGTTATGCTAGACAGAAGAATTCCCAGTAACTTCCTTGTGTTGTGTGTGTTCAACTCACAGAGTTGAACTCTCATTTACACAGAGCAGATTTGAAACACTCTTTTTGTGGAATTTGCAAGTGGAGATTTCAAGTGCTTTGAGGCCAAAGGCAGAAAAGGAAATATCTTCGTATAAAAACTAGACAGAATCATTCTCAGAAACTGCTATGCGATGTGTGCGTTCAACTCTCAGAGTTTAACTTTTCTTTTCATTCAGCAGTTTGGAAACACTCTGTTTGTAAAGTCTGCACGTGGATAACTTGACCTACTTAGAGGCCTTCGTTGGAAACGGGTTTTTTTCATGTAAGGCTAGACAGAAGAATTCCCAGTAACTTCCTTGTGTTGTGTGCATTCAACTCACAGAGTTGAACGTTCCCTTAGACAGAGCAGATTTGAAACACTCTATTTGTCCAATTTGCAAGTGTAGATTTCAAGCGCTTTAAGGTCAACGGCAGAAAAGGAAATATCTTCGTTTCAAAACTAGACAGATTCATTCCCACAAACTGCGTTGTGATGTGTTCGTTCAACTCACAGAGTTTAACCTTTCTGTTCATAGAGCAGTTAGGAAACACTCTGTTTGTAAAGTCTGCCAGTGGATATTCAGACCTCCTTGAGGCCTTCGTTGGAAACGGGATTTCTTCATATTCTGCTAGACAGAAGAATTCTCAGAATCTTCCTTGTGTTGTGTGTATTCAACTCACAGAGTTGAACGATGGTTTACACAGAGCAGATTTGAAACACTCTTTTTGTGGAATTTGCAAGTGGAGATTTCAGCCGCTTTGAGGTCAATGGTAGAAAAGTAAATATCTTCATATAAAAACTAGACAGAATGATTCTCAGAAACTTCTTTGTGATGTGTGCGTTCAACTCACAGAGTTTAACCTTTCTTTTCATAGAGCAGTTAGGAAACACTCTGTTTGTAAAGTCTGCAAGTGGATATTCAGACCTGTTTGAGGCCTTCGTTGGAAACGGGATTTCTCCATACTATGCTAGACAGAAGAATTCTCAGTAACTTCCTTGTGTTGTGTGTATTCAACTGACAGAGTTGAACTATCATTTAGAGAGAGCAGATTTGAAACACTGTTTTGTGGAATTTGCAAGTGGAGATTTCAAGCGCTTTGGGGCCAAAGGCAGAAAAGGAAATATCTTCGTATAAAAACTAGACAGAATCATTCTCAGAAACTGCTCTGCGATGTGTGCGTTCAACTCTCAGAGTTTAACTTTTCTTTTCATTCAACAGTTTGGAAACACTCTGTTTGTAAAGTCTGCACGTGGATAACTTGACCACTTAGAGGCCTTCGTTGGAAACGGGTTTTTTTCATGTAAGGCTAGACAGAAGAATTCTCAGTAACTTCATTGTGTTGTGTGTATTCAACTCACAGAGTTCAACGATCCTTTACACAGAGCAGACTTGAAACACTCTTTTTCTGGAATTTGCAAGTGGAGATTTCAGCCGCTTTGAGGTCAATGGTAGAAAAGGAAATATCTTCCTATAAAAACTAGACAGAATGATTCTCAGAAACTCCTTTGTGATGTGTGCGTTCAACTCACAGAGTTTAACCTTTCTTTTTATAGAGCAGTTAGGAAACACTCTGTTTGTAAAGTCTGCAAGTGGATATTCAGACCTCCTTGAGGCCTTCGTTGGAAACGGGATTTCTTCATATTATGCTAGACAGAAGAATTCTCAGTAAGTTCCTTGTAGTGTGTGTATTCAACTCACAGAGTTAAACGATCCTTTACACAGAGCATACTTGAAACACTCTTTTTGTGGAATTTGCAAGTGGAGATTTCAGCCGCTTTGAGGTCAATGGTAGAATAGGAAGTATCTCCCTATAGAAACTAGACAGAATGATTCTCAGAAACTCCTTTGTGATGTGTGCGTTCAACTCACAGAGTTTAACCTTTCTTTTCATAGAGCAGTTAGGAAACACTCTGTTTTTATAGTCTGCAAGTGGATATTCAGACATCTTTGAGGCCTTCGTTGGAAACCGTGATTTCTTCATATTCTGCTATACAGAAGAATTCTCAGAAATTTCCTTCTGTTGTGTGTTTTCAACTCACACAGTTGAACGATGCTTTACACAGAGTAGACTTGAAACACTCTTTTTGTGGAATTTGCAAGTGGAGATTTCAGCCGCTTTGAGGTCAATGGTAGAAAAGGAAATGTCTTCGTATAAAAACTAGACAGAATCATTCTCAGAAACTGCTCTGCGATGTGTGCGTTCAACTCTCAGAGTTTAACTTTTCTTTTCATTCAGCAGTTTGGAAACACTCTATTTGTAAAGTCTGCACGTGGATAATTTGACCACTTAGAGGCCTTCGTTGGAAACGGGTTTTTTTCATGTAAGGCTAGACAGAAGAATTCCCACTAACTTCCTTGTGTTGTGTACATTCAACTCACAGAGTTGAACGTTCCCTTAGACAGAGCAGATTTGAAACACTCTTTTTGTGCAATTGGCAAGTGGAGATTTCAAGCGCTTTAAGGTCAATGGCAGAAAAGGAAATATCTTCGTTTCAAAACTAGACAGAATCATTCCCACAAACTGCGTTGTGATGTGTTCGTTCAACTCACAGAGTTTAACCTTTCTTTTCATAGAGCAGTTAGGAAACAGTCTGTTTGTCAATTCTGTAAGTGGATATTCTGACATCTTGTGGCATTCGTTGGAAACGGGATTTCTTCATATTCTGCTAGACAGAAGAATTCTCAGTAACTTCCTTGTGTTGTGTGTGTTCAACTCACAGAGTTGAACGATCCTTTACAGAGAGCAGACTTGAAACACTCTTTTTGTGGAATTTGCAAGTGGAGTTTTCAGCCGCTTTGAGGTCAATGGTAGAAAAGGAAATATCTTCGTATAAAGACTAGACAGAATGATTCTCAGAAACTCCTTTGTGATGTGTGCGTTCAACTCACAGTGTTTAACCTTTCTTTTCATAGAGCAGTTAGGAAACACTCTGTTTGTAAAGTCTGCAAGTGGATATTCAGACCTCTTTGAGGCCTTCGTTGGAAACGGGTTTTTTTCATATAAGGCTAGACAGAAGAATTCTCAGTAACTTCCTTGTGTTGTGTGTATTCAACTGACAGAGTTGAACTATCATTTAGAGAGAGCAGATTTGAAACACTGTTTTTGTGGAAGTTGCAAGTGGAGATTTCAAGCGCTTTGGGGCCAAAGGCAGAAAAGGAAATATCTTCGTATAAAAATTAGACAGAATCATTCTCAGAAACTGCTGCGTGATGTGTGCGTTCAACTCTCAGATTTTAACTTTTCTTTTCATTCAGCGGTTTGGAAACACTCTGTTTGTAAAGTCTGCACGTGGAAATTTTGACCACTTAGAGGCCTTCGTTGGAAACGGGTTTTTTTCATGTAAGGCTAGACAGAAGAATTCCCAGTAACTTCCCTTGTGTTGTGTGCATTCAACTCACAGAGTTGAACGTTCCCTTAGACAGAGCAGATTTGAAACACTCTATTTGTGCAATTTGCAAGTGTAGATTTCAAGCGCTTTAAGGTCAACGGCAGAAAAGGAAATATCTTCGTTTCAAAACTAGACAGAATCATTCCCACAAACTGCGTTGTGAGGTGTTCGGTAAACTCACAGAGTTTAACCTTTCTTTTCATAGAGCAGTTAGGAAACAGTCTGTTTGTAAATTCTGTAAGTGGATATTCTGACATCTTGTGGCCTTCGTTGGAAACGGGGTTTCTTCATATTCTGCTAGACAGAAGAATTCTCAGTAACTTCCTTGTGTTGTGTGTATTCAACTCACAGAGTTGAACGATCCTTTACACAGAGCAGACTTGAAACACTCTTTTTGTGGATTTTGCAAGTGGAGATTTCAGCCGCTTTGAGTTCAATGGTAGAATAGGAAATATCTTCCTATAGAAACTAGACAGAATGATTCTCAGAAACTCCTTTGTGATGTGTGCGTTCAACTCACAGAGTTTAACCTTTCTTTTCATAGAGCAGTTAGGAAACACTCTGTTTGTAAAGTCTGCAAGTGGATATTCAGACCTCTTTGTGGCCTTCGTTGGAAACGGGATTTCTTCATATTATGCTAGACAGAAGAATTCTCAGTAACTTCCTTGTGTTGTGTGTATTCAACTCACAGAGTTGAACGATCCTTTACACAGAGCAGACTTGAAACACTCTTTTTGTGGAATTTGCAAGTGGAGATTTCTGCCGCTTTGAGGTCAACGGTAGAAAAGGAAATATCTTCGTATAAAAACTAGACAGAATCATTCTCAGAAACTGCTCTGCGATGTGTGCCTTCAACTCTCAGAGTTTAACTTTTCTTTTCATTCAGCAGTTTGGAAACACTCTGTTTGTAAAGTCTGCACGTGGATATTTTGACCACTTAGAGGCCTTCGTTGGAAACGGGTTTTTTTCCTGTAAGGCTAAACAGAAGAATTCCCAGTAACTTCCTTGTGTTGTGTACATTCAACTCACAGAGTTGAACGTTCCCTTAGACAGAGCAGATTTGAAACACTCTTTTTGTGCAATTGGCAAGTGGAGATTACAAGCGCTTTAAGGTCAATGGCAGAAAAGGAAATATCTTCGTTTCAAAACTAGACAGAGTGATTCTCAGAAACTCCTTTGTGATGTCTGCGTTCAACTCACAGAGTTTAACCTTTCTTTTCATAGAGCAGTTAGGAAACACTCTGTTTGTAAAGTCTGCAAGTGCATATTCAGACCTCCTTTAGGCCTTCGTTGGAAACGGGATTTCTTCATATTCTGCTATACAGAAGAATTCTCAGAAACTTCCTTGTGTTTTGTGTATTCAACTCACAGAGTTGAACGATCCTTTAAACAGAGCAGACTTGAAACACTCTTTTTGTGGAATTTGCAAGTGGAGATTTCAGCCGCTTTGAGGTCAATGGTAGAAAAGGAAATATCTTCGTATAAAAACTAGACAGAATGATTCTCAGAAAATCTTTTGTGATGTGTGCGTTCAACTCACAGAGTTTAACTTTTCTTCTCATAGAGCAGTTAGGAAACACTCTGTTTGTAAAGTCTGCAAGTGGATATTCAGACCTCTTTGAGGCCTTCGTTGGAAACGGGATTTCGTCATATTATGCTAGACAGAAGAATTGTCAGTAACTTCCTTGTGTTGTGTGTATTCAACTCACAGAGTTGAACGATCCTTTACACAGAGCAGACTTGAAACACTCTTTTTGTGGAATTTGCATGTGGAGATTTCAGCCGCTTTGAGGTCAATGGTAGAATAGGAAATATCTTCCTATAGAAACTATACAGAATCATTCTCAGAAACTGCTGCGTGATGTGTGCGTTCAACTCTCAGAGTTTAACTTTTCTTTTCATTCAGCGGTTTGGAAACACTCTGTTTGTAATGTCTGCACGTGGATATTTTGACCACTTAGAGGCCTTCGTTGGAAACGGGTTTTTTTCATGTAAGGCTAGACAGAAGAATTCCCAGTAACTTTCCTTGTGTTGTGTGCATTCAACTCACAGAGTTGAACGTTCCCTTAGACAGAGCAGATTTGAAACACTCTATTTGTGCAATTTGCAAGTATAGATTTCAAGCGCTTTAAGGTCAACGGCAGAAAAGGAAATATCTTCGTTTCAAAACTAGACAGAATGATTCTCAGAAACTCCTTTGTGATGTGTGCGTTCAACTCACAGAGTTTAACCTTTCTTTTCATAGAGCAGTTAGGAAACACTCTGTTTGTAAAGTCTGCAAGTGGATATTCAGACCTCTTTGAGGCTTTCGTTGGAAACGGGATTTCTTTATATTCTGCTAGACAGAAGAATTCTCAGTAACTTCCTTGTGTTGTGTGTATTCAACTCACAGAGTTGAACGATCCTTTACACAGAGCAGACTTGAAACACTCTTTTTGTGGAATTTGCAAGTGGAGATTTCAGCGGCTTTGAGGTCAATAGTAGAAAAGGAAATATCTTCGTAGAAAAACTAGTCAGAATGATTCTCAGAAACTCCTTTGTGATGTGTGCGTTCAACTCACAGAGTTTAACCTTTCTTTTCATAGAGAAGTTAGGAAACACTGTGTTTGTAAAGTCTGCAAGTGGATATTCAGACCTCCTTGAGGCCTTCGTTGGAAACGGGATTTCTTCATATTATGCTAGACAGAAGAATTCCCAGTAACTTCCTTGAGTTGTGTGTATTCAACTCACAGAGTTGAACTTTCATTTACACAGAGCAGATTTGAAACACTCTTTTTGTGGAATTTGCAAATGGAGATTTCAAGCCCTTTCAGGCCAAAGGCAGAAAAGGAAATATCTTCGTATGAAAACTAGACAGAGAATCATTCTCAGTAAACTGCTGCGTGATGTGTGCGTTCAACTCTCAGAGTTTAACTTTTCTTTTCATTCAGCGGTTTGGAAACACTCTGTTTGTAAAGTCTGCACGTGGATATTTTGACCACTTAGAGGCCTTCGTTGGAAACGGGTTTTTTTCATGTAAGGCTAGACAGAAGAATTCCCAGTAACTTCCTTGTGTTGTGTGCATTCAAATCACAGAGTTGAACGTTCCCTTAGACAGAGCAGATTTGAAACACTCTATTTGTGCAATTTGCAAGTGTAGATCTCAAGCGCTTTAAGGTCAATGGGAGAAAAGGAAATATCTTCGTTTCAAAACTAGACAGAATCATTCCCACAAACTGCGTTGTGATGTGTTCGTTCAACTCACAGAGTTTAACCTTTCTTTTCATAGAGCAGTTAGGAAACAGTCTGTTTGTCAATTCTGTAAGTGGATATTCTGACATCTTGTGGCCTTCGTTGGAAACAGGATTTCTTCATATTCTGCTAGACAGAAGAATTCTCAGTAACTTCCTTGTGTTGTGTTTATTCAACTCACAGAGTTGAATGATCCTTTACACAGATTAGACTTGAAACACTCTTTTTGTGGAATTTGCAAGTGGAGATTTCTGCCTCTTTGAGGTTAATGGTAGAAAATGAAATATCTTCGTATAGAAACTAGACAGAATGATTCTCATAAACTCCTTTGTGATGTGTGCGTTCAACTCACAGAGTTTAACCTTTCTTTTCATAGAGCTGTTAGGAAACACACTGTTTGTAAAGTCTGCAAGCAGATATTCAGACCTCCTTGAGGCCTTCGTTGGAAACGGGATTTCTTCATATTCTGCTAGACAGAAGAATTCTCAGTAACTTCCTTGTGTTGTGTGTATACAACTCACAGAGTTGAACTTTCATTTAGAGAGAGCAGATTTGAAACACTGTTTTTGTGGAATTTGCAAGTGGAGATTTCAAGCGCTTTGGGGCCAAAGGCAGAAAAGGAAATATCTTCGTATAAAAACTAGACAGAAACATTGTCAGAAACTGCTGCGTGATGTGTGCGTTCAACTCTCAGAGTTTAACTTTTCTTTTCATTCAGCGGTTTGGAAACACTCTGTTTGTAAAGTCTGCACGTGGATATTTTGACCACTTAGAGGCCTTCGTTGGAAACGGGATTTATTCATGTAAGGCTAGACAGAAGAATTCCCAGTAACTTCCTTGTGTTGTGTGCATTCAACTCACAGAGTTGAACGTTCCCTTAGACAGAGCAGATTTGAAACAGTCTATTGGTGCAATTTGCAAGTGTAGATTTCAAGCGCTTTAAGGTCAATGGCAGAAAAGGAAATATCTTCGTTTCAAAACTAGAGAGAATCATTCCCACAAACTGCGTTGTGATGTGTTCGTTCAACTCACAGAGTTTAACCTTTCTGTTCATAGAGCAGTTAGGAAACACTCTGTTTGTAAAGTCTGCAAGTGGATATTCAGACCTCTTTGAGGCCTTCGTTGGAAACGGGATTTCTTCATATTATGCTACACAGAAAAATTCTCAGTAACTTCCTTGTGTTGTCTGTATTCAACTCACAGAGTTGAACGATCCTTTACACAGAGCATACTTGAAACACTCTTTTTGAGGAATCTGCAAGTGGAGATTTCAGCCGCTAAGGGGTCAATGGTAGAATAGGAAATATCTTCCTATAGAAACTAGACAGAATGATTCTCAGAAACTTCATTGTGATGTGTGCGTTCAACTCACAGAGTTTAACCTTTCTTTTCATACAGCAGTTAGGAAACACTCTGTTTGTAAACTCTGCAAGTCGATATTCTCACCTCTTTGAGGCCTTCGTTGGAAACGGGATTTCTTCATACTGTGCTAGACAGAAGAATTCTCAGTAACTTCCTTGTTTTGTGTGTATTCAACTGACAGAGTTGAAATTTCATTTAGAGAGAGCAGATTTGTAACACTGTTTTTGTGGAATTTGCAAGTGGAGATTTCAAGCGCTTTTGGGCCAAAGGCAGAAAAGGAAATATCTTCGTATAAAAACTAGACAGAATCATTCTCAGAAAGTGCTCTGTGATGTGTGCGTTCAACTCTCAGAGTTTAACTTTTCTTTTCATTCAGCAGTTTGGAAACACTCTGTTTGTAAAGTCTGCACGTGGATATTTTGACCACTTAGAGGCCTTCGTTGGAAACGGGTTTTTTTCATGTAAGGGTAGACAGAAGAATTCCCAGTAACTTCCTTGTGTTGTGTACATTCAACTCACACAGTTGAACGTTCCCTTAGACAGAGCAGATTTGAAACACTCTTTTTGTGCAATTGGCAAATGGAGATTTCAAGCGCTTTAAGGTCAATGGCAGAAAAGGAAATATCTTCGTTTCAAAACTAGACAGAATCATTCCCACAAACTGCGTTGTGATGTGTTCGTTCAACTCACAGAGTTTAACCTTTCTGTTCATAGAGCAGTTAGGAAACACTCTGTTTGTAAAGTCTGTAAGTGGATATTCTGACATCCTTGTGGCCTTCGTTGGATACGGGATTTCTTCATATTCTGCTAGACAGAAGAATTCTCAGTAACTTCCTTGTGTTGTGTGTATTCAACTCACAGAGTTGAACGATCCTTTACACAGAGCGGACTTGAAACACTCTTTTTGTGGAATGTGCAAGTGGAGATTTCAGCCGCTTTGAGGTCAATGGTAGAAAAGGAAATATCTTCTTATACAGACTAGACAGAATGATTCTCAGAAACTCCTTTGTGATGTGTGCGTTCAACTCACAGAGTTTAACCCTTCTTTTCATAGAGCAGTTAGGAAACACTCTGTTTGTAAAGTCTGCAAGTGGATATTCAGACCTCTTTGAAGCGTTCGTTGGAAACGGGTTTTTTCATATAAGGCTAGACAGAAGAATTCTCAGTAACTTCCTTGTGTTGTGTGTATTCAACTCACAGAGTTGAATGATCCTTTACACAGAACAGTCTTGAAACCCTCTTTTTGTGGAATTTGCAAGTGGAGATTTCAGCCGCTTTGAGGTCAATGGTAGAATAGGAAATATCTTCCTATAGAAACTAGACAGAATGATTCTGAGAAACTCCTTTGTGATGTGTGCGTTCAACTCACAGAGTTCAACCATTCTTTTCATAGAGCAGTTGGGAAACACTCTGTTTGTAAAGTCTGCAAGTGGATATTCAGACTTCTTTGAGGCCTTCGTTGGAAGCGGGATTTCTTCATATTCTGCTAGACAGAAGAATTCCCAGTAACTTCCTTTTGTTGTGTGTGTTCAACTCACAGAGTTGAACTTTCATTTACACAGAGCAGATTGGAAACACTCTTTTTGTGGAATTTGCCAGTGGAGATTTCAAGCGCTTTGAGGCCAAAGGCAGAAAAGGAAATATCTTCGTATAAAAACTAGACAGAATCATTCTCAGAAACTGCTCTGCGATGTGTGCGCTCAACTCTCAGAGTTTAACTTTTCTTTTCATTCAGCAGTTTGGAAACACTCTGTTTGTAAAGTCTGCACGTGGATAAATTGACTACTTAGAGGCCTTCGTTGGAAACGGGTTTTTTTCATGTAAGGCTAGACAGAAGAATTCCCAGTAACTTCCTTGTGTTGTGTACATTCAACTCACAGAGTTGAACGTTCCGTTAGACAGAGCAGATTTGAAACACTCTTTTTGTGCAATTGGCAAATGGAGATTTCAAGCGCTTTAAGGTCAATGGCAGAAAAGGAAATATCTTCGTTTCAAAACTAGACAGAATCATTCCCAGAAACTGCGTTGTGATGTGTTCGTTCAACTCACAGAGTTTAACCTTTCTGTTCATAGAGCACTTAGGAAACACTCTGTTTGTAAAGTCTGTAAGTGGATATTCTGACATCTTGTGGCCTTCGTTGGAAACGGGATTTTTTCATATTCTGCTAGACAGAAGAATTCTCAGAATCTTCCCTTGTGTTGTGTGTATTCAACTCACAGAGTTGAACGATCCTTTACACAGAGCAGACTTGAAACACTCTTTTTGTGGAATTTGCATGTGGAGATTTCAGCCGCTTTGAGGTCCATGGTAGAAAAGGAAATATCTTCGTATAAAAACTAGACAGAATGATTCTCAGAAACTCCTTTGTGATGTGTACGTTCAACTCACAGAGTTTAACCTTTCTTTTCTTAGAGCAGTTAGGAAACACTCTGTTTGTAAAGTCTGCAAGTGGATATTCAGACCTCTTTGAGGCCTTCGTTGGAAACGGGTTTTTTTCATATAAGGCTAGACAGAAGAATTCTCAGCAACTTCCTTGTGTTGTGTGTATTCAACTGACAGAGTTGAACTTTCATTTAGAGAGAGCAGATTTGAAACACTGTTTTTGTGGAATTTGCAAGTGGAGATTTCAAGCGCTTGGGGGCCAAAGGCAGAAAAGGAAATATCTTCGTATAAAAACTAGACAGAATCATTCTCAGAAACTGCTGCGTGATGTGTGCGTTCAACTCTCAGAGTTTAACTTTTCTTTTCATTCAGCGGTTTGGAAACACTCTGTTTCTAAAGTCTGCACGTGGATATTTTGACCACTTAGAGGCCTTCGTTGGAAACGGGTTTTTTTCATGTAAGGCTAGACAGAAGAATTCCCAGTAACTTCCTTGAGTTGTGTGCATTCAACTCACAGAGATGAACATTCCCTTAGACAGAGCAGATTTGAATCACTCTATTTGTGTAATTTACAAGTGTAGATTTCAAGCGCTTTAAGGTCAATGGCAGAAAAGGAAACATCTTCGTTTCAAAACTAGACAGAATCATTCCCACAAACTGCGTTGTGAGGTGTTCGTTCAACTCACAGAGTTTAACCTTTCTTTTCATAGAGCAGTTAGGAAACAGTCTGTTTGTAAATTCTGTAAGTGGATATTCTGACATCTTGTGGCCTTCGTTGGAAACGGGATTTCTTCATATTCTGCTAGACAGAAGAATTCTCAGTAACTTCCTTGTGTTGTGTGTTTTCAACTCACAAGAGTTGAACGATCCTTTACACAGAGCAGACTTGAAACACTCCTTTTGTGGAATTTGCAAGTGGAGATTTCAGCCGCTTTGAGGTCAATGGTAGAATAGGAAATATCTTCCTATAGAAACTAGACAGAATCATTCTCAGAAACTCCTTTGTGATGTGTGTGTTCAACTCACAGAGTTTAACCTTTCTTTTCATAGAGCAGTTAGTAAACACTCTGTTTATAAAGTCTGCAAGTGGATATTCAGACCCCTTTGAGGCCTTCGTTGGAAACGGGATTTCTTCATATTATTCTAGACAGAAGAATTCTCAGTAACTTCCTTGTGTTGTGTGTATTCAACTGACAGAGTTGAACTTTCATTTAGAGAGAGCAGATTTGAAACACAGTTTTTGTGGAATTTGCAAGTGGAGATTTCAAGCGCTATGGGGCCAAAGGCAGAAAAGGAAATATATTCGTATAAAAACTAGACAGAATCATTCTCAGAAACTGCTCTGTGATGTGTGCGTTCAACTCTCAGAGTTTCACTTTTCTTTTCATTCAGCATTTTGGAAATACTCTGTTTGTAAAGTCTGCACGTGGATATTTTGACCACTTAGAGGCCTTCGTTGGAAACGGGTTTTTTTCATGTAAGGCTAGACAGAAGAATTCCCAGTAACTTCCTTGTGTTGTGTGCATTCCACTCACAGAGTTGAACGTTCCCTTAGACAGAGCAGATTTGAAACACTCTATTTGTGCAATTTGCAAGTGTAGATTTCAAGCGCTTTAAGGTCAATGGCAGAAAAGGAAATATCTTCGTTTCAAAACTAGACAGAATCATTCCCACAAACTGCGTTGTGATGTGTTCGTTCAACTCACAGAGTTTAACCTTTCTGTTCATAGAGCAGTTAGGAAACACTCTGTTTGTAAAGTCTGTAAGTGGATATTCTGACATCCTTGTGGCCTTCGTTTGAAAAGGGATTTCTTCATATTCTGCTAGACAGAAGAATTCTCAGAAACTTCCTTGTGTTGTGTGATTTCAACTCACAGAGTTGAACGATCCTTTACACAGAGCAGACTTGAAACACTCTTTTTGTGGAATTTGCAAGTGGAGATTTCAGCCGCTTTGAGGTCAATGGTAGAATAGGAAATATCTTCCTATAGAAACTAGACAGAATGATTCTCAGAAACTCCTTTGTGATGTGTACGTTCAACTCACAGAGTTTAACCTTTCTTTTCATAGAGCAGTTAGGAAACACTCTGTTTGTAAAGTCTGCAAGTGGATATTCAGACCTCTTTGAGGCCTTCGTTGGAAACGGGTTTTTTTCATATAAGGCTAGACAGAAGAATTCTCAGTAACTTCCTTGTGTTGTGTGTATTCAACTGACAGAGTTGAACTTTCATTTAGAGAGAGCAGATTTGAAACACTGTTTTTGTGGAATTTGCAAGTGGAGATTTCAAGCGCTTTGTGGCCAAAGGTAGAAAAGGAAATATCTTCGTATAAAAACTAGACAGAATCATTCTCAGAAACTGCTGCGTAATGTGTGCGTTCAACTCTCAGAGTTTAACTTTTCTTTTCATTCAGCGGTTTGGAAACACTCTGTTTCTAAAGTCTGCACGTGGAAATTTTGACCATTTAGAGGCCTTCGTTGGAAACGGGTTTTTTTCATGTAAGGCTAGACAGAAGAATTCCCAGTAACTTCCTTGTGTTGTGTGCATTCAACTCACAGAGTTGAACGTTCCCTTAGACAGACCAGATTTGAAACACTCTATTTGTGCAATTTGCAAGTGTAGATTTCAAGCGCTTTAAGGTCAATGGCAGAAAAGGAAATATCGTCGTTTCAAAACTAGACAGAATCATTCCCACAAACTGCGTTGTGATGTGTTCGTTCAACTCACAGAGTTTAACCTTTCTGTTCATAGAGCAGTTAGGAAACACTTTCTTTGTAAAGTCTGTAAGTGGATATTCTGATATCTTGTGGCCTTCGTTGGAAACGGGATTTCTTCATATTCTGCTAGACAGAAGAATTCTCAGTAACTTCCTTGTGTTGTGTGTATTCAACTCACAGAGTTGAACGATCCTTTACACAGAGCAGACATGAAACACTCTTTTTGTGGAATTTGCAAGTGGAGATTTCAGCCGCTTTGAGGTCAATGGTAGAAAAGGAAATATCTTCGTATAAAAACTAGACAGAATGATTCTCAGAAACTCCTTTGTGATGTGTGCGTTCAACTCACAGAGTTCAACCTTTCTTTTCATAGAGCAGTTGGGAAACACTCTGTTTGTAAAGTCTGCAAGTGGATATTCAGACTTCTTTGAGGCCTTCCTTGGAAGCGGGATTTCTTCATATTCAGCTAGACAGAAGAATTCTCAGTAACTTCCTTGTGTTGTGTGTATTCAACTCACAGAGTTGAACGATGCTTTACACAGAGCAGACTTGAAACACTCTTTTTGTGGTATTTGCAAGTGGAGATTTCAGCCGCTTTGAGGTCAATGTTAGAAAAGGAAATATCTTCGTATAAAAACTAGACAGAATCATTCTCAGAAACTGCTCTGCGATGTGTGTGTTCAACTCTCAGAGTTTAACTTTTCTTTTCATTCAGCAGTTTGGAAGCACTCTGTTTGTGAAGTCTGCACGTGGATATTTTGAACACTTAGAGGCCGTCTTTGGAAACGGGTTTTTTTCCTGTAAGGCTAGACAGAAGAATTCCCAGTAACTTCCTTGTGTTGTGTGCATTCAACTCACAGAGTTGAACGTTCCTTAGACAGAGCAGATTTGAAACACTCTATTCGTGCAATTTGCAAGTGTAGATTTCAAGCGCTTTAAGGTCAATGGCAGAAAAGGAAATATCTTCGTTTCAAAACTAGACAGAATCATTCCCACAAACTGCGCTGTGATGTGTTCGTTCAACTCACAGAGTTTAACCTTTCTGTTCATAGAGCAGTTAGGAAACACTCTGTTTGTAAAGTCTGTAAGTGGATATTCTGACATTTTGTGGCCTTCATTGGAAATGGGATTTCTTCATATTCTCCTAGACAGAAGAATTCTCAGTAACTTCCTTGTGTTGTGTGTATTCAACTCACAGAGTTGAACGATCCTTTACACAGAGCAGACTTGTAACACTCTTTTTGTGTAATTTGCAAGTGGAGATTTCAGCCGCTTTGAAGTCAAAGGTAGAAAAGGAAATATCTTCCTATAAAAACTAGACAGAATGATTCTCAGAAACTCCTTTGTGATGTGTGCGTTCAACTCACAGAGTTTAACCTTTCTTTTCATAGAGCAGTTAGGAAACACTCTGTTTGTAAAGTCTGCAAGTGGATATTCAGACGTCTTTGAGGCCTTCGTTGGAAACGGGTTTTTTTCATATAAGGCTAGACAGAAGAACTCCCAGTAACTTCCTTGTGTTGTGTGTGTTCAACTCACAGAGTTGAACTTTCCTTTACACAGAGCAGATTTGAAACACTCTTTTTGTGGAATTTGCAAATGGAGATTTCAGCCGCGTTGAGGTCAATGGTAGAAAAGGAAATATCTTCGTTTCAAAACTAGACAGAATCATTCTCAGAAACTGCTCTGCGATGTGTGCTTTCAACTCTCAGAGTTTAACTTTTCTTTTCATTCAGCAGTTTGGAAACACTCTGTTTGTAAAGTCTGCACGTGGATATTTTGACCACTTAGAGGCCTTCGTTGGAAACGGGTTTTTTTCCTGTAAGGCTAGACAGAAGAATTCCCAGTAACTTCCTTGTGTTGTGTACATTCAACTCACAGAGTTCAACGTTCCCTTAGACAGAGCAGATTTGAAACACTCTTTTTGTGCAATTGGCAAGTGGTGATTTCAGCCGCTTTGAGGTCAATGGTAGAAAAGGAAATATCTTCGTATAAAAACTAGACAGAATCATTCCCACAAACTGCGTTGTGATGTGTTCGTTCAACTCACAGAGTTTAACCTTTCTTTTCATAGAGCAGTTAGGAAACAGTCTGTTTGTAAATTTTGTAAGTGGATATTCTGACATCTTGTGCCCTTCGTTGGAAACGGGATTTCTTCATATTCTGCTAGACAGAAGAATTCTCAGAATCTTCCTTGTGTTGTGTGTATTCAACTCACACAGTTGAACGATACTTTACACAGAGCAGACTTGAAACGCTCTTTTTGTGGAATTTGCAAGTGGAGATTTCAGCCGCGTTGAGGTCAATGGTAGAAAAGGAAATATCTTCGTATAAAAACTAGACAGAATGATTCTCAGAAACTCCTTTGTGATGTGTGCGTTCAACTCACACAGTTTAACCTTTCTTTTCATAGAGCAGTTAGGAAACACTCTGTTTGTAAAGTCTGCAGGTGGATATTCAGACCTCCTTGAGGCATTCGTTGGAAACGGGATTTCTTCATATTATGCTAGACAGAAGAATTCCCAGTAACTTCCTTGTGTTGTGTGTGTTCAACTCACAGAGTTAAACTTTCATTTACCCAGAGCAGATTTGAAACACTCTTTTTGTGGAATTTGCAAGTGGAGATTTCAAGCGCTTTGAGGCCAAAGGCAGAAAAGGAAATATCTTCGTTTCAAAACTAGACAGAATCATTCTCAGAAACTGCTGCGTGATGTGTGCGTTCAACTCTCAGAGTTTAACTTTTCTTTTCATTCAGCGGTTTGGAAACATTCTGTTTGTAAAGTCTGCACGTGGATATTTTGACCACTTAGAGGCCTTCTTTGGAAACGGGTTTTTTTCATGTAAGGCTAGACAGAAGAATTCCCAGTAACTTCCATGTGTTGTGTGCATTCAACTCACAGAATTGAACGTTCCCTTAGACAGAGCAGATTTGAAACACTCTATTTCTGCAATTTGCAAGTGTAGATTTCAAGCGCTTTAAGGTCAATGGCAGAAAAGGAAATATCTTCGTTTCAAAACTAGACAGAATCATTCCCACAAACTGCGTTGTGATGTGTTCGTTCAACTCACAGGGTTTAACCTTTCTTTTCATAGAGCAGTTAGGAAACAGTCTGTTTGTCATTTCTGTAAGTGGATATTCTGACATCTTGTGGCCTTAGTTGGAAACGGGATTTCTTCATATTCTGCTAGACAGAATAATTCTCAGTAACTTCCTTGTGTTGTGTGTATTCAACTCACAGAGTTGAAGGATCCTTTACAGAGAGCAGGCTTGAAACACTGTTTTTGTCGAATTTGCAAGTGGAGATTTCAGCCGCTTTGAGGTCAATGGTAGAATAGGAAATATCTTCTTATAGAAACTAGACAGAATGATTCTGAGAAAGTCCTTTGTGATGTGTGCGTTCAACTCACAGAGTTTAACCTTTTTTTTCATAGAGCAGTTAGGAAACACTCTGTTTGTAAAGTCTGCAAGTGGATATTCAGACCTCTTTGAGGCCTTCGTTGGAAATGGGATTTCTTCATATTATGCTAGACAGAAGAATTCCCAGTAACTTCCTTGTGTTGTGTGTGTTCAACTCACAGAGTTGAACTTTCATTTACACAGAGCAGATTTGAAACTCTCTTTTTGTGGAATTTGCAAGTGGAGATTTCAAGCGCTTTGAGGCCAAAGGCAGAAAAGGAAATATCTTCGTTTCAAAACTAGACAGAATCATTATCAGAAACTGCTGCGTGATGTGTGCGTTCAACTCTCAGAGTTTAACTTTTCTTTTCATTCAGCGGTTTGGAAACACTCTGTTTGTAAAGTCTGCACGTGGATATTTTGACCACTTAGAGGCCTTCGTTGGAAACGGGTTTTTTTCATGTAACGCTAGACAGAAGAATTCCCAGGAACTTCCTTGTGTTGTGTACATTCAACTCACAGAGTTGAACGTTCCCTTAGACAGAGCAGATTTGAAACACTCTTTTTGTGCAATTGGCAAGTGGTGATTTCAGCCGCTTTGAGGTCAATGGTAGAAAAGGAAATATCTTCGTATAAAAACTAGACAGAATGATTCTCAGAAACTCCTTTGAGATGTGTGCGTTCAACTCATAGAGTTTAACTTTTCTTTTCATAGAGCAGTTAGGAAACACTCTGTTTGTAAAGTCTGCAGGTGGATATTCAGACCTCTTTGAGGCCTTCGTTGGAAACGGGATTTCTTCATATTCTGCTAGACAGAAGAATTCTCAATAACTTCCTTGTGTTGTGTGTATTCAACTCACAGAGTTGAACGATCCTTTACACAGAGCAGACTTGAAACACTCTTTTTGTGGAATTTGCAAGTGGAGATTTCAGCCGCTATGAGGTCAATAGTAGAAAAGGAAATATCTTCGTAGAAAAACTAGACAGAATGATTCTCAGAAACTCCTTTGTGATGTGTGCGTTCAACTCACAGAGTTTAACCTTTCTTTTCATAGAGCAGTTAGGAAACACTCTGTTTGTAAAGTCTGCAAGTGGATATTCAGACATCCTAGAGGCTTTCGTTGGAAACGGGATTTCTTCATATTCTGCTATACAGAAGAATTCCCAGTAACTTCCTTGTGTTGTGTGTGTTCAACTCACAGAGTTGAACTTTCATTTACCCAGAGCAGATTTGAAACACTCTTTTTGTGGAATTTGCAAGTGGAGATTTCAAGCGCTTTGAGGCCAAATGCAGAAAAGGAAATATCTTCGTTTCAAAACTAGACAGAATCCTTCTCAGAAACTGCTGCGTGATGTGTGCGTTCAACTCTCAGAGTTTAACTTTTCTTTTCATTCAGCGGTTTGGAAACACTCTGTTTGTAATGTCTGCACGTGGATAATTTGACCACTTAGAGGCCTTCGTTGGAAACGGGTTTTTTGCACGTAAGGCTAGGCAGAAGAATTCCCAGTAACTTCCCTTGTGTTGGGTGCATTAAACTCACAGAGTTGAACGTTCCCTTAGACAGAGCAGATTTGAAACACTCTATTTGTGCAATTTGCAAGTGTAGATTTCAAGCGCTTTAAGGTCAATGGCAGAAAAGGAAATATCTTCGTTTCAAAACTAGACAGAACGTTTCTCAGAAACTCCTTTGTGATGTGTGCGTTCAACTCACAGAGTTTAACCTTTCTTTTCATAGAGCAGTTAGGAAACACTCTGTTTGTAAAGTCTGCAAGTGGATATTCAGACCTCCTTGAGGCCTTCGTTGGAAACGGGATTTCTTCATATTCTGCTAGACAGAAGAATTCTCAGTAACTTCCTTGTGTTGTGTTTATTCAACTCACAGAGTTGAATGATCCTTTACACAGAGCAGACTTGAAACACTCTTTTTATTGAATTTGCAAGTGGAGATTTCAGCCGCTTTGAGGTCAATGGTAGAAAAGTAAATATCTTCGTATAAAGACTAGACAGAATGATTCTCAGAAACTCCTTTGTGATGTGTGCGTTCAACTCACAGAGTTTAACGTTTCTTTTCATAGAGCAGTTAGGAAACACTCTGTTTGTAAAGTCTGCAAGTGGATATTCAGACATCTTTGAGGCCTTCGTTGGAAACGGGATTTCTTCATGTTCTGCTAGACAGAAGAATTCCCAGTAACTTCCTTGTGTTGTGTGTGTTCAACTCACAGAGTTGAACTTTCATTTACACAGAGCAGATTTGAAACACTCTTTTTGTGGAATTTGCAAGAGGAGATTTCAAGCGCTTTGAGGCCAAAGACAGAAAAGGAAATATCTTCGTATAAAAACTAGACAGAATCATTCTCAGAAACTGCTGCGTGATGTGTGCGTTCAACTCTCAGAGTTTAACTTTTCTTTTCATTCAGCGGTTTGGAAACACTCTGTTTGTAAAGTCTGCACGTGGATATTTTGACCACTTAGAGGCCTTCGTTCGAAACGGGATTTTTTCATGTAAGGCTAGACAGAAGAATTCCCAGTAACTTCCTTGTGTTGTGTACATTCAACTCACAGAGTTGAACGTTCCCTTAGACAGAGCAGATTTGAAACACTCTTTTTGTGCAATTGGCAAGTGGAGATTTCAAGCGCTTTAAGTTCAATGGCAGAAAAGGAAATATCTTCGTTTCAAAACTAGACAGAATCATTCCCACAAACTGCGTTGTGAGGTGTTCGTTCAACTCACAGAGTTTAACCTTTCTTTTCATAGAGCAGTTAGGAAACAGTCTGTTTGTAAATTCTGTAAGTGGATATTCTGACATCTTGTGGCCTTCGTTGGAAACGGGATTTCTTCATATTCTGCTAGACAGAAGAATTCTCAGTAACTTCCTTCTGTTGTGTTTATTCAACTCACAGAGTTGAATGATCCTTTACACAGAGCAGACTTGAAACACTCTTTTTGTGGAATTTGCAAGTGGAGGTTTCAGCCGCTTTGAGGTCAATGGTAGAAAAGTAAATATCTTCGTATAAAGACTAGACAGAATGATTCTCAGAAACTCCTTTGTGATGTGTGCGTTCAACTCACAGAGTTCAACCTTTCTTTTCATAGAGCAGTTGGGAAACACTCTGTTTGTAATGTCTGCAAGTGGATATTCAGACTTCTTTGAGGCTTTCGTTGGAAGCGGGATTTCTTCATATTCTGCTAGACAGAAGAATTCTCAGTAACTTCCTTGTGTTGTGTGTATTCAACTCACAGAGTTGAACGATCCTTTACACAGAGCAGACTTGAAACACTCTTTTTGTGGAATTTGCAAGTGGAGATTTCAAGCGCTTTGGGGCCAAAGGCAGAAAAGGAAATATCTTCGTATAAAAACTAGACAGAATCATTCTCAGAAACTGCTGTGTGATGTGTGCGTTCAACTCTCAGAGTTTAACTTTTCTTTTCATTCAGCGGTTTGGAAACACTCTGTTTGTAAAGTCTGCACGTGGATATTTTGACCACTTAGAGGCCTTCGTTGGAAACGGGTTTTTTTCATGTAAGGCTAGACAGAAGAATTCCCAGTAACTTCCTTGTGTTGTGTGCATTCAACTCACAGAGATGAACGTTCCCTTAGACAGAGCAGATTTGAAACACTCTATTTGTGCAATTTGCAAGTGTAGTTTTCAAGCTCTTTAAGGTCAACGGCAGAAAAGGAAATATCTTGGTTTCAAAACTAGACAGAATCATTGTCACAAACTGCGTTGTGATGTGTTCGTTCAACTCACAGAGTTTAACCTTTCTTTTCATAGAGCAGTTAGGAAACACTCTGTTTGTAAAGTCTGCAAGTGGATATTCAGACATCTTTGAGGCTTTCTTTGGAAACGGGATTTCTTCATATTCTTCTAGACAGAAGAATTCTCAGTAACTTTCCTTGTGTTGTGTGCATTCAACTCACAGAGTTGAACGATCCTTTACACAGAGCAGACTTGAGACACTCTTTTTGTGGAATTTGCAAGTGGAGATTTCAGCCGCTTTGAGGTCAATGGTAGAAAAGGAAATATCTTCGTATAAAAACTAGACAGAATGATTCTCATAAACTCCTTTGTGATGTGTGCGTTCAACTCACAGAGTTTAACTTTTCTTTTCATAGAGCAGTTAGGAAACACTCTGTTTGTAAAGTCTGCAAGTGGATATTCAGACCTCCTTGAGGCCATTCGTTGGAAACGGGATTTCTTCATATTCTGCTAGACAGAAGAATTCCCAGTAACTTCCTTGTGTTGTGTGTGTTCAACTCACAGAGTTGAACTTTCATTTACACAGAGCAGATTTGAAACACTCTTTTTGTGGAATTTGCAAGTAGAGATTTCAAGCGCTTTGAGGCCAAAGGCAGAAAAGGAAATGTATTCGTATAAAAACTAGACAGAATCATTCTCAGAAACTGCTCTGCGATGTGTGCGTTCAACTCTCAGAGTTTAACTTTTCTTTTCATTCAGCAGTTTGGAAACACTCTGTTTGTAAAGTCTGCAAGTGGATATTCAGACCTCTTTGAGGCCTTCGTTGGAAACGGGTTTTTTACATATAAGGCTAAACAGAAGAATTCCCAGTAACTTCCTTGTGTTGTGTGCATTCAACTCACAGAGTTGAACGTTCCCTTAGACAGAGCAGATTTGAAACACTCTATTTGTGCAATTTGCAAGTGTAGATTTCAAGCGCTTTAAGGTCAATGGGAGAAAAGGAAATATCTTCGTTTCAAAACTAGACAGAATCATTCCCACAAACTGCGTTGTGATGTGTTCGTTCAACTTACAGAGTTTAACATTTCTGTTCATAGAGCAGTTAGGAAACACTCTGTTTGTAAAGTCTGTAAGTGGATATTCAGACATCTTGTGGCCTTCGTTGGAAACGGGATTTCTTCCTATTCTGCTAGACAGAAGAATTCTCAGTAACTTCCTTGTGTTGTGTGTACTCAACTCACAGAGTTGAAGGATCCTTTACAGAGAGCAGGCTTGAAACACTCTTTTTGTCGAATTTGCAAGTGGAGATTTCAGCCGCTTTGAGGTCAATGGTAGAATAGGAAATATCTTCTTATAGAAACTAGACAGAATGATTATCAGAAAATCCTTTGTGATGTGTGCGTTCAACTCACAGAGTTTAACTTTTCTTTTCATAGAGCAGTTAGGAAACACTCTGTTTGTAAAGTCTGCAAGTGGATATTCAGACCTCTTTGAGGCCTTCGTTGGAAACGGGATTTCTTCATATTATGCTAGACAGAAGAATTCTCAGTAACTTCCTTGTGTTGTGTGTATTCAACTGACAGAGTTGAACTTTCATTTAGAGAGAGCAGATTTGAAACACTGTTTTTGTGGAATTTGCAAGTGGAGATTTCAAGCGCTTTGGGGCCAAAGGCAGAAAAGGAAATATCTTGGTATAAAAACTAGACAGAATCATTCTCAGAAAATGCTCTGCGATGTGTGCGTTCAACTCTCAGAGTTTAACTTTTCTTTTCATTCAGCAGTTTGGAAACACTCTGTTTGTAAAGTCTGCACGTGGATAATTTGATCACTTAGAGGCCTTCGTTGGAAACGGCTTTTTTTCATGTAAGGCTAGACAGAAGAATTCCCAGTAACTTCCTTGTGTTGTGTGCATTCAACTCACAGAGTTGAACGTTCCCTTAGACAGAGCAGATTTGAAACACTCTATTTGTCCAATTTGCAAGTGTAGATTTCAAGCGCTTTAAGGTCAACGGCAGAAAAGGAAATATCTTCGTTTCAAAACTAGACAGAATCATTCCCACAAACTGCGTTGTGATGTGTTCGTTCAACTCACAGAGTTTAACCTTTCTTTTCATAGAGCAGTTAGGAAACAGTCTGTTTGTAAATTCTGTAAGTGGATATTCTGACATCTTGTGGCCTTGGTTGGAAACGGGATTTCTTCATATTCTGCTAGACAGAAGAATTCTCAGTAACTTCCTTGTGTTGTGTGTATTCAACTCACAGAGTTGAACTATCCTTTACACAGAGCAGACTTGTAACACTCTTTTTGTGGAATTTGCAAGTGGAGATTTCAGCCGCTTTGAAGTCAAAGTAGAAAAGGAAATATCTTCCTATAAAAACTAGACAGAATGATTCTCATAAACTCCTTTGTGATGTGTGCGTCCAACTCACAGAGTTTAACCTTTCTTTTCATAGAGCAGTTAGGAAACACTCTGTTTGTAAAGTCTGCAAGTGGATATTCAGACCTCCTTGAGGCCTTCGTTGGAAACGGGATTTCTTCATATTCTGCTAGACAGAAGAATTCTCAGTAACTTCCTTGTGTTGTGTGTATTCAACTGACAGAGTTGAACTTTCATTTAGAGAGAGCAGATTTGAAACACTGTTTTTGTGGAATTTGCAAGTGGATATTTCAAGCGCTTTGGGGCCAAAGGCAGAAAACGAAATATCTTCGTATAAAAACTAGACAGAATCATTCTCAGAAACTGCTGCGTGATGTGTGCGTTCAACTCTCAGAGTTTAACTTTTCTTTTCATTCAGCGGTTTGGAAACACTCTGTTTGTAAAGTCTGCACGTGGACATTTTGACCACTTAGAGGTCTTCTTTGGAAACGGGTTTTTTTCATGTAAGGCTAGACAGAAGAATTCCCAGTAACTTCCTTGTGTTGTGTGCATTCAACTCACAGAGTTGAACGTTCCCTTAGACAGAGCAGATTTGAAACACTCTATTTGTGCAATTTGCAAGTGTAGATTTCAAGCGCTTTAAGGTCAATGGCAGAAAAGGAAATATCTTAGTTTCAAAACTAGACAGAATCATTCTCACAAACTGCGTTGTGATGTGTTCGTTCAACTCACAGAGTTTAACCTTTCTTTTCATAGAGCAGTTAGGAAACAGTCTGTTTGTCAATTCTGTAAGTGGATATTCTGACATCTTGTGGCCTTCGTTGGAAACGGGATTTCTTCATATTCTGCTAGACAGAAGAATTCTCAGTAACTTCCTTGTGTTGTGTGTATTCAACTCACAGAGTTGAACGATCCTTTATAGAGAGCAGACTTTAAACACTCTTTTTGTGGAATTTGCAAGTGGAGATTTCAGCCGCTTTGAGGTCAATGGTAGAAAAGGAAATATCTTCGTATAAAGACTAGACAGAATGATTCTCAGAAACTCCTTTGTGATGTGTGCGTTCAACTCACAGAGTTTAACCTTTCTTTTCATAGAGCAGTTAGGAAACACTCTGTTTGTTAAGTCTGCAAGTGGATATTCAGACCTCTTTGAGGCCTTCGTTGGAAACGGGTTTTCTTCATATTATGCTAGACAGAAGAATTCCCAAGTAACTTCCATGTGTTGTGTGTGTTCAACTCACAGAGTTGAACTTTCATTTACACAGAGTAGATTTGAAACACTCTTTTTGTGGAATTTGCAAATGGAGATTTCAAACTCTTTGAGGCCAAAGGCAGAAAAGGAAATATCTTCGTATAAAAACTAGACAGAAATCATTCTCAGAAACTGCTCTGCGATGTGTGCGTTCAACTCTCAGAGTTTAACTTTTCTTTTCATTCAGCAGTTTGGAAACACTCTGTTTGTAAAGTCTGCACGTGGATAACTTGACCACTTAGAGGACTTCGTTGGAAACGGGTTTTTTTCCTGTAAGGCTAGACAGAAGAATTCCCAGTAACTTCCTTGTGTTGTGTACATTCAACTCACAGAGTTGAACGTTCCCTTAGACAGAGCAGATTTGAAACACTCTTTTTGTGCAATTGGCAAATGGAGATTTCAAGCGCTTTAAGTTCAATGGCAGAAAAGGAAATATCTTCGTTTCAAAACTAGACAGAAATCATTCCCACAAACTGCGTTGTGATGTGTTCGTTCAACTCACAGAGTTTAACCTTTCTTTTCATAGAGCAGTTAGGAAACAGTCTGTTTGTCAATTCTGTAAGTGGATATTCTGACATCTTGTGGCCTTCGTTGGAAACGGGATTTCTTCATATTCTGCTAGACAGAAGAATTCTCAGTAACTTCCTTGTGTTGTGTGTATTCAACTCACAGAGTTGAACGATCCTTTACACAGAGCAGACTTGAAACACTCTTTTTGTGGAATTTGCAAGTGGAGATTTCAGCCGATTTGACGTCAATGGTAGAATAGGAAATATCTTCCTATAGAAACTAGACAGAATGATTCTCAGAAACTCCTTTGTGATGTGTGTGTTCAACTCACAGAGTTTAACCTTTCTGTTCATAGAGCAGTTAGGAAACACTCTGTTTGTAAAGTCTGCAAGTGGATATTCAGACCTCCTTGAGGCCTTCGTTGGAAACGGGATTTCTTCATATTCTGCTAGACAGAAGAATTCCCAGTAACTTCCTTGTGTTGTGTGTGTTCAACTCACAGAGTTGAACTTTCATTTACACAGAGCAGATTTGAAACACTCTTTTTGTGGAATTTGCAAATGGAGATTTCAAGCGCTTTGAGGCCAAAGGCAGAAAAGGAAGTATCTTCGTATAAAAACTAGACAGAATCATTCTCAGAAACTGCTCTGCGATGTGTGCGTTCAACTCTCAGAGTTTAACTTTGCTTTTCATTCAGCAGTTTGGAAACACTCTGTTTGTAAAGTCTGCACGTGGATAATTTGACCACTTAGAGGCCTTCGTTGGAAACGGGTTTTTTTCATGTAAGGCTAGACAGAAGAATTCCCAGTAACTTCCTTGTGTTGTGTGCATTCAACTCACGGAGTTGAACGTTCCCTTAGAGCAGATTTGAAACACTCTATTTGTGCAATTTGCAAGTGTAGATTTCAAGCGCTTTAAGGTCAATGGCAGAAAAGGAAATATCTTCGTTTCAAAACTAGACAGAATCATTCCCACAAACTGCGTTGTGATGTGTTCGTTCAACTCACAGAGTTTAACCTTTCTGTTCATAGAGCAGTTAGGAAACACTCTGTTTGTAAAGTCTGCAAGTGGATATTCAGACCTCCTAGAGGCCTTCGTTGGAAACGGGATTTCTCCATATTCTGCTAGACAGAATAATTCTCAGTAACTTCCTTGTGTTGTGTGTATTCAACTCACAGAGTTGAACGATCCTTTACACAGAGCAGACTTGAAACACTCTTTTTGTGGAATTTGCAAGTGGAGATTTCAGCCGCTTTGAGGTCAATGGTAGAAAAGGAAACTATCTTCGTATAAAGACAAGACAGAATGATTCTGAGAAACTCCTTTGTGATGTGTGCGTTCAACTCACAGAGTTTAACCTTTCTTTTCATAGAGCAGTTAGGAAACACTCTGTTTGTAAAGTCTGCAAGTGGATATTCAGACCTCCTTGAGGCCTTCGTTGGAAACGGGATTTCTTCCTATTATGCTAGACAGAAGAATTCTCAGTAACTTCCTTGTGTTGTGTGTATTCAACTCACAGAGTTGAATGATCCTTTACACAGAGCAGACTTGAAACACTCTTTTTGTGGAATTTGCAAGTGGAGATTTCAGCCGTTTTGAGTTCAATGGTAGAATAGGAAATATCTTCCTATAGAAACTAGACAGAATCATTCTCAGAAACTGCTCTGCGATGTGTGCGTTCAACTCTCAGAGTTTAACTTTTCTTTTCATTCAGCAGTTTGGAAACACTCTGTTTGTAAAGTCTGCACGTGGATAATTTGACCACTTAGAGACCTTCGTTGGAAACGGGTTTTTTTCATGTAAGGCTAGACAGAAGAATTCTCAGTAACTTCCTTGTGTTGTGTGTATTCAACTCACAGAGTTGAACGATCCTTTACACAGAGCAGACTTGAAACACTCTTTTTGTGGAATTTCCAAGTGGAGATTTCAGCCGCTATGTGGTCAATGGTAGAATAGCAAATATCTTCCTATAGAAACTAGACAGAATGATTCTCAGAAACTCCTTTGTGATGTGTGCGTTCAACTCACAGATTTTAACCGTTCTTTTCATAGAGCAGTTAGGAAACACTCTGTTTGTAAAGTCTGCAAGTGGATATTCAGACCTCTTTGAGGCCTTCGTTGGAAATGGGATTTCTTCATATTCTGCTAGACAGAAGAATTCTCAGTAACTTCCTTGTGTTGTGTGCATTCAACTCACAGAGTTGAACGATCCTTTACACAGAGCAGACTTGAAACACTCTTTTCGTGGAATTTGCAAGTGGAGATTTCTGCCGCTTTGAGGTCAATTGTAGAATAGGAAATATCTTCCTGTAGAAACTAGACAGAATGATTCTCAGAAACTCCTTTGTGATGTGTGCGTTCAACTCACAGACTTTAACCTTTCTTTTCATAGAGCAGTTAGGAAACACTCTGTTTGTAAAGTCTGCAAGTGGATATTCAGACCTCTTTGAGGCCTTCGTTGGAAACGGGTTTTTTTCATATAAGGCTAGACAGAAAGAATTCCCAGTAACTTCCTTGTGTTGTGTGTGTTCAACTCACAGAGTTGAGCTTTCATTTACACAGAGCAGATTTGAAACACTCTTTTTGTGGAATTTGCAAGTGGAGATTTCAAGCGCTTTGAGGCCAAAGGCAGAAAAGGAAATATCTTCGTATAAAAACTAGACAGAATCATTCTCAGAAACTGCTCTGCGATGTGTGCGTTCAACTCTCAGAGTTTAACTTTTGTTTTCATTCAGCAGTTTGGAAACACTCTGTTTGTAAAGTCTGCACGTGGATAATTTGACCACTTAGAGGCCTTCGTTGGAAACGGGTTTTTTTCATGTAAGGCTAGACAGAAGAATTCTCAGTAACTTCCTTGTGTTGTGTGTATTCAACTGACAGAGTTGAACTTTCATTTAGAGAGAGCAGATTTGAAACACTGTTTTTGTGGAATTTGCAATTGGAGATTTCAAGCACTTTGGGGCCAAAGGCAGAAAAGGAAATATCTTCGTTTCAAAACTAGACAGAATCATTCCCACAAACTGCGTTGTGATGTGTTTGTTCAACTCACACAGTTTAACCTTTCTGTTCATAGAGCAGTTAGGAAACACTCTGTTTGTAAAGTCTGCAAGTGGATATTCAGACCTCCGTGAGGCCTTCGTTGGAAACGGGATTTCTTCATATTCTGCTAGACAGAAGAATTCTCAGTAACTTCCTTGTGTTGTGTGTATTCAACTCACAGAGTTGAACGATCCTTTACACAGAGCAGACTTGAAACACTCTTTTTGTGGAATTTGCAAGTGCAGATTTCAGCCGCTTTGAGGTCAATGGTAGAATAGGAAATATCTTCCTATAGAAACTAGACAGAATGATTCTCAGAAACTCCTTTGTGATGTGTGCGTTCAACTCACAGAGTTTAACCTTTCTTTTCATAGAGCAGTTAGGAAACACTCTGTTTGTAAAGTCTGTAAGTGGATATTCAGACATCCTTGAGGCTTTCGTTGGAAACGGGATTTCTTCATATTCTGCTAGAAAGAAGAATTCTCAGTAACTTCCTTGTGTTGTGTGTATTCAACTCACAGAGTTGAATGATCCTTTACACAGAACAGTCTTGAAACACTCTTTTTGTGGAATTTGCAAGTGGAGATTTCAGCCGCTTTGAGGTCAACGGTAGAATAGGAAATATCTTCCTATAGAAACTAGACAGAATCATTCTCAGAAACTGCTCTGCGATGTGTGCGTTCAACTCTCAGAGTTTAACTTTTCTTTTCATTCAGCAGTTTGGAAACACTCTGTTTGTAAAGTCTGCACGTGGATATTTTGACCACTTAGAGGCTCTTCGTTGGAAACGGGTTTTTTTCCTGTAAGGCTAGACAGTAGAATTCCCAGTAACTTCCTTGTGTTGTGTACATTCAACTCACAGAGTTGAACGTTCCCTTAGACAGAGCAGATGTGAAACACTCTTTTTGTGCAATTGGCAAGTGGAGATTTCAAGCGCTTTAAGGTCAATGGCAGAAAAGGAAATATCTTCGTTTCAAAACTAGACAGAATCATTCCCACAAACTGCGTTGTGATGTGTTCGTTCAACTCACCAGAGTTTAACCTTTCTTTTCATAGAGCAGTTAGGAAACACTCTGTTTGTAAATTCTGTAAGTGGATATTCTGACATCTTGTGGCCTTCGTTGGAAACGGGATTTCTTCATATTCTGCTAGACAGAAGAATTCTCGGAATCTTCCTTGTGTTGTGTGTATTCAACTCACAGAATTGAACGATGGTTTACACAGAGCAGATTTGAAACACTCTTTTTGTGGAATTTGCAAGTGGAGATTTCAGCCGCTTTGAGGTCAATGGTAGAAAAGGAAATATCTTCGTATAAAAACTAGACAGAATGATTCTCAGAAACTTCTTTGTGATGTGTGCGTTCCACTCACAGAGTTTAACCTTTCTTTTCATAGAGCAGTTAGGAAACACTCTGTTTGTAAACTCTGCAAGTGGATATTCAGACCTCTTTGAGGCCTTCGTTGCAAACGGGATTTCTTCATATTATGCCTGAGAGAAGAATTCTCAGTAACTTCCTTGTGTTGTGTGTATTCAACTGACAGAGTTGAACTTTCATTTAGAGAGAGCAGATTTGAAACACTGTTTTTGTGGAATTTGCAAGTGGAGATTTCAAGCGCTATGGGGCCAAAGGCAGAAAAGGAAATATCTTTGTATAAAAACTAGACAGAATCATTCTCAGAAACTGCTCTGCGATGTGTGTGTTCAACTCTCACAGTTTAACTTTTCTTTTCATTCAGCAGTTTGGAAACACTCTGTTTGTAAAGTCTGCACGTGGATAATTTGACCACTTAGAGGCCTTCGTTGGAAACGGGTTTTTTTCATGTAAGGCTAGACAGAAGAATTCCCAGTAACTTCCTTGTGTTGTGTACATTCAACTCACAGAGTTGAACGTTCCCTTAGACAGAGCAGATTTGAAACACTCTTTTTGTGAAATTGGCAAGTGGTGATTTCAAGCGCTTTAAGGTCAATGGCAGAAAAGGAAATATCTTCGTTTCAAAACTAGACAGAATCATTCCCACAAACTGCGTTGTGAGGTGTTCGTTCAACTCACAGAGTTTAACCTTTCTTTTCATAGAGCAGTTAGGAAACAGTCTGTTTGTAAATTCTGTAAGTGGATATTCTGACATCTTGTGGCCTTAGTTGGAAACGGGATTTCTTCATATTCTGCTAGACAGAAGAATTCTCAGTAACTTTCCTTGTGTTGTGTGTATTCAACTCACAGAGTTGAACGATCCTTTACACAGAGCAGACTTGTAACACTCTTTTTGTGGAATTCGCAAGTGGAGATTTCAGCAGCTTTGAAGTCAAAGGTAGAAAAGGAAATATCTTCCTATAAAAACTAGACAGAATGATTCTCAGAAACTTCTTTGTGATGTGTGCGTTCAACTCACAGAATTTAACCTTTCTTTTCATAGAGCAGTTAGGAAACACTCTGTTTGTAAACTCTGCAAGTGGATATTCAGACCTGTTTGAGGCCTTCGTTGGAAACGGGATTTCTTCATACTATGCTAGACAGAAGAATTCTCAGTAACTTCCTTGTGTTGTGTGTATTCAACTCACAGAGTTGAACGATCCTTTACACAGAGCAGACTTGTAACACTCTTTTTGTGGAATTTGCAAGTGGAGATTTCAGCCGCTTTGACGTCAAAGGTAGAAAAGGAAATATCTTCCTATACAAACTAGACAGAATCATTCTCAGAAACTGATCTGTGATGTTTGCGTTCAACTCTCAGAGTTTAACTTTTCTTTTCATTCAGCAGTTTGGAAACACTCTGTTTGTGAAGTCTGCACGTGGATAATTTGACCACTTTGAGGCCTTCGTTGGAAACGGGTTTTTTTCCTGTAAGGCTAGACAGAAGAATTCTCAGAAACTTCCTTGTGTTGTGTGTTTTCAAATCACAGAGTTGAACGATGCTTTACACAGAGTAGACTTGAAACACTCTTTTTGTGTAATTTGCAAGTGGAGATTTCAGCCGCTTTGAGGTCAATGGTAGAAAAGGAAATATCTTCGTATAAAAATTAGACAGAATGATTCTCAGAAACTCCTTTGTGATGTGTGCGTTCAACTCACAGAGTTTAACCTTTCTTTTCATAGAGTAGTTAGGAAACACTCTGTTTGTAAAGTCTGCAAGTGGATATTCAGACCTCCTTGAGACCTTCGTTGGAAACGGGATTTCTTCATATTATGCTAGACAGAAGAATTCTCAGTAACTTCCTTGTGTTGTGTGTATTCAACTCACAGAGTTGAACGATCCTTTACACAGAGCAGACTTGAAACACTCTTTTTGTGGAATTTGCAAGTGGAGATTTCAGCCGCTTTGAGGTCAACGGTAGAATAGGAAATATCTTCCTATAGAAACTAGACAGAGTGATTCTCATAAACTCCTTTGTGATGTGTGCGTTCAACTCACAGAGTTTAACCTTTCTTTTCATAGAGCAGTTAGGAAACACTCTGTTTGTAAAGTCTGCAAGTGGATATTCAGACCTCCTTGAGGCCTTCTTTGGAAACGGGATTTCTTCATATTCTGATAGACAGAAGAATTCTCAGAAACTTCCTTGTGTTGTGTGTTTTCAACTCACAGAGATGAACGATCCTTTACACAGAGCAGACTTGAAACACTCCTTTTGTGGAATTTGCAAGTGGAGATTTCAGCCGCTTTGAGTTCAATGGTAGAATAGGAAATATCTTCCTATAGAAAGTAGACAGAATGATTCTCAGAAACTCCTTTGTGATGTGTACGTTCAACTCACAGAGTTTAACCTTTCTTTTCATAGAGCAGTTAGGAAACACTCTGTTTGTAAAGTCTGCATGTGGATATTGAGACCTCTTTGAGGCCTTCGTTGGAAACGGGTTTTTTTCATATAAGGCTAGACAGAAGAATTCCCAGTAACTTCCTTGTGTTGTGTGTGTTCAACTTACAGAGTTGAACTTTCATTTACACAGAGCAGATTTGAAACACTCTTTTTGTGGAATTTGTAAGTGGAGATTTCAAGCGCTTTGAGGCCAAAGGCAGAAAAGGAAATATCTTCGTATAAAAACTAGACAGAATCATTCTCAGAAACTGCTGTGTGATGTGTGCGTTCAACTCTCAGAGTTTAACTTTTCTTTTCATTCAGCGGTTTGGAAACACTCTGTTTGTAAAGTCTGCACGTGGATATTTTGACCACTTAGAGGCCTTCGTTGGAAACGGGTTTTTTTCATGTAAGGCTAGACAGAAGAATTCCCAGTAACTTCCTTGTGTTGTGTGCATTCAACTCACAGAGTTGAACGTTCCCTTAGACACAGCAGATTTGAAACACTCTATTTGTGCAATTTGCAAGTGTAGATTTCAAGCGCTTTAAGGTCAATGGCAGAAAAGGAAATATCTTCGTTTCAATACTAGACAGAATCATTCCCACAAACTGCGTTGTGATGTGTTCGTTCAACTCACAGAGTTTAACCTTTCTTTTCATAGAGCAGTTAGGAAACACTCTGTTGGTAAATTCTGTAAGTGGATATTCTGACATCCTTGTGGCCTTCAGTGGAAACGGGATTTCTTCATATTCTGCTAGACAGAAGAATTCTCAGAATCTTCCTTGTGTTGTGTGTATTCAACTCACACAGTTGAACGATTGTTTACACAGAGCAGATTTGAAACACTCTTTCTCTGGAATTTGCAAGTGGAGATTTCAGCCGCTTTGAGGTCCATGGTAGAAAAGGAAATATCTTCGTATAACAACTAGACAGAATGATTCTCAGAAACTCCTTTGTGATGTGTGCGTTCAACTCACAGAGTTTAACCTTTCTATTCATAGAGCAGTTAGGAAACACTCTGTTTGTAAAGTCTGCAAGTGGATATTCAGACCTCTTTGAGGCCTTCGTTGGAAACGGGTTTTTTTCATATAAGGCTAGACAGAAGAATTCCCAGTAACTTCCTTGTGTTGTGTGTGTTCAACTCACAGAGTTGAACTTTGATTTACACAGAGCAGATTTGAAACACTCTTTTTGTGGACTTTGCAAGTGGAGATTTCAAGCGCTTTGAGGCCAAAGGCAGAAAAGGAAATATCTTCGTTTCAAAACTAGACAGAATCATTCTCAGAAACTGCTCTGCGATGTGTGCGTTCAACTCTCAGAGTTTAACTTTTCTTTTCATTCAGCAGTTTGGAAACACTCTGTTTGTAAAGTCTGCACGTGGATATTTTGACCACTTAGAGGCCTTCGTTGGAAACGGGTTTTTTCCTGTAAGGCTAGACAGAAGAATTCCCAGTAACTTCCTTGTGTTGTGTACATTCAACTCACAGAGTTGAACGTTCCCTTAGACAGAGCAGATTTGAAACACTCTATTTGTGCAATTGGCAAGTGGAGATTTCAAGCGCTTTAAGGTCAATGGCAGAAAAGGAAATATCTTCGTTTCAAAACTAGACAGAATCATTCCCACAAACTGCGTTGTGATGTGTTCGTTCAACTCACAGAGTTTAACCTTTCTTTTCATAGAGCAGTTAGGAAACACTCTGTTGGTAAATTCTGTAAGTGGATATTCTGACATCTTGTGGCCTTCGTTGGAAACAGGATTTCTTCATATTCTGCTACACAGAAGAATTCTCAGTAACTTCCTTGTGTTGTGTGTATTCAACTCACAGAGTTGAACGATCCTTTACACAGAGCAGACTTGGAACACTCTTTTTGTGGAATTTGCAAGTGGAGATTTCAGCCGCTTTGAGGTCCATGGTAGAAAAGGAAATATCTTCGTATAAAAACTAGACAGAATGATTCTCAGAAACTCCTTTGTGATGTGTGCGTTCAACTCACAGAGTCTAACCTTTCTTTTCATAGAGCAGTTAGGAAACACTCTGTTTGTAAAGTCTGCAAGTGGATATTCAGACATCTTTGAGGCTTTCGTTGGAAACGGGATTTCTTCATATTCTGCTAGACAGAAGAATTCTCAGTAACTTCCTTGTGTTGTGCGTATTCAACTGACAGAGTTGAACTTTCATTTAGAGAGAGCAGATTTGAAACACTGTTTTTGTGGAATTTGCAAGTGGAGATTTCAAGCGCTTTGGGGCCAAAGGCAGAAAACGAAATATCTTCGTATAAAAACTAGACAGAAATCATTCTCAGAAAACTGCTGCGTGATGTGTGCGTTCAACTCTCAGAGTTTAACTTTTCTTTTCATTCAGCGGTTTGGAAACACTCTGTTTGTAAAGTCTGCACGTGGATATTTTGACCACTTAGAGGCCTTCGTTGGAAACGGGTTTTTTTCATGTAAGGCTAGACAGAAGAATTCCCAGTAACTTCCTTGTGTTGTGTACATTCAACTCACAGAGTTGAACGTTCCCTTAGACAGAGCAGATTTGAAACACTCTTTTTGTGCAATTGGCAAGTGGAGATTTCAAGCGCTTTGAGGTCAATGGCAGAAAAGGAAATATCTTCGTTTCAAAACTAGACAGAATCATTCCCAAAAATTGCGTTGTGATGTGTTCGTTAAACTCACAGAGTTTAACCTTTCTGTTCATAGAGCAGTTAGGAAACACTCTGTTTGTAAAGTCTGTAAGTGGAAATTCTGACATCTTGTGGCCTTCGTTGGAAACGGGATTTCTTCATATTATGCTAGACAGAAGAATTCTCAGAAACTTCCTTGTGTTGTGTGTTTTCAACTCACAGAGTTGAACGATCCTTTACACAGAGCAGACTTGAAACACTCCTTTTGTGGAATTTGCAAGTGGAGATTTCAGCCGCTTTGAGGTCAATGGTAGAAAAGGAAATATCTTCGTATAAAAACTAGACAGAATGATTCTCATAATCTCCTTTGTGATGTGTCCGTTCAACTCACAGAGTTTAACCTTCCTTTTCATAGAGCAGTTAGGAAACACTCTGTTTGTAAAGTCTGCAAGTGGATATTCAGACCTCCTTGAGGCCTTCGTTGGAAACGGGATTTCTTCATATTCTGCTAGACAGAAGAATTCCCAGTAACTTCCTTGAGTTGTGTGTGGTCAACTCACAGAGTTGAACTTTCATTTACACAGAGCAGATTTGAAACACTCTTTTTGTATAATTTGCAAATGGAGATTTCAAGCGCTTTGAGGCCAAAGGCAGAAAAGGAAATATCTTCTTATAAAAACTAGACAGAATCATTCTCAGAAACTGCTCTGCGATGTGTGCGTTCAACTCTCAGAGTTTAACTTTTCTTTTCATTCAGCAGTTTGGAAACACTCTGTTTGTAAAGTCTGCACGTGGATATTTTGACCACTTAGAGGCCTTCGTTGGAAACGAGTATTTTTTCCTGTAAGGCTAGACAGAAGAATTCCCAGTAACTTCCTTGTGTTGTGTACATTCAACTCACAGAGTTGAACGTTCCCTTAGACAGAGCAGATTTGAAAGACTCTTTTTCTGCAATTGGCAAATGGAGATTTCAAGCGCTTTAAGGTCAATGGCAGAAAAGGAAATATCTTCGTTTCAAAACTAGACAGAATGATTCTCATAAACTCCTTTGTGATGTGTGCGTTCAACTCACAGAGTTTAACTTTTCTTTTCATAGAGCAGTTAGGAAACACTCTGTTTGTAATGTCTGCAAGTGGATATTCAGACCTCCTTGAGGCCTTCGTTGGAAACGGGATTTCTTCATATTCTGCTAGACAGAAGAATTCTCAGTAACATCCTTGTGTTGTGTGTATTCAACTCACAGAGTTGAACGATCCTTTACACAGAGCAGACTTGAAACACTCTTTTTGTTGAATTTGCAAGTGGAGATTTCAGCCGCTTTGAGGTCAATGGTAGAAAAGGAAATATCTTCGTATAAAAACTAGACAGAATGATTCTCAGAAACTCCTTTGTGATGTGTGCGTTCATCTCACAGAGTTTAACTTTTCTTTTCATAGAGCCGTTAGGAAACACTCTGTTTGTAAAGTCTGCAAGTGGATATTCAGACCTCTTTGAGGCCTTCGTTGGAAACGGGATTTCTTCATATTATGCTAGACAGAAGAATTCCCAGTAACTTCCATGTGTTGTGTGTGTTCAACTCACAGAGTTGAACTTTCATTTACACAGAGCAGATTTGAAACACTCTTTTTGTGGAATTTGCAAATGGAGATTTCAAGCGGTTTGAGGCCAAAGGCAGAAAAGGAAATATCTTCGTATAAAAACTAGACAGAATCATTCTCAGAAACTGCTGCGTGATGTGTGCGTTCAACTCTCAGAGTTTAACTTTTCTTTTCATTCAGCGGTTTGGAAACACTCTGTTTGTAAAGTCTGCACGTGGATATTTTGACCACTTAGAGGCCTTCGTTGGAAACGGGTTTTTTCATGTAAGGCTAGACAGAAGAATTCCCAGTAACTTCCTTGTGTTGTGTGCATTCAACTCACAGAGTTGAACGTTCCCTTAGACAGAGCAGATTTGAAACACTCTATTTGTGCAATTTCCAAGTGTAGATTTCAAGCGCTTTAAGGTCAACGGCAGAAAAGGAAATATCTTCGTTTCAAAACTAGACAGAATCATTCCCACAAACTGCGTTGTGATGTGTTCGTTCAACTCACAGAGTTTAACCTTTGTGTTCATAGAGCAGTTAGGAAACACTCTGTTTGTAAAGTCTGTAAGTGGATATACTGACATCTTGTGGCCTTCGTTGGAAACCGGATTTCTTCATATTCTGCTAGACAGAAGAATTCTCAGTAACTTCCTTGTGTTGTGTGTATTAAACTCACAGGGTTGAACGATCCTTTAAACAGAGCAGACTTGAAACACTCTTTTTGTGGAATTTGCAAGTGGAGATTTCAGCCGCTTTGAGGTCAATGGTAGAAAAGGAAAGTATCTTCGTATAAAGACTAGACAGAATGATTCTCAGAAACTCCTTTGTGATGTGTGTGTTCAACTCACAGAGTTTAACCTTTCTTTTCATAGAGCAGTTAGGAAACACTCTGTTTGTAAAGTCTGCAAGTGGATATTCAGACCTCTTTGAGGCCTTCGTTGGAAACGGGTTTTTTTCATATGAGGCTAGACAGAAGAATTCCCAGTAACTTCCTTGTGTTGTGTGTGTTCAACTCACAGAGTTGAACTTTCATTTACACAGAGCAGATTGGAAACACTCTTTTTGTGAAATTTGCAAGTGGAGATTTCAAGTGCTTTGAGGCCAAAGGCAGAAAAGGAAATATCTTCGTATAAAAACTAGACAGAATCATTCTCAGAAACTGCTCTGCGATGTGTGCTGTTCAACTCTCAGAGTTTAACTTTTCTTTTCATTCAGCAGTTTGGAAACACTCTGTTTGTAAAGTCTGCACGTGGATATTTTGACCACTTAGAGGCCTTCGTTGGAAACGGGTTTTTTTCCTGTAAGGCTAGACAGAAGAATTCCCAGTAACTTCCTTGTGTTGTGTACATTCAACTCACAGAGTTGAACGTTCCCTTAGACAGAGCAGATTTGAAACACTCTTTTTGTGCAATTGGCAAGTGGTGATTTCAGCCGCTTTGAGGTCAATGGTAGAAAAGGAAATATCTTCGTATAAAAACTAGACAGAATCATTCCCACAAACTGCGTTGTGATGTGTTCGTTCAACTCACAGAGTTTAACCTTTGTGTTCTTAGAGCAGATAGGAAACACTCTGTTTGTAAAGTCTGTAAGTGGATATTCTGACATCCTGTGGCCTTCGTTGGAAACGGGATTTCTTCATATTCTGCTAGACAGAAGAATTCTCAGTAACTTCCTTATGTTGTGTGTATTCAACTCACAGAGTTGAACTATCCTTTACACAGAGCAGACTTGAAACACTCTTTTTGTGGAATTTGCAAGTGGAGATTTCAGCCGCTTTGAGGTCAATGGTAGAATAGGAAATATCTTCCTATAGAAACTAGACAGAATGATTCTCAGAAACTCCTTTGTGATGTGTGCGTTCAACTCACAGAGTTTAACCTTTCTTTTCATAGAGCAGTTAGGAATCACTCTGCTTGTAAAGTCTGCAAGTGGATATTCAGCCCTCTTTGAGGCCTTCGTTGGAAACGGGTTTTTTTCATATAAGGCTAGACAGAAGAATTCCCAGTAACTTCCTTGTGTTGTGTGTGTTCAACTCACAGAGTTGAACTTTCATTTAAACAGAGCAGATTTGAAACACTCTTTTTGTGGAATTTGCAAGTGGAGATTTCAAGCGCTTTGAGGCCAAAGGTAGAAAAGGAAATATCTTCGTTTCAAAACTAGACAGAATCATTCTCAGTAAACTGCTCTGCGATGTGTGCGTTCAACTCTCAGAGTTTAACTTTGCTTTTCATTCAGCAGTTTGGAAACACTCTGTTTGTAAAGTCTGCACGTGGATAATTTGACCACTTAGAGGCCTTCGTTGGAAACGGGTTTTTTTCATGTAAGGCTAGACAGAAGAATTCCCAGTAACTTCCTTGTGTTGTGTGCATTCAACTCACAGAGTTGAACGTTCCCTTAGACAGAGCAGATTTGAAACTCTCTATTTGTGCAATTTGCAAGTGTAGATTTCAAGCGCTTTAAGGTCAATGGCAGAAAAGGAAATATCTTCGTTTCAAAACTAGACAGAATCATTCCCACAAACTGCGTTGTGATGTGTTCGTTCAACTCACAGAGTTTAACATTTCTGTTCATAGAGCAGTTAGGAAACACTCTGTTTGTAAAGTCTGCAAGTGGATATTCAGACCTCCTTGAGGCCTTCGTTGGAAACGGGATTTCTTCATATTCTGCTAGACAGAAGAATTCTCAGTAACTTCCTTGTGTTGTGTGTATTCAACTCACAGAGTTGAACGATCCTTTACACTGAGCAGACTTGAAACATTCTTTTTGTGGAATTTGCAAGTGGAGATTTCAGCCGCTTTGTGGTCAATGGTAGAATAGGAAATATCTTCCTATAGAAACTAGTCAGAATGATTCTCAGAAACTCCTTTGTGATGTGTGCGTTCAACTCACAGAGTTTAACCTTTCTTTTCATAGAGCAGTTAGTAAACACTCTGTTTGGAAAGTCTGCAAGTGGATATTCAGACCTCTTTGAGGCCTTCGTTGGAAACGGGATTTCTTCATATTCTGCTAGACAGAAGAATTCCCAGTAACTTTCTTGTGTTGTGTGTGTTCAACTCACAGGGTTGAACTTTCATTTACACAGAGCAGATTTGAAACACTCTTTTTGTGGAATTTGCAAATGGAGATTTCAAGCGCTTTGAGGCCAAAGGCAGAAAAGGAAATATCTTCGTATAAAAACTAGACAGAATCATTCTCAGAAACTGCTGCGTGATGTGTGCGTTCAACTCTCAGAGTTTAACTTTTCTTTTCATTCAGCGGTTTGGAAACACTCTGTTTGTAAAGTCTGCACGTGGATATTTTGACCTCTTAGAGGCCTTCGTTGGAAACGGGTTTTTTTTCATGTAAGGCTAGACAGAAGAATTCTCAGTAACTTCCTTGTGTTGTGTGTATTCAACTGACAGAGTTGAACTTTCATTTAGAGAGAGCAGATTTGAAACACTCTATTTGTGCAATTTGCAAGTGTAGATTTCAAGCGCTTTAAGGTCAATGGCAGAAAAGGAAATATCTTCGTTTTAAAACTAGACAGAATCATTCCCACAAACTGCGTTGTGATGTGTTCGTTCAACTCACAGAGTTTAACCTTTCTGTTCATAGAGCACTTAGGAAACACTCTGTTTGTAAAGTCTGTAAGTGGATATTCTGACATCTTGTGGCCTTCGTTGGAAACGGGATTTCTTCATATTCTGCTAGACAGAAGAATTCTCAGAAACTTCCTTGTGTTGTGTGTATTCAACTCACAGAGTTGAACGATCGTTTACACAGAGCAGACTTGAAACACTCTTGTTGTGGAATTTGCAAGTGGAGATTTCAGCCGCTTTGAGGTCAATGGTAGAATAGTAAATATCTTCCTAAAGAAACTAGACAGAATGATTCTCAGAAACTCCTTTGTGATGTGTGTGTTCAACTCACAGAGTTTAACCTTTCTTTTCATAGAGCAGTTAGTAAACACTCTGTTTATAAAGTCTGCAAGTGGATATTCAGACCCCTTTGAGGCCTTCGTTGGAAACGGGATTTCTTCATATTTTGCTAGACAGAAGAATTCTCAGTAACTTGCTTTTGTTGTGTGTATTCAACTGACAGAGTTGAACTTTCATTTAGACAGAGCAGAATTGAAACACTCTTTTTCTGGAATTTGCAAGTGGAGATTTCAAGCGCTTTGAGGCCAAAGGCAGAAAAGGATATATCTTCGTATAAAAACTAGACAGAATCATTCTCAGAAACTGCTCTGCGATGTATGCGTTCAACTCTCAGAGTTTAACTTTTCTTTTCATTCAGCAGTTTAGAAACACTCTGTTTGTAAAGTCTGCACGTGGATATTTTGACCACTTAGAGGCCTTCGTTGGAAACGGGTTTTTTTCATGTAAGGCTAGACAGAAGAATTCTCAGTAACTTCCTTGTGTTGTGTGTATTCAACTCACAGAGTTGAACGATCCTTTACACAGAGCAGACTTGAAACACTCTTTTTGTGGAATTTGCAAGTGGAGATGTCAGCCGCTTTGTGGTCAATGGTAGAATAGGAAATATCTTCCTATAGAAACTAGACAGAATGATTCTCAGAAACTCCTTTGTGATGTGTGCATTCAACTTACAGAGTTCAACCTTTCTTTTCATAGAGCAGTTGGGAAACACTCTGTTTGTAAAGTCTGCAAGTGGATATTCGGACTTATTTGAGGCCTTCGTTGGAAGCGGGATTTCTTCATATTCTGCTAGACAGAAGAATTCTCAGTAACTTCCTTGTGTTGTGTGTATTCAACTCACAGAGTTGAACGATCCTTTACACAGAGCAGACTTGAAACACTCTTTTTGTGGAATTTGCAAGTGGAGATTTCAGCCGCTTTGAGGTCAATGGTAGAATAGGAAATATCTTCCTATAGGAAACTAGACAGAATGATTCTCAGAAACTCCTTTGTGATGTGTGCGTTCAACTCACAGAGTTCAACCTTTCTTTTCATAGAGCAGTTGGGAAACACTCTGTTTGTAAAGTCTGCAAGTGGATATTCAGACATCCTTGAGGCTTTCGTTGGAAACGGGATTTCTTCATATTATGCTAGAAAGAAGAATTCTCAGTAACTTCCTTGTGTTGTGTGTATTCAACTGACAGAGTTGAACTTTCATTTAGAGAGAGCAGATTTGAAACACTGATTTGTGAAATTTGCAAGTGGAGATTTCAAGCGCTTTGGGGCCAAAGGCAGAAAAGGAAATATCTTCGTATAAAAACTAGACAGAATCATTCTCAGAAGCTGCTGCGTGATGTGTGCGTTCAACTCTCAGAGTTTAACTTTTCTTTTCATTCAGCGGTTTGGAAACACTCTGTTTGTAAAGTCTGCACGTGGATATTTTGACCACTTAGAGGCCTTCGTTGGAAACGGGTTTTTTTCATGTAAGGCTAGACAGAAGAATTCCCAGTAACTTCCTTGTGTTGTGTGCATTCAACTCACAGAGTTGAACGTTCCCTTAGACAGAGCAGATTTGAAACACTCTATTTGTGAAATTTCCAAGTGTAGATTTCAAGCGCTTTAAGGTCAACGGCAGAAAAGGAAATATCTTCGTTTCAAAACTAGACAGAATGATTCTCAGAAACTCCTTTGTGATGTGTGCGTTCAACTCACAGAGTTTAACCTTTCTTTTCATAGAGCAGTTAGGAAACACTCTGTTTGTAAAGTCTGCAAGTGGATATTCAGACCTCTTTGAGGCCTTCTTTGGAAACGGGATTTCTTCATATTCTGCTAGAGAGAAGAATTCTCAGTAACTTCATTGTGTTGTGTGTATTCAACTCACAGATTTCAACGATCCTTTACACAGAGCAGACTTGAAACACTCTTTTTCTGGAATTTGCAAGTGTAGATTTCAGCCGCTTTGAGGTCAATGGTAGAATAGGAAATATCTTCCTATAGAAACTAGACAGAATGATTCTCAGAAACTCCTTTGTGATGTGTGCGTTCAACTCACAGAGTTCAACCTTTCTTTTCATAGAGCAGTTAGGAAACACTCTGTTTGTAAAGTCTGCAAGTGGATATTCAGACATCCTTGAGGCTTTCGTTGGAAACGGGATTTCTTCATATTATGCTAGAAAGAAGAATTCTCAGTAACTTCTTTGTGTTGTGTGTATTCAACTGACAGATTTGAACTTTCATTTAGAGAGAGCAGATTTGAAACACTGTTTTTGTGGAATTTGCAAGTGGAGATTTCAAGCGCTTTGGGGCCAAAGTCAGAAAAGGAAATATCTTCGTATAAAAACTAGACAGAATCATTCTCAGAAACTGCTGCGTATTGTGTGCGTTCAACTCTCAGAGTTTAACTTTTCTTTTCATTCAGCGGTTTGGAAACACTCTGTTTGTAAAGTCTGCACGTGGATATTTTGACCACTTAGAGGCCTTCGTTGGAAACGGGATTTTTTCATGTAAGGCTAGACAGAAGAATTCCCAGTAACTTCCTTGTGTTGTGTGCATTCACCTCACAGAGTTGAACGTTCCCTTAGACAGAGCAGATTTGAAACACTCTATTTGTGCAATTTGCAAGTGTAGATTTCAAGCGCTTTAAGGTCAATGGCAGAAAAGGAAATATCTTCGTTTCAAAACTAGACAGAATGATTCTCAGAAACTCCTTTGTGATGTGTGCGTTCAACTCACAGAGTTCAACCTTTCTTTTCATAGAGCAGTTGGGAAACACTCTGTTTGTAAAGTCTGCAAGTGGATATTCAGACTTCTTTGAGGCCTTCGTTGGAAGCGGGATTTCTTCATATTCTGCTAGACAAAAGAATTCTCAGTAACTTCCTAGTGTTGTGTGTATTCAACTCACAGAGTTGAACGATCCTTTACACAGAGCAGACTTGAAACACTCTTTTTGTGGAATTTGCAAGTGGAGATTTCAGCCGCTTTGAGGTCAATGGTAGAATAGGAAATATCTTCGTATAGAAACTAGACAGAATGACTCTCATAAACTCCTTTGTGATGTGTGCGTTCAACTCACAGAGTTTAACCTTTCTTTTCATAGAGCAGTTAGGAAACACTCTGTTTGTAAAGTCTGCAAGTGGATATTCAGACCTCCTTGAGGCCTTCATTGGAAACGGGATTTCTTCATATTCTGCTAGACAGAAGAATTCCCAGTAACTTCCTTGTGTTGTGTGTGTTCAACTCACAGAGTTGAACTTTCATTTACCCAGAGCAGATTTGAAACACTCTTTTTGTGGAATTTGCAAGTGGAGATTTCAAGCGCTTTGAGGCCAAAGGCAGAAAAGGAAATATCTCCGTTTCAAAACTAGACAGAATCATTCTCAGAAACTGCTCTGCGATGTGTGCGTTCAACTCTCAGAGTTTAACTTTTGTTTTCATTCGGCAGTTTGGAAACACTCTGTTTGTAAAGTCTGCACGTGGATAATTTGACCACTTAGAGGCCTTCGTTGGAAACGGGTTTTTTTCATGTAAGGCTAGACAGAAGAATTCTCAGTAACTTCCTTGTGTTGTGTGTATTCAACTCACACAGTTGAACGATCCTTTACAGAGAGCAGACTTGTAACACTCTTTTTGTGGAATTTGCAAGTGGAGATTTCAGCCGCTTTGAAGTCAAAGTAGAAAAGGAAATATCTTCCTATAAAAACTAGACAGAATGATTCTCAGAAACTCCTTTGTGATGTGTGCATTCAACTCACAGAGTTTAACCTTTCTTTTCATAGAGCAGTTAGGAAACACTCTGTTTGTAAAGTCTGCAAGTGGATATTCAGACCTATTTGAGGCCTTCGTTGGAAACGGGATTTCTTCATATTCTGCTAGAGAGAAGAATTCTCAGTAACTTCATTGTGTTGTGTGTATTCAACTCACAGATTTCAACGATCCTTTACACAGAGCAGACTTGAAACACTCTTTTTCTGGAATTTGCAAGTGGAGATTTCAGCCGCTTTGAGGTCAATGGTAGAATAGGAAATATCTTCCTATAGAAACTAGACAGAATGATTCTCAGAAACTCCTTTGTGATGTGTGCGTTCAACTCACAGAGTTTAACCTTTCTTTTAATAGAGCAGTTAGGAAACACTCTGTTTGTAAAGTCTGCAAGTGGATATTCAGACCTCTTTGAGGCCTTCGTTGGAAACGGGTTTTTTTCATATAAGGCTAGACAGAAGAATTCCCAGTAACTTCCTTGTGTTGTGTGTGTTCAACTCACAGAGTTGAACGTTCCCTTAGACAGAGCAGATTTGAAGCACTCTTTTTGTGGAATTTGCAAGTGGAGATTTCAAGCGCTTTGAGGCCAAAGGCAGAAAAGGAAATATCTTCGTATAAAAACTAGACAGAATCATTCTCAGAAACTGCTCTGCGATGTGTGCGTTCAACTCTCAGATTTTAACTTTTCTTTTCATTCAGCAGTTTGGAAACACTCTGTTTGTAAAGTCTGCACGTGGATATTTTGACCACTTAGAGGCCTTCGTTGGAAACGGGTTTCTTTCTTGTAAGGCTAGACAGAAGAATTCCCAGTAACTTCCTTGTGTTGTGTACATTCAACTCACAGAGTTGAACGTTCCCTTAGACAGAGCAGATTTGAAACACTCTTTTTGTGCAATTGGCAAGGGGAGATTTTAAGCGCTTTAAGGTCAATGGCAGAAAAGGAAATATCTTCCTTTCAAAACTAGACAGAATGATTCTCAGAAACTCCTTTGTGATGTGTGCGTTAAACTCACAGAGTTTAACCTTTCTTTTCATAGAGCAGTTAGGAAACACTCTGTTTGTAAAGTCTGCAAGTGGATATTCAGACATCCTTGAGGCTTTCGTTGGAAACGGGATTTCTTCATATTCTGCTAGAAAGAAGAATTCTCAGTAATTTCCTTGTGTTGTGTGTATTCAACTCACAGAGTTGAACGATCCTTTACAGAGAGCAGACTTGAAACACTCTTTTTGTGGAATTTGCAAGTGGAGATTTCAGCCGCTTTGAAGTCAATGGTAGAATAGGAAATATCTTCCTACAGAAAAGAGACAGAATGATTCTCAGAAACTCCTTTGTGATGTGTGCGTTGAACTCAGAGAGTTTAACCTTTCTTTTCATAGAGCAGTTAGGAAACACTCTGTTTGTAAAGTCTGCAAGTGGATATTCAGACATCCTTGAGGCTTTCGTTGGAAACGGGATTTCTTCATATTCTGCTAGAAAGAAGAATTCCCAGTAACTTCCTTGTGTTGTGTGTGTTCAACTCACAGAGTTGAACTTTCATTTACACAGAGCAGATTTGAAAGACTCTTTTTGTGGAATTTGCAAGTGGAGATTTCAAGCGCTGTGAAGCCAAAGGCAGAAAAGGAAATATCTTCGTATAAAAACTAGACAGAATCATTCTCAGAAACTGCTGCGTGATGTGTGCGTTCAACTCTCAGAGTTTAACTTTTCTTTTCATTCAGCGGTTTGGAAATACTGTGTTTGTAAAGTCTGCACGTGCATATTTTGACCACTAAGAGGCCTTCGTTGGAAACGGGTTTTTTTCATGTAAGGCTAGACAGAAGAATTCCCAGTAACTTCCTTGTGTTGTGTGCATTCAACTCACAGAGTTGAACGTTCCCTTAGACAGAGCAGATTTGAAACACTCTATTTGTCCAATTTGCAAGTGTAGATTTCAAGCGCTTTAAGGTCAACGGCAGAAAAGGAAATATCTTCGTTTCAAAACTAGACAGAATCATTCCCACAAACTGCGTTGTGATGTGTTCGTTCAACTCACAGAGTTTAACCTTTCTGTTCATAGAGCAGTTAGGAAACACTCTGTTTGTAAACTCTGTAAGTGGATATTCTGACATCTTGTGGCCTTCGTTGGAAACGGGATTTCTTCACATTCTGCTAGACAGAAGAATTCTCAGAATCTTCCTTGTGTAGTGTGTATTCAACTCACAGAGTTGAACGATCCTTTACACAGAGCAGACTTGAAACACTCTTTTTGTGGAATTTGCAAGTGGAGATTTCAGCCGCTTTGAGGTCCATGGTAGAAAAGGAAATATCTTCGTATAAAAACTAGACAGAATGATTCTCAGAAACTTCTTTGTGATGTGTGCATTCAACTCACAGAGTTTAACCTTTCTTTTCATAGAGCAGTTAGGAAACACTCTGTTTGTAAACTCTGCAAGTGGATATTCAGACCTCTTTGAGGCCTTCGTTGGAAACGGGATTTCTTCATACTATGCTAGACAGAAGAATTCTCAGTAACTTCCTTGTGTTGTGTATTCAACTGACAGAGTTGAACTTTCATTTAGAGAGAGCAGATTTGAAACACTGTTTTTGTGGAATTTGCAAGTGGAGATTTCAAGCGCTTTGGGGCCAAAGGCAGAAAAGGAAATATCTTCGTATAAAAACTAGACAGAATCATTCTCAGAAACTGCTCTGCGATGTGTGCGTTCAACTCTCAGAGTTTAACTTTTCTTTTCATTCAGCAGTTTGGAAACACTCTGTTTGTAAAGTCTGCACGTGGATATTTTGACCACTTAGAGGCCTTCGTTGGAAATGGGTTTTTTTCCTGTAAGGCTAGACAGAAGAATTCCCAGTAACTTCCTTGTGTTGTGTGCATTCAACTCACAGAGATGAACATTCCCTTAGACAGAGCAGATTTGAAACACTCTATTTGTGTAATTTGCAAGTGTAGATTTCAAGCGCTTTAAGGTCAATGGCAAAAAAGGAAATATCTGCGTTTCAAAACTAGACAGAATCATTCCCACAAACTGCGTTGTGATGTGTTCGTTCAACTCACAGACTTTAACCTTTCTGTTCATAGAGCAGTTAGGAAACACACTGTTTGTAAAGTCTGCAAGTGGATATTCAGACCTCCTTGAGGCCTTCGTTGGAAACGGTATTTCTTCATATTCTGCTAGACAGAAAAATTCTCAGTAACTTCCTTGTGTTGTGTGTATTCAACTCACAGAGTTGAACTATCCTTTACAAAGAGCAGACTTGAAACACTCTTTTTGTGGAATTTGCAAGTGGAGATTTCAGCCGCTTTGAGGTCAATGGTAGAAAAGGAAATATCTTCGTATAAAAACTAGACAGAATGATTCTCATAAACTACTTTGTGATGTGTGCGTTCAACTCACAGAGTTTAACTTTTCTTTTCATAGAGCAGTTAGGAAACACTCTGTTTGTAAAGTCTGCAAGTGGATATTCAGACCTCTTTGAGGCCTTCGTTGGAAACGGGATTTCTTCATATTCTGCTAGACAGAAGAATTCTCAGCAACTTCCTTGTGTTGTGTGTATTGAACTCACAGAGTTGAACGATCCTTTACACAGAGCAGACTTGAAACACTCTATTTGTAGAATTTGCAAGTGGAGATTTCAGCCGCTTTGAGGTCAATAGTAGAAAAGGAAATATCTTCGTAGAAAAACTAGACAGAATGATTCTCAGAAACTCCTTTGTGATGTGTGTGTTCAACGCACAGAGTTTAACCTTTCTTTTCATAGAGCAGTTAGGAAACACTCTGTTTGTAAAGTCTGCAAGTGGATATTCAGACCTCTTTGAGGCCTTCGTTGGAAACGGGTTTTTTTCATATAAGGCTAGACAGAAGAATTCCCAGTAACTTCCTTGTGTTGTGTGTGTTCAACTCACAGAGTTGAACTTTCGTTTACACAGAGCAGATTTGAAACACTCTTTTTGTGGAATTTGCAAGTGGAGATTTCAAGCGCTTTGAGGCCAAAGGCAGAAAAGGAAATATCTTCGTTTCAAAACTAGACAGAATCATTCTCAGAAACTGCTCTGTGATGTGTGCGTTCAACTCTCAGAGTTTAACTTTTCTTTTCATTCAGCACTTTGGAAACACTCTGTTTGTAAAGTCTTCACGAGGATATTTTGACCACTTAGAGGTCTTTGTTGGAAACGGGTTTTTTTCACATAAGGCTAGACAGAAGAATTCCCAGTAACTTCCTTGTGTTGTGTGCATTCAACTCACAGAGTTGAACGTTCCTTAGACACAGCAGATTTGAAACACTCTATTTGTGCAATTTGCAAGTGTAGATTTCAAGCGCTTTAAGGTCAATGGCAGAAAAGGAAATATCTTCGTTTCAAAACTAGACAGAAATCATTCCCACAAACTGCGTTGTGATGTGTTCGTTCAACTCACAGAGTTTAACCTTTCTGTTCATAGAGCAGTTAGGAAACACTCTGTTTGTAAAGTCTGTAAGTGGATATTCAGACATCTTGTGGCCTTCGTTGGAAACGGGATTTCTTCATATTCTGCTAGACAGAAGAATTCTCAGTAACTTCCTTGTGTTGTGTGTATTCAACTCACAGAGTTGAACGATCCTTTACACAGAGCAGAGTTGAAACACTCTTTTTGTGGAATATGCAAGGGGAGATTTCTGCCGCTTTGAGTCAATGGTAGAAAAGGAAATATCTTCGTATAAAGACTAGACAGAATGATTCTCAGAAACTCCTTTGTGATGTGTGCGTTCAACTCACACAGTTTAACCTTTCTTTTCATAGAGCAGTTGGGAAACACTCTGTTTGTAAAGTCTGCAAGTGGATATTCAGACCTCCTTGAGGCCTTCGTTGGAAACGGGATTTCTTCATATTATGCTAGACAGAAGAATTCTCAGTAACTTCCTTGTGTTGTCTGTATTCAACTCACAGAGTTGAACGATCCTTTACACAGAGCAGACTTGAAACACTCTTTTTGTGGAATTTGCAAGTGGAGATTTCAGCCGCTTTGAAGTCAATGGTAGAATAGGAAATATCTTCCTATAGAAACTAGACAGAATGATTCTGAGAAACTCCTTTGTAATGTGTGCGTTCAACTCACAGAGTTTAACCTTTCTTTTCATAGAGCAGTTAGGAAACACTCTGTTTGTAAAGTCTGCAAGTGGATATTCAGACCTCCTTGAGGCCTTCGTTGGAAACGGGATTTCTTCATATTATGCTAGACAGAAGAATTCCCAGTAACTTCCTTGTGTTGTGTGTGTTCAACTCACAGAGTTGAACTTTGATTTACACAGAGCAGATTTGAAACACTCTTTTTGTGGAATTTGCAAGTTTAGATTTCAAGCGCTTTGAGGCCAAAGGCAGAAAAGGAAATATCTTCGTATAAAAACTAGACAGAATCATTCTCAGAAACTGCTCTGTGATGTGTGCGTCCAACTCTCAGAGTTTAAATTTTCTTTTCATTCAGCAGTTTGGAAACACTCTGTTTGTAAAGTCTGCACGTGGATATTTTCAGCACTTAGAGGCCTTCGTTGGAAACTGTTTTTTTTCATGTAAGGCTAGACAGAAGAATTCCCAGTAACTTCCTTGTGTTGTGTGCATTCAACTCACAGAGTTGAACGTTCCCTTAGACAGAGCACATTTGAAACACTCTATTTGTGCAATTTGCAATTGTAGATTTCAAGCGCTTTAAGGTCAATGGCAGAAAAGGAAATATCTTCGTTTTAAAAATAGACAGAATCATTCCCACAAACTGCGTTGTGATGTGTTCGTTCAACTCACAGAGTTTAACCTTTCTGTTCATAGAGCAGTTAGGAAACACTCTGTTTGTAAAGTCTGTAAGTGGATATTCTGACATATTGTGGCCTTCGTTGGAAACGGGACTTCTTCATATTCTGCTAGACAGAAGAATTCTCAGTAACTTCCTTGTGTTGTGTGTATTCAACTCACAGAGTTGCACGATCCTTTACACAGAGCGGACTTGAAACACTCTTTTTGTGGAATTTGCAAGTGGAGATTTTAGCCGATTTGAGGTCAATGGTAGAATAGGAAATATCTTCCTATAGAAACTAGACAGAATGATTCTCAGAAACTCCTTTGTGATGTGTGTGTTCAACTCACAGAGTTTAACCTTTCTTTTCATAGAGCAGTTAGTAAACACTGTGTTTATAAAGTCTGCAAGTGGATATTCAGACCCCTTTGAGGCCTTCGTTGGAAACGGGATTTCTTCATATTATGCTAGACAGAAGAATTCTCAGTAACTTCCTTGTGTTATGTGTATTCAACTGACAGAGTTGAACTTTCATTTAGAGAGAGCAGATTTGAAACACTGTTTTTGTGGAATTTGCAAGTGGAGATTTCAAGCGCTTTGGGGCCAAAGGCAGAAAAGGAAATATCTTCGTATGAAAACTAGACAGAATCATTCTCAGAAACTGCTGCGTGATGTGTGCGTTCAACTCTCAGAGTTTAACTTTTCTTTTCATTCAGCGGTTTGGAAACACTCTGTTTGTAAAGTCTGCACGTGGATATTTTGACCACTTAGAGGCCTTCCTTGGAAACGGGTTTTTTTCATGTAAGGCTAGACAGAAGAATTCCCAGTAACTTCCTTGTGTTGTGTGCATTCAACTCACAGAGTTGAACGTTCCCTTAGACAGAGCAGATTTGAAACACTCTATTTGTGCAATCTGCAAGTGTAGATTTCAAGCGCTTTAAGGTCAACGGCAGAAAAGGAAATATCTTCGTTTCAAAACTAGACAGAATCATTCCCACAAACTGCGTTGTGATGTGTTCGTTCAACTCACAGAGTTTAACCTTTCTGTTCATAGAGCACTTAGGAAACACTCTGTTTGTAAAGTCTGCATGTGGATATTCAGACCTCCTAGAGGCCTTCGTTGGAAACGGGATTTCTTCATATTCTGCTAGACAGAAGAATTCTCAGTAACTTCCTTGTGTTGTGTGTATTCAAGTCACAGAGTTGAACGATCCTTTACACAGAGCAGATTTGAAACACTCTTTTTGTGGAATTTGCAAGTGGAGATTTCTGCCGCTTTGTGGTCAATGGTGGAAAAGGAAATATCTTCATATAAAAACAAGACAGAATGATTCTCATAAACTCCTTTGTGATGTGTGCGTTCAACTCACAGAGTTTAACTTTTCTTTTCATAGAGCAGTTAGGAAACACTCTGTTTGTAAAGTCTGCAAGTGGATATTCAGACCTTTTTGAGGCCTTCGTTGGAAACGGGATTTCTTCATATTATGCTAGACAGAATAATTCTCAGTAACTTCCTTGTGTTGTGTGTATTCAACTGACAGAGTTGAACTTTCATTTAGAGAGAGCAGATTTGAAACACTGTTTTTGTGGAATTTGCAAGTGTAGATTTCAAGCGCTTTGGGGCCAAAGGCAGAAAAGGAAATATCTTCGTATAAAAAGTAGACAGAATCATTCTCAGAAACTGCTCTGCGATGTGTGCGTTCAACTCTCAGAGTTTAACTTTTCTTTTCATTCAGCAGTTTGGAAACACTCTGTTTGTAAAGTCTGCACGTGGATAATTTGACCACTTAGAGGCCTTCGTTGGAAACGGGTTTTTTTCGTGTAAGGCTAGACAGAAGAATTCCCAGTAACTTCCTTGTGTTGTGTGCATTCCACTCACAGAGTTGAACGTTCCCTTAGACAGAGCAGATTTGAAACACTCTATTTGTGCAATTTGCAAGTGTAGATTTCAAGCGCTTTAAGGTCAATGGCAGAAAAGGAAATATCTTCGTTTCAAAACTAGACAGAATCATTCCCACAAACTGCGTTGTGATGTGTTCGTTCAACTCACAGAGTTTAACCTTTCTGTTCATAGAGCAGTTAGGAAACACTCTGTGTGTAAAGTCTGCAAGTGGATATTCAGACCTCTTTGAGGCCTTCGTTGGAAACGGGATTTCTTCATATTCTGCTAGACAGAAGAATTCTCAGTAACTTTCCTTGTGTTGTGTGTATTCAACTCACAGAGTTGAATGATCCTTTACACAGAACAGTCTTGAAACACTCTTTTTGTGGAATTTGCAAGTGGAGATTTCAGCCGCTTTGAGGTCAATGGTAGAATAGGAAATATCTTCCTATAGAAACTAGACAGAATGATTCTCAGAAACTCCTTTGTGATGTGTGCGTTGAACTCACAGAGTTTAACCTTTCTTTTCATAGAGCAGTTAGGAAACACTCTGTTTGTAAAGTCTGCAAGTGGATATTAAGACCTCTTTGACGCCTTCGTTGGAAACGGGATTTCTTCATATTCTGCTAGACAGAAGGAATTCCCAGTAACTTCCTTGTGTTGTGTGTGTTCAACTCACAGAGTTGAACTTTCATTTACACAGAGCAGATTTGAAACACTCTTTTTGTGGAATTTCCAAGTGGAGATTTCAAGCGCTTTGAGGCCAAAGGCAGAAAAGGAAATATCTTCGTATAAAAACTAGACAGAATCATTCTCAGAAACTGCTCTGCGATGTGTGCGTTCAACTCTCAGAGTTTAACTTTTCTTTTCATTCAGCAGTTTGGAAACACTCTGTTTGTAAAGTCTGCAAGTGGATATTTTGACCATTTAGAGGCCTTCGTTGGAAACGGGTTTTTTTCCTGTAAGGCTAGAGAGAAGAATTCCCAGTAACTCCCTTGTGTTGTGTGCATTCAACTCACAGAGTTCAACGTTCCCTTAGACAGAGCAGATTTGAAACACTCTATTTGTGCAATTTGCAAGCGTAGATTTCAAGCGCTTTAAGGTCAATGGCAGAAAAGGAAATATCTTCGTTTCAAAACTAGACAGAATAATTCCCACAAACTGCGTTGTGATGTGTTCGTTCAACTCACAGAGTTTAACCTTTCTGTTCATAGAGCAGTTAGGAAACACTCTGTTTGTAAAGTCTGTAAGTGGATATTCTGACATCTTGAGGCCTTCGTTGGAAACGGGATTTCTTCATATTCTGCTAGACAGAAGAATTCTCAGTAACTTCCTTGTGTTGTGTGTATTGAACTCACAGAGTTGAACGATCCTTTACACAGAGCAGTCTTGAAACACTGTTTTTGTGGAATTTGCAAGTGGAGATTTCTGCCGCTTTGAGGTCAATGGTAGAATAGGAAATATCTTCCTATAGAAACTAGACAGAGTGATTCTCAGAAACTCCTTTGTGATGTGTGCGTTCAACTCACAGAGTTTAACCTTTCTTTTCATAGAGCAGTTAGGAAACACTCTGTTTGTAACGTCTGCAAGTGGATATTCAGACCTCCTTGAGGCCTTCGTTGGAAACGGGATTTCTTCATATTCTGCTACAGAGAAGAATTCTCAGTAACTTCCTTGTGTTGTGTGTATTCAACTCACAGAGTTGAACGTTCCTTTACACAGAGCAGGACTTGAAACACTCTTTTTGTGGAATTTGCAAGTGGAGATTTCAAGCGCTTTGAGGCCAAAGGCAGAAAAGGAAATATCTTCGTATAAAAACTAGACAGAATCATTCTCAGAAACTGCTCTGCGATGTGTGTGTTCAACTCTCAGAGTTTAACTTTTCTTTTCATTCAGCAGTTTGGAAACACTCTGTTTGTAAAGTCTGCACGTGGATATTTTGACCACTTAGAGGCCTTCGTTGGAAACGGGTTTTTTTCCTGTAAGGCTAGACAGAAGAATTCCCAGTAACTTCCTTGTGTTGTGCACATTCAACTCACAGAGTTGAACGTTCCCTTAGACAGAGCAGATTTGAAACACTCTTTTTGTGCAATTGGCAAGTGGAGATTTCAAGCGCTTTGAGGTCAATGGCAGAAAAGGAAATATCTTCGTTTCAAAATTAGACAGAATGATTCTCAGAAACTCCTTTGTGATGTGTGCATTCAACTCACAGAGTTTAACCTTTCTTTTCATAGAGCAGTTAGGAAACACTCTGTTTGTATAGTCTGCAAGTGGATATTCAGACCTCTTTGAGGCCTTCGTTGGAAACGGGATTTCTTCATATTATGCTAGACAGAAGAATTCTCAGTAACTTCCTTGTGTTGTGTGTATTCAACTCACAGAGTTGAATGATCCTTTACACAGAACAGACTTGAAACACTCTTTTTGTGGAATTTGCAGGGGGAGATTTCAGCCGCTTTGAGGTCAATGGTAGAAAAGGAAATATCTTCCTATAGAAACTAGACAGAATGATTCTCAGAAACTCCTTTGTGATGTGTGCGTTCAACTCACAGAGTTTAACCTTTCTTTTCATAGAGCAGTTAGGAAACACTCTGTTTGTAAAGTCTGCAAGTGGATATTCAGACATCCTTGAGGCTTTCGTTGGAAAAGGGATTTCTTCATATTCTGCTAGAAAGAAGAATTCTCAGAAACTTCCTTGAGTTGTGTGTATTCAACTCACAGAGTTGAACGATCGTTTACACAGAGCAGACTTGAGACACTCTTTTTGTGGAATTTGTAAGTGGAGATTTCAGCCGATTTGAGGTCAATGGTAGAAAAGGAAATATCTTCATATAAAAACTAGACAGAATCATTCTCAGAAACTGCTCTGCGATGTGTGCGTTCAACTCTCAGAGTTTAACTTTTCTTTTCATTCAGCAGTTTGGAAACACTCTGTTTGTAAAGTCTGCACGTGGATAACTTGACCACTTAGAGGACTTCGTTGGAAACGGGTTTTTTTCCTGTAAGGCTAGACAGAAGAATTCCCAGTAACTTCCTTGTGTTGTGTACATTCAACTCACAGAGTTGAACGTTTCCTTAGAGAGAGCAGATTTGAAACACTCTTTTTGTGCAATTGGCAAGTGGTGATTTCAGCCGCTTTGAGGTCAATGGTGGAAAAGGAAATATCTTCGTATAAAAACTAGACAGAATCATTCTCAGAAAATGCTCTGTGATGTGTGCGTTCAACTCTCAGAGTTTAACTTTTCTTTTCATTCAGCACTTTGGAAACACTCTGTTTGTAAAGTCTGCACGAGGATCTTTTGACCACTTAGAGGTCTTTGTTGGAAACGGGTTTTTTTCACGTAAGGCTAGACAGAAGAATTCCCAGTAACTTCCTTGTGTTGTGTATATTCAACTCACAGAGTTGAACGATCCTTTACACAGAGCAGATTTGAAACACTCTTTTTGTGGAATTTGCAAGTGGAGATTTCAGCCGCTTTGAGGTCAATGGTAGAAAAGGAAATATCTTCGTTTCAAAACTAGACAGAATGATTCTCAGAAACTCCTTTGTGATGTGTGCGTTCAACTCACAGAAGTTTAACCTTTCTTTTCATAGAGCAGTTAGGAAACACTCTGTTTGTAAAGTCTGCAAGTGGATATTCAGACATCTTTGAGGCTTTCGTTGGAAACGGGATTTCTTCATATTCTGCTAGACAGAAGAATTCTCAGAAACTTCCTTGTGTTGTGTGTATTCAACTCACAGAGTTGAACGATCCTTTACACAGAGCAGACTTGAAACACTCCTTTTCTGGAATTTGCAGGTGGAGATTTCAGCCGCTTTGAGGTCAATGGTAGAATAGTAAATATCTTCGTATAAAAACTAGACAGTATCATTCTCAGAAACTGCTCTGCGATGTGTGCGTTCAACTCTCAGAGTTTAACTTTTCTTTTCATTCAGCAGTTTGGAAACACTCTGTTTGTAAAGTCTGCACGTGGATATTTTGACCACTTAGAGGCCTTCGTTGGAAATGGGTTTTTTTCCTGTAAGGCTAGACAGAAGAATTCCCAGTAACTTCCTTGTGTTGTGTACATTCAACTCACAGAGTTGAACGTTCCCTTAGACAGAGCAGATTTGAAACACTTTTTTTGTGCAATTGGCAAATGGAGATTTCAAGCGCTTTAAGGTCAATGGCAGAAAAGGAAATATCTTCGTTTCAAAACTAGACAGAATCATTCCCACAAACTGCGTTGTGAGGTGTTCGTTCAACTCACAGAGTTTAACCTTTCTTTTCATAGAGCAGTTAAGAAACAGTCTGTTTGAAAATTCTGTAAGTGGATATTCTGACATCTTGTGGCCTTCGTTGGAAACGGGATTTCTTCATATTCTGCTAGACAGAAGAATTCTCAGAATCTTCCTTGTGTTGTGTGTATTCAACTCACAGAGTTGAACGATGGTTTACAAAGAGCAGATTTGAAACACTCATTTGGTGGAATTTGCAAGTGGAGATTTCAGCCGCTTTGAGGTCAATGGTAGAAAAGGAAATATCTTCGTATAACAACTAGACAGAACGATTCTCAGAAACTCCGTTGTGATGTTTGCGTTCAACTCACAGAGTTTAACCTTTCTTTTCATAGAGCAGTTAGGAAACACTCTGTTTGTAAAGTCTGCAAGTGGATATTCAGACCTCTTTGAGGCCTTCGTTGGAAACGGGATTTCTTCCTATTCTGCTAGACAGAAGAATTCCCACTAACATCCTTGTGTTGTGTGTGTTCAACTCACAGAGTTGAACTTTCATTTACACAGAGCAGATTTGAAAGACTCTTTTTGTGGAATTTGCAAATGGAGATTTCAAGCGCTTTGAGGCCAAAGGCAGAAAAGGAAATATCTTCGTTTCAAAACTAGACAGAATCATTCTCAGAAACTGCTGCGTGATGTGTGCGTTCAACTCTCAGAGTTTAACTTTTCTTTTCATTCAGCGGTTTGGAAACACTCTGTTTGTAAAGTCTGCAAGTGGATATTTTGACCACTTAGAGGCCTTCGTTGGAAACGGGTTTTTTTCATGTAAGGCTAGACAGAAGAATTCCCAGTAACTTCCTTGTGTTGTGTGCATTCAACTCACAGAGTTGAACGTTCCCTTAGACAGAGCAGATTTGAAACACTCTATTTGTGCAATTTGCAAGTGTAGATTTCAAGCGCTTTAAGGTCAATGGCAGAAAAGGAAATGTCTTCGTTTCAAAACTAGACAGAATCATTCCCACAAACTGCGTTGTGATGTGTTCGTTCAACTAACAGAGTTTAACCTTTCTTTTCATAGAGCAGTTAGGAAACAGTCTGTTTGTAAATTCTGTAAGTGGATATTCTGACATCTTGTGGCCTTCGTTGGAAACGGGATTTCTTCATATTCTGCTAGACAGAAGAATTCCCAGTAACTTCCTTGTGTTGTGTGTGTTCAACTCACAGTAGTTGAACTTTCATTTACACAGAGCAGATTTGAAACACTCTTTTTGTGGAATTTGCAAATGGAGATTTCAGCCGCGTTGAGGTCAATGGTAGAAAAGGAAATATCTTCGTTTCAAAACTAGACAGAATGATTCTCAGAAACTCCTTTGTGATGTGTGTGTTCAACTCACAGAGTTTAACCTTTCTTTTCATAGAGCAGTTAGTAAACACTCTGTTTATAAAGTCTGCAAGTGGATATTCAGACCCCTTTGAGGCCTTCTTTGGAAACGGGATTTCTTCATATTCTGCTAGACAGAAGAATTCCCAGTAACTTCCTTGTATTGTGTGTGTTCAACTCACAGAGTTGAACTTTCATTTACACAGAGCAGATTTGAAACACTCTTTTTGTGGAATTTGCAAGTGGAGATTTCAAGCGCTTTGAGGCCAAAGGCAGAAAAGGAAATATCTTCGTATAAAAACTAGACAGAATCATTCTCAGAAACTGCTCTGTGATGTGTGCGTTCAACTCTCAGAGTTTAACTTTTCTTTTCATTCAGCAGTTTGGAAACACTCTGTTTGTAAAGTCTGCACGTGGATAATTTGACCACTTAGAGGCCTTCGTTGGAAACGGGTTTTTTTCATGTAAGGCTAGACAGAAGAATTCCCAGTAACTTCCTTGTGTTGTGTACATTCAACTCACAGAGTTGAACCTTCCCTTAGACAGAGCAGATTTGAAACACTCTTTTTGTGCAATTGGCAAGTGGAGATTTCAAGCGCTTTGAGGTCAATGGCAGAAAAGGAAATATCTTCGTTTCAAAACTAGACAGAATCATTCCCACAAACTGCGTTGTGATGTGTTCGTTCAACTCACAGCAGTTTAACCTTTCTGTTCATAGAGCAGTTAGGAAACACTCTGTTTGTAAAGTCTGTAAGTGGATATTCTGACATCTTGTGGCCTTCGTTGGAAACGGGATTTCTTCATATTCTGCTAGACAGAAGAATTCTCAGTAACTTCTTTGTGTTGTGTGTATTCAACTCACAGAGTTGAACGATCCTTTACACAGAGCAGACTTGAAACACTCTTTTTGTGGAATTTGCAAGTGGAGTTTTCAGCCGCTTTGAGGTCAATGGTAGAATAGGAAACATCTTCCTATAGAAACTAGACAGAATGATTCTCAGAAACTCCTTTGTGATGTGTGCGTTCAACTCACAGAGTTTAACCTTTCTTTTCATAGAGCAGTTGGGAAACACTCTGTTTGTAAAGTCTGCAAGTGGATATTCAGACCTCCTTGAGGCTTTCGTTGGAAACGGGATATCTTCATATTCTGCTAGAAAGAAGAATTCTCAGAAACTTCCTTGTGTTGTGTGTATTCAACTCACAGAGTTGAACGTTCGTTTACACAGAGCAGACTTGAGACACTCTTTTTGTGGAATTTGTAAGAGGAGATTTCAGCCGCTTTGAGGTCAATGGTAGAAAAGGAAATATCTTCATATAAAAACTAGACAGAATGATTCTCAGAAACTCCTTTGTGATGTGTGCGTTCAACTCACAGAGTTTAACCTTTCTTTTCATAGAGCAGTTAGTAAACACTCTGTTTATAAAGTCTGCAAGTGGATATTCAGACCCCTTTGAGGCCTTCGTTGGAAACGGGATTTGTTCATATTCTGCTAGACAGAAGAATTCCCAGTAACTTCCTTGTGTTGTGTGTGTTCAACTCACAGAGTTGAACTTTCATTTACACAGAGCAGATTTGAAACACTTTTTTTGTGGAATTTGCAAGTGGAGATTTCAAGCGCTTTGAGGCCAAAGGCAGAAAAGGAAATATCTTCGTATAAAAACTAGACAGAATCATTCTCAGAAACTGCTCTGCGATGTGTGCGTTCAACTCTCAGAGTTTAACTTTGCTTTTCATTCAGCAGTTTGGAAACACTCTGTTTGTAAAGTCTGCACGTGGATAATTTGACCACTTAGAGGCCTTCGTTGGAAACGGGTTTTTTTCATGTAAGGCTAGACAGAAGAATTCCCAGTAACTTCCTTGTGTTGTGTACATTCAACTCACAGAGTTGAACGTTCCCTTAGACAGAGCAGATTTGAAACACTCTTTTTGTGCAATTGGCAAATGGAGATTTCAAGCGCTTTAAGGTCAATGGCAGAAAAGGAAATATCTTCGTTTCAAAACTGGACAGAATGATTCTCATAAACTCCTTTGTGATGTGTGCGTTCAACTCACACAGTTTAACCTTTCTTTTCATAGAGCAGTTAGGAAACACTCTGTTTGTAAAGTCTGCAAGTGGATATTCAGACCTCTTTGAGGCCTTCGTTGGAAACCGGATTTCTTCATATTCTGCTAGACAGAAGAATTCTCAGTAACTTCCTTGTGTTGTGTGTATTCAACTCACAGAGTTGAACGATCCTTTACACAGAGCAGACTTGAAACACTCTTTTTGTGGAATTTGGAAGTGGAGATTTCAGCCGCTTTGAGGTCAATAGTAGAAAAGGAAATATCTTCGTAGAAAAACTAGACAGAATGATTCCCAGAAACTCCTTTGTGATGTGTGCGTTCAACTCACAGAGTTTAACCTTTCTATTCATAGAGCAGTTAGGAAACAATCTGTTTGTAAAGTCTGCAAGTCGATATTCAGACGTCTTTGCGGCCTTCGTTGGAAACGGGTTTTTTTCATATAAGGCTAGACAGAAGAATTCTCAGTAACTTCCTTGTGTTGTGTGTATTCAACTGACAGAGTTGAACTTTCATTTAGATAGAGCAGATTTGAAACACTGTTTTTGTGGAATTTGCAAGTGGAGATTTCAAGCGCTTTGGGGCCAAAGGCAGAAAAGGAAATATCTTCGTATAAAAACTAGACAGAATCATTCTCAGAAACTGCTGCGTGATGTGTGCGTTCAACTCTCAGAGTTTAACTTTTCTTTTCATTCAGCGGTTTGGAAACACTCTGTTTGTAATGTCTGCACGTGGATATTTTGACCACTTAGAGGCCTTCATTGGAAACGGGTTTTTTTCATGTAAGGCTAGACAGAAGAATTCCCAGTAACTTCCTTGTGTTGTGTGCATTCAACTCACAGAGTTGAACGTTCCCTTAGACAGAGCAGATTTGAAACACTCTATTTGTGCAATTTGCAAGTGTAGATTTCAAGCGCTTTAAGGTCAACGGCAGAAAAGGAAATATCTTCGATTCAAAACTAGACAGAATCATTTCCACAAACTGCGTTGTGAAGTGCTCGTTCAACTCACATAGTTTAACCTTTCTGTTCATAGAGCAGTTAGGAAACACTCTGTTTGTAGTGTCTGTAAGTGGATATTCTGACATCTTGTGGCCTTCGTTGGAAACGGAATTTCTTCATATTCTGCTAGACAGAAGAATTCTCAGAAACTTCCTTGTGTTGTGTGTATTCAACTCACAGAGTTGAACGATCCTTTACACAGAGCAGACTTGAAACACTCTTTTTGCGGAATTTGCAAGTGGAGATTTCAGCCGCTTTGAGGTCAATGGTAGAATAGGAAATATCTTCCTATAGAAACTAGACAGAATGATTCTCATAAACTCCTTTGTGATGTGTGCGTTCAACTCCCAGAGTTTAAACTTTCTTTTCATAGAGCAGTTAGGAAACACTCTGTTTGTAAAGTCTGCAAGTGGATATTCAGACCTGCTTGAGGCCTTCTTTGGAAACGGGATTTCTTCATATTATGCTAGACAGAAGAATTCTCAGTAACTTCCTTGTGTTGTGTGTATTCAACTGACAGAGTTGAACTTTCATTTCGAGAGAGCAGATTTGAAACACTGTTTTTGTGGAATTTGCAAGTGGAGATTTCAAGCGCTTTGGGGCCAAAGGCAGAAAAGGAAATATCTTCGTATAAAAACTAGACAGAATCATTCTCAGAAACTGCTCTGCGATGTGTGCGTTCAACTCTCAGAGTTTAACTTTTCTTTTTATTCAGCAGTGTGGAAAAACTCTGTTTGTAAAGTCTGCACGTGGATATTTTGACCACTTAGAGGCCTTCGTTGGAAACGGGTTTTTTTCCTGTAAGGCTAGACAGAAGAATTCCCAGTAACTTCCTTGTGTTGTGTACATTCAACTCACAGAGTTGAACGTTCCCTTAGACAGAGCAGATTTGAAACACTCTTTTTGTGCAATTGGCAAGTGGTGATTTCAGCCGCTTTGAGGTCAATGGTAGAAAAGGAAATATCTTCGTATTAAAACTAGACAGAATGATTCTCAGAAACTCCTTTGTGATGTGTGCGTTCAACTCACAGAGTTTAACCTTTCTTTTCATAGAGCAGTTGGGAAACACTCTGTTTGTAATGTCTGCAAGTGGATATTCAGACTTCTTTGAGGCCTTCGTTGGAAGCGGGATTTCTTCATGTTCTGCTAGACAGAAGAATTCTCAGAAACTTCCTTGTGTTGTGTGTTTTCAACTCACAGAGTTGAACGATCCTTTACACAGAGCAGACTTGAAACACTCCTTTTGTGGAATTTGCACGTGGAGATTTCAGCCGCTTTGAGGTCAATGGTAGAATAGGAAATATCTTCCTATAGAAAGTAGACAGAATGATTCTCAGAAAATCCTTTGTGATGTGTGCGTTCAACTCACAGAGTTTAACTTTTCTTTTCATAGAGCAGTTAGGAAACACTCTGTTTGTAAAGTCTGCAAGTGGATATTCAGACCTCTTTGAGGCCTTGGTTGGAAACCGGATTTCTTCATATTATGCTAGACAGAAGAATTCTCAGTAACTTCCTTGTGTTTTGTGTATTCAACTGACAGAGTTGAACTTTCATTTAGAGAGAGCAGATTTGAAACACTGTTTTTGTGGAATTTGCAAGTGGAGATTTCAAGCGCTTTGGGGCCAAAGGCAGAAAACGAAATATCTTCGTATAAAAACTAGACAGAATCATTCTCAAAAACTGCTCTGCGATGTGTGCGTTCAACTCTCAGAGTTTCACTTTTCTTTTCATTCAGCAGTTTGGAAACACTCTGTTTGTAAAGTCTGCACGTGGATAATTTGACCACTTAGAGGCTTTGGTTGGAAACGGGTTTTTTTCATGTAAGGCTAGACAGAAGAATTCCCAGTAACTTCCTTGTGTTGTGTACATTCAACTCACAGAGTTGAACGTTCCCTTAGACAGAGCAGATTTGAAACACTCTTTTTGTGCAATTGGCAAGTGGAGATTTCAAGCGCTTTGAGGTCAATGGCAGAAAAGGAAATATCTTCGTTTCAAAACTAGACAGAATCATTCCCAAAAACTGCGTTGTCATGTGTTCGTTCATCTCACAGAGTTTAACCTTTCTTTTCATAGAGCAGTTAGGAAACAGTCTGTTTGTAAATTCTGTAAGTGGATATTCTGACATCTTGTGGCCTTCGTTGGAAACGGGATTTCTTCATATTCTGCTAGATAGAAGAATTCTCAGAATCTTCCTTGTGTTGTGTGTATTCAACTCACAGAGTTGAACGATGGTTTACACAGAGCAGATTTGAAACACTCTTTTTGTGGAATTTGCAAGTGGAGATTTCAGCCGCTTTGAGGTCAATGGTAGAAAAGGAAATATCTTCCTATAAAAACTAGACAGAACGATTCTCAGAAATTCCTTTGTGATGTGTGCGTTCAACTCACAGAGTTTAACCTTTCTTTTCATAGAGCAGTTAGGAAACACTCTGTTTGTAAAGTCTGCAAGTGGATATTCAGACCTCTTTGAGGCCTTCGTTGGAAACGGGATTTCTTCCTATTCTGCTAGACAGAAGAATTCCCAGTAACTTCCATGTGTTGTGTGTGTTCAACTCACAGAGTTGAACGTTCCCTTAGACAGAGCAGATTTGAAACACTCTTTTTGTAGAATTTGCAAGTGGAGATTTCAAGCGCTTTGAGGCCAAAGGCAGAAAAGGAAATATCTTCGTATAAAAACTAGACAGAATCATTCTCAGAAACTGCTCTGCGATGTGTGCGTTCAACTCTCAGAGTTTAACTTTTCTTTTCATTCAGCAGTTTGGAAACACTCTGTTTGTAAAGTCTGCACGGGGATATTTTGACCACTTAGAGGCCTTCGTTGGAAACGGGTTTTTTTCCTGTAAGGCTAGACAGAAGAATTCCCAGTAACTTCCTTGTGTTGTGTGCATTCAACTCACAGAGTTGAACGTTCCCTTAGACAGAGCAGATTTGAAACACTCTATTTGTCCAATTTGCAAGTGTAGATTTCAAGCGCTTTAAGGTCAACGGCAGAAAAGGAAATATCTTCGTTTCAAAACTAGACAGAATGATTCTCAGAAACTCCTTTGTGATGTGTGCGTTCAACTCACAGAGTTTAACCTTTCTTTTCATAGAGCAGTTAGGAAACACTCTCTTTGTAAAGTCTGCAAGTGGATATTCAGACCTCTTTGAGGCCTTTGTTGGAAACGGGATTTCTTCATATTATGCTAGACAGAAGAATTCTCAGTAACTTCCTTGTGTTGTGTGTATTCAACTCACAGAGTTGAACGATCCTTTACACAGAGCAGACTTGAAACACTCTTTTTGTGGAAATTGCAAGTGGAGATTTCAGCCGCTTTGAAGTCAATGGTAGAAAAGGAAATATCTTCGTATAAAAACTAGACAGAATGATTCTCAGAAACTTCTTTGTGATGTGTGCGTTCAACTCACAGAGTTTAACCTTTCTTTTCATAGAGCAGTTAGGAAACACTCTGTTTGTAAACTCTGCAAGTGGATATACAGACCTCTTTGAGGCCTTCGTTGGAAACGGGATTTCTTCATACTATGCTAGACAGAAGAATTCTCAGTAACTTCCTTGTGTTGTGTGTATTCAACTGACAGAGTTGAACTTTCATTTAGAGAGAGCAGATTTGAAACACTGTTTTTGTGGAATTTGCAAGTGGTGACTTCAAGCGCTTTGGGGCCAAAGGCAGAAAAGGAAATATCTTCGTATAAAAACTAGACAGAATCATTCTCAGAAACTGCTCTGCGATGTGTGCGTTCAACTCTCAGAGTTTAACTTTTCTTTTCATTCAGCAGTTTGGAAACACTCTGTTTGTAAAGTCTGCACGTGGATAATTTGACCACTTAGAGGCCTTCGTTGGAAACAGGTTTTTTTCATGTAAGGCTAGACAGAAGAATTCCCAGTAACTTCCTTGTGTTGTGTGCATTCAACTCACAGAGTTGAACGTTCCCTTAGACAGAGCAGATTTGAAACACTCTATTTGTGCAATATGCAACTGTAGATTTCAAGCGCTTTAAGGTCAATGGCAGAAAAGGAAATATCTTCGTTTCAAAACTAGACAGAATCATTCCCACAAACTGCGTTGTGATGTGTTCGTTCAACTCACAGAGTTTAACCTTTCTGTTCATAGAGCAGTTAGGAAACACTCTGTTTGTAAAGTCTGTAAGTGGATATTCTGACATCTTGTGGCATTCGTTGGAAACGGGATTTCTTCATATTCTGCTAGACAGAAGAATTCTCAGTAACTTCCTTGTGTTGTGTGTATTCAACTCACAGAATTGAACGATCCTTTACACAGAGCAGACTTGAAACACACTTTTTGTGGAATTTGCAAGTGGAGATTTCAGCCGCTTTGAGGTCAATGGTAGAAAAGGAAATATCTTCGTATAGAAACAAGACAGAATGATTCTCAGAAACTCCTTTGTGATGTGGGTGTTCAACTCACAGGGTTTAACTTTCTTTTCATAGAGCAGTTAGGAAACACACTGTTTCTAAAGTCTGCAAGTGGATATTTTCACCTCTTTGAGGCCTTCGTTGCAAACGGCTTTTTTTTCATGTAAGGCTAGACAGAAGAATTCTCAGTAACTTCCTTTTGTTGTGTGTATTCAACTGACAGAGTTGAACTTTCATTTAGACAGAGCAGATTTGAAACACTCTTTTTCTGGAATTTGCAAGTGGAGATTTCAAGCGCTTTGAGGCCAAAGGCAGAAAAGGATATATTTTCGTATAAAAACTAGACAGAATCATTCTCAGAAACTGCTCTGCGATGTATGCGTTCAACTCTCAGAGTTTAACTTTTCTTTTCATTCAGCAGTTTGGAAACACTCTGTTTGTAAAGTCTGCACGTGGATATTTTGACCACTTAGAGGCCTTCGTTGGAAACGGGTTTTTTTCATGTAAGGCTAGACAGAAGCATTCCCAGTAACTTCCTTGTGTTGTGTGCATTCAACTCACAGAGATGAACGTTCCCTTAGACAGAGCAGATTTGAAACACTCTATTTGTGCAATTTGCAAGTGTAGATTTCAAGCGCTTTAAGGTCAATGGCAGAAAAGGAAATATCTTCGTTTCAAAACTAGACAGAATGATTCTCAGAAACTTCTTTGTGATGTGTGCGTTCAACTCACAGAGTTTAACCTTTCTTTTCATAGAGCAGTTAGGAAACACTCTGTTTGTAAATTCTGTAAGTGGATATTCTGAAATCTTGTGGCCTTCGTTGGAAACGGGATTTCTTCATATTCTGCTAGACAGAAGAATTCTCAGTAACTTCCTTGTGTTGTGTGTATTCAACTCACAGAGTTCAACGATCCTTTACACAGAGCAGACTTGTAACACTCTTTTTGTGGAATTTGCAAGTGGAGATTTCAGCCGCTTTGAAGTCAAAGGTAGAAAAGGAAATATCTTCCTATAAAAACTAGACAGAAAGATTCTCAGAAACTCCTTTGTGATGTGTGCGTTCAACTCACAGAGTTTAACCTTTCTTTTCATAGAGCAGTTAGGAAACACTCTGTTTGTAAAGTCTGCAAGTGGATATTCAGACCTCTTTGAGGCCTTCGTTGGAAACGGGATTTCTTCATACTGTGCTAGACAGAAGAATTCTCAGTAACTTCCTTGTGTTGTGTGTATTCAACTGACAGAGTTGAACTTTCATTTAGAGAGAGCAGATTTGAAACACTGTTTTTGTGGAATTTGCAAGTGGAGATTTCAAGCGCTTTGGGGCCAAAAGCAGAAAAGGAAATATCTTCGTAGAAAAACTAGACAGAATCATTCTCAGAAACTGCTCTGCGATGTGTGCGTTCAACTCTCAGAGTTTAACTTTTCTTTTCATTCAGCAGTTTGGAAACACTCTGTTTGTAAAGTCTGCACGTGGATATTTTGACCACTTAGACGCCTTCGTTGGAAACGGGTTTTTTTCCAGTAAGGCTAGACAGAAGAATTCCCAGTAACTTCCTTGTGTTGTGTGCATTCAACTCACAGAGTTGAACGTTCCCTTAGACAGAGCAGATTTGAAACACTCTATTTGTGCAATTTGCAAGTGTAGATTTCAAGCGCTTTAAGGTCAATGGTAGAAAAGGAAATATCTTCGTTTTAAAACTAGACAGAATCATTCCCACAAACTGCGTTGTGATGTGCTCGTTCAACTCACAGAGTTTAACCTTTCTGTTCATAGAGCAGTTAGGAAACACTCTGTTTGTAAAGTCTGCAAGTGGATATTCAGACCTCTTTGAGGCCTTCGTTGGAAAAGGGATTTCTTCATATTCTGCTAGACAGAAGAATTCTCAGTAACTTCCTTGTGTTGTGTGTATACAACTCACAGAGTTGAACGATCCTTTACACAGAGCAGACTTGAGACACTCTTTTTGTGGAATTTGCAAGTGGAGATTTCAGCCGCTTTGAGTTCAATGGTAGAATAGGAAATATCTTCCTATAGAAACTAGACAGAATGATTCTCAGAAACTCCTTTGTGATGTGTGCGTTCAACTCACAGAGTTTAACTTTTCTTTTCATAGAGCAGTTAGGGAACACTCTGTTTGTAAAGTCTGCAAGTGGATATTCAGACCTCTTTGAGGCCTTCGTTGGAAACGGGATTTCTTCATATTCTGCTAGACAGAAGAATTCTCAGAAACTTCCTTGTGTTGTGTGTTTTCAACTCACAGAGTTGAACGATCCTTTACACAGAGCAGACTTGAAACACTCCTTTTGAGGAATTTGCAAGTGGAGATTTCAGCCGCTTTGAGGTCAATGGTAGAATAGGAAATATCTTCCTATAGAAACTAGACAGAATGATTCTCAGAAACTCCTTTGTGATGTGTGCGTTCAACTCACAGAGTTTAACCTTTCTTTTCATAGAGCAGTTAGGAAACACTCTGTTTGTAAAGTCTGCAAGTGGATATTCAGACCTGTTTGAGGCCTTCGTTGGAAACGGGTTTCTTTCATATAAGGCTAGACAGAAGAATTCTCAAGTAACTTCCTTGTGTTGTGTTTATTCAACTCACAGAGTTGAATGATCCTTTACACAGAGCAGACTTGAAACACTCTTTTTGTGGAAATTGCAAATGGAGATTTCAGCCGCTTTGAGGTCAATGGTAGAAAAGTAAATATCTTCGTATAAAGACTAGACAGAATGATTCTCAGAAACTCCTTTTTGATGTGTGCGTTCAACTCACAGAGTTTAACCTTTCTGTTCATAGAGCAGTTAGGAAACACTCTGTTTGTAAAGTCTGCAAGTGGATATTCAGACCTCCTAGAGGCCTTCGTTGAAAACGGGATTTCTTCATATTCTGCTAGACAGAAGAATTCCCAGTAACTTCCTTGTGTTGTGTACATTCAACTCACAGAGGTGAACGTTCCCTTAGACAGAGCAGATTTGAAACACTCTTTTTGTGCAATTGGCAAGTGGAGATTTCAAGCGCTTTGAGGTCAATGGCAGAAAAGGAAATATCTTCCTTTCAAAACTAGACAGAATCATTCTCAGAAACTGCTCTGCGATGTGTGCGTTCAACTCTGAGAGTTTAACTTTTCTTTTCATTCAGCAGTTTGGAAACACTCTGTTTGTAAAGTCTGCACGTGGATAATTTGACCACTTAGAGGCCTTCGTTGGAAACGGGTTTTTTTCATGTAAGGCTAGACAGAAGAATTCTCAGTAACTTCCTTGTGTTGTGTGTATTCAACTCACAGAGTTGAACGATCCTTTACACAGAGCAGACTTGTAACACTCTTTTTGTGGAATTTGCAAGTGGAGATTTCTGCCGCTTTGAAGTCAAAGGTAGAAAAGGAAATATCTTCCTATAAAAACTAGACAGAATGATTCTCAGAAACTTCTTTGTGATGTGTGCGATCAACTCACAGAGTTTAACCTTTCTTTTCATAGAGCAGTTAGGAAACACTCTGTTTGTAAACTCTGCAAGTGGATGTTCAGACCTGTTTGAGGCCTTCGTTGGAAACGGGATTTCTTCATACTATGCTAGACAGAAGAATTCTCAAGTAACTTCCTTGTGTTGTGTGTATTCAACTGACAGAGTTGAACTTTCATTTAGAGAGAGCAGATTTGAAACTCTGTTTTTGTGGAATTTGCAAGTGGAGATTTCAAGCGCTTTGGGGCCAAAGGCAGAAAAGGAAATATCTTCGTATAAAAACTAGACAGAATGATTCTCAGAAACTCCTTTGTGATGTGTGCGTTCAACTCTCAGAGTTTAACTTTTCTTTTCATTCAGCAGTTTGGAAACACTCTGTTTGTAAAGTCTGCACGTGGATATTTTGACCACTTAGAGGCCTTCGTTGGAAACGGGTTTTTTTCCTGTAAGGCTAGACAGAAGAATTCTCAGTAACTTCCTTTTGTTGTGTGTATTCAACTCACAGAGTTGAACGATCGTTTACACAGAACAGATTAGAAACACTCTTTTTGTGGAATTTGCAAGTGGAGATTTCAGCCGCTTTGAGGTCAATGGTAGAATAGGAAATATCTTCCTATAGAAACTAGACAGACTGATTCTCAGAAACTCCTTTGTGATGTGTGCGTTCAACTCACAGAGTTTAACCTTTCTTTTCATAGAGCAGTTAGGAAACACTCTGTTTGTAAAGTCTGCAAGTGGATATTCAGACATCTTTGAGGCTTTCGTTGGAAACGGGGTTTCTTCATATTCTGCTATAGAGAAGAATTCTCAGAAACTTCCTTGTGTTGTGTGTTTTCAACTCACAGAGTTGAACGATGCTTTACACAGAGTAGACTTGAAACACTCTTTTTGTGGAATTTGCAAGTGGAGATTTCAGCCGCTTTGACGTCAATGGTAGAAAAGGAAATATCTTCGTATAAAAACTAGACAGAATGATTCTCAGAAACTCCTTTGTGATGTGTGCGTTCAACTTACAGAGTTTAACCTTTCTTTTCATAGAGCAGTTAGGAAACACTCTGTTTGTAAAGTCTGCAAGTGGATATTCAGACCTCTTTGAGGCCTTCGTTGGAAACGGGATTTCTTCATACTATGCTAGACAGAAGAATTCCCAGTAACTTCCTTGTGTGTGTGTGTTCAACTCACAGAGTTGAACTTTCATTTACACAGAGCAGATTTGAAACACTCTTTTTGTGGAATTTGCAAATGGGGATTTCAAGCGCTTTGAGGCCAAAGGCAGAAAAGGAAATATCTTCGTATAAAAACTAGACAGAATCATTCTCAGAAACTGCTCTGCGATGTGTGCGTTCAACTCTCAGAGTTTAACTTTTCTTTTCATTCAGCAGTTTGGAAACACTCTGTAAAGTCTGCACGTGGATATTTTGACCACTTAGAGGCCTTCGTTGGAAACGGGTTTTTTTCCTGTAAGGCTAGACAGAAGAATTCCCAGTAACTTCCTTGTGTTGTGTGCATTCAACTCACAGAGTTGAACGTTCCCTTAGACAGAGCAGATTTGAAACACTCTATTTGTGCAATTTGCAAGTGTAGTTTTCAAGCTCTTTAAGGTCAACGGCAGAAAAGGAAATATCTTCGTTTCAAAACTAGACAGAATCATTCCCACAAACTACGTTGTGAGGTGTTCAGTAAACTCACAGAGTTTAACCTCTCTTTTCATAGAGCAGTTGGGAAACAGTCTGTTTGTAAATTCTGTAAGTGGATATTCTGACAACTTGTGGCCTTCGTTGGAAACGGGATTTCTTCATATTCTGCTAGACAGAAGAATTCTCAGTAAATTCCTTGTGTTGTGTGTATTCATCTCACAGAGTTGAACGATCCTTTACACAGAGCAGACTTGAAACACTCTTTTTGTGGAATTTGCAAGTGGAGATTTCAGCCGCTTTGAGGTCAATGGTAGAAAAGGAAATATCTTCGTATAAAAACTAGACAGAATGATTCTCAGAAACACCTTTGTGATGTGTGCGTTCAACTCACAGAGTTTAACCTTTCTTTTCATAGAGCAGTTAGGAAACACTCTGTTTGTGAAGTCTGTAAGTGGATATTCAGACCTCCTTGAGGCCTTCGTTGGAAACGGGATTTCTTCATATTATGCTAGACAGAAGAATTCTCAGTAACTTCCTTGTGTTGTGTGTATTCAAGTGACAGAGTTGAACTTTCATTTAGAGAGAGCAGATTTGAAACACTGTTTTTGTGGAATTTGCAAGTGGAGATTTCCAGCGCTTTGGGGCCAAAGGCAGAAAAGGAAATATCTTCGTATAAAAACTAGACAGAATCATTCTCAGAAACTGCTGTGCGATGTGTGCGTTCAACTCTCAGAGTTTAACTTTTCTTTTCATTCAGCAGTTTGGAAACACTCTGTTTGTAAAGTCTGCACGTGGATATTTTGACCACTTAGAGGCCTTCGTTGGAAACAGGTTTTTTTCCTGTAAGGCTAGACAGAAGAATTCCCGGTAACTTCCTTGTGTTGTGTACATTCAACTCACAGAGTTGAACGTTCCCTTAGACAGAGCAGATTTGAAACACTCTTTTTGTGCAATTGGCAAATGGAGATTTCAAGCGCTTTAAGGTCAATGGCAGAAAAAGAAATATCTTCGTTTCAAAACTAGACAGAATCATTCCCACAAACTGCGTTGTGATGTGTTCGTTCAACTCACAGAGTTTAACCTTTCTTTTCATAGAGCAGTTAGGAAACAGTCTGTTTGTCAATTCTGTAAGTGGATATTCTGACGTCTTGTGGCCTTCGTTGGAAACGGGTTTTCTTCATATTCTGCTAGACAGAAGAATTCTCAGTAACTTCCTTGTGTTGTGTGTATTCAACTCACAGAGTTGAACGATCCTTTACACAGAGCAGACTTGAAACACTCTTTTTGTGGAATTTGCAAGTGGAGATTTCAGCCGCTTTGAGGTTAATGGTAGAAAATGAAATATCTTCGTATAGAAACTAGACAGAAATGATTCTCAGAAACTCCTTTGTGATGTGTGTGTTCAACTCACAGAGTTTAACCTTTCTTTTCATAGAACAGTTAGGAAACACTCTGTTTGTAAAGTCTGCAAGTGGATATTCAGAACTCTTTGGGGCCTTCGTTGGAAACGGGTTTTTTTCATATAAGGCTAGACAGAAGAATTCCCAAGTAACTTCCTTGTGTTGTGTGTGTTCAACTCACAGAGTTGAACTTTCATTTACACAGAGCAGATTTGAAACACTCTTTTTGTGGAATTTGCAAGTGGAGATTTCAAGCGCTGTGAGGCCAAAGGCAGAAAAGGAAATATCTTCGTATAAAAACTAGACAGAATCATTCTCAGAAACTGCTCTGCGATGTGTGCGTTCAACTCTGAGAGTTTAACTTTTCTTTTCATTCAGCAGTTTGGAAACACTCTGTTTGTAAAGTCTGCACGTGGATATTTTGACCACTTAGAGGCCTTCGTTGGAAACGGGTTTTTTTCCTGTAAGGCTAGACAGAAGAATTCCCAGTAACTTCCTTCTGTTGTGTACATTCAACTCACAGAGTTGAACGTTCCCTTAGACAGAGCAGATTTGAAACACTCTTTTTGTGCAATTGGCAAATGGAGATTTCAAGCGCTTTAAGGTCAATGGCAGAAAAGGAAATATCTTCGTTTCAAAACTAGACAGAATCATTCCCACAAACTGCGTTGTGATGTGTTCGTTCAACTCACAGAGTTTAACCTTTCTTTTCATAGAGCAGTTAGGAAACACTCTGTTGCTAAATTCTGTAAGTGGATATTCTGACATCTTGTGGCCTTCGTTGGAAACGGGATTTCTTCATATTCTGCTAGACAGAGGAATTCTCAGTAACTTCCTTGTGTTGTGTGTATTCAACTCACAGAGTTGAACGATCCTTTACACAGAGCAGACTTGAAACACTCTTTTTGTGGAATTTGCAAGTGGAGATTTCAGCCGCTTTGAGTTCAATGGTAGAATAGGAAATATCTTCCTATAGAAACTACACAGAATGATTCTCAGAAACTCGTTTGTGATGTGCGCGTTCAACTCACAGAGTTCAACCTTTCTTTTCATAGAGCAGTTGGGAAACACTCTGTTTGTAAAGTCTGCAAGTGGATATTCAGACTTCTTTGAGGCCTTCGTTGGAAGCGGGATTTCTTCATATTCTGCTAGACAGAAGAATTCCCAGTAACTTCCTTGTGTTGTGTGTGTTCAACTCACAGAGTTGAACTTTCATTTACACAGAGCAGATTTGAAACACTCTTTTTGTGGAATTTGCAAGTGGAGATTTCAAGCGCTTTGAGGACAAAGGCAGAAAAGGAAATATCTTCGTATAAAAACTAGACAGAATCATTCTCAGAAACTGCTGCGTGATGTGTGCTTTCAACTCTCAGAGTTTAACTTTTCTTTTCATTCAGCGGTTTGGAAACACTCTGTTTGTAAAGTCTGCACGTGGAAATTTTGACCACTTAGAGGCCTTCGTTGGAAACGGGTTTTTTTCATGTAAGGCTAGACAGAAGAATTCCCAGTAACTTCCTTCTGTTGTGTACATTCAACTCACAGAGTTGAACGTTCCCTTAGACAGAGCAGATTTGAAACACTCTTTTTGTGCAATTGGCAAGTGGTGATTTCAGCCGCTTTGAGGTCAATGGTAGAAAAGGAAATATCTTCGTATAAAAACTAGACAGAATCATTCCCACAAACTGCATTGTGATGTGTTCGTTCAACTCACAGAGTTTAACCTTTCCGTTCATAGAGCAGTCAGGAAACACACTGTTTGTAAAGTCTCTAAGTGGATATTCTGACATCTTGTGGCCTTCGTTGGAAACGGGATTTCTTCATATTCTGCTAGACAGAAGAATTCTCAGTAACTTCCTTGTGTTGTGTGTATTCAACTCACAGAGTTGAACGATCCTTTACACAGAGCAGACTTGAAACACTCTTTTTGTGGAATTTGCAAGTGGAGATTTCAGCAGCTTTGAGGTCAATGGTAGAAAAGGAAATATCTTCGTATAAAGACTAGACAGAATGATTCTCAGAAACTCCTTTGTGATGTGTGTGTTCAACTCACAGAGTTTAACTTTTCTTTTCATAGAGCAGTTAGGAAACACTCTGTTTGTAAAGTCTGCAAGTGGATATTCAGACCTCTTTGAGGCCTTCGTTGGAAACGGGATTTCTTCATATTATGCTAGACAGAAGAATTCTCAGTAACTTCCTTGTGTTGTGTGTATTCAACTGACAGAGTTGAACTTTCATTTAGAGAGAGCAGATTTGAAACACTGTTTTTGTGGAGTTTGCAAGTGGAGATTTCAAGCGCTTTTGGGCCAAAGGCAGAAAAGGAAATATCTTCGTATAAAAACTAGACAGAATCATTCTCAGAAACTGCTGCGTGATGTGTGCGTTCAACTCTCAGAGTTTAACTTTTCTTTTCATTCAGCAGTTTGGAAACACTCTGTTTGTAAAGTCTGCACGTGGAAATTTTGACCACTTAGAGGCCTTCGTTGGAAACGGGTTTTTTTCATGTAAGGCTAGACAGAAGAATTCCCAGTAACTTCCTTGTGTTGTGTGCATTCAACTCACAGAGTTGAACGTTCCCTTAGACAGAGCAGATTTGAAACACTCTATTTGTGCAATTTGCAAGTGTAGTTTTCAAGCTCTTTAAGGTCAACGGCAGAAAAGGAAATATCTTCGTTTCAAAACTAGACAGAATCATTCCCACAAACTGCGTTGTGAAGTGCTCGTTCAACTCACAGATTTTAAACTTTCTGTTCATAGAGCAGTTAGGAAACACTCTGTTTGTAAAGTCTGTAAGTGGATATTCTGACATCTTGTGGCCTTCGTTGGAAACGGAATTTCTTCATATTCTGCTAGACAGAAGAATTCTCAGTAACTTCCTTGTGTTGTGTGTATTCAACTCACAGAGTTGAACGATCCTTTACACAGAGGAGACTTGAAACACTCCTTTTGTGGAATTTGCAAGTGGAGATTTCAGCCGCTTTGAGGTCAATGGTAGAATAGGAAATATCTTCCTATAGAAACTAGACAGAATGATTCTGAGAAATCCTTTGTGATGTGTGCGTTCAACTCACAGAGTTTAACCTTTCTTTTCATAGAGCAGTTAGGAAACACTCTGTTTGTAAAGTCTGCAAGTGGATATTCAGACCTCCTTGAGGCCTTCGTTGGAAACGGGATTTCTTCATATTATGCTAGAAAGAAGAATTCCCAGTAACTTCCTTGTGTTGTGTGTGTTCAACTCACAGAGTTGAACTTTCATTTACACAGAGCAGATTGGAAACACTCTTTTTGTGGAATTTGCAAGTGGAGATTTCATGCGCTTTGAGGCCAAAGGCAGAAAAGGAAATATCTTCGTATAAAAACTAGACAGAATCATTCTCAGAAACTGCTCTGCGATGTGTGCGTTCAACTCTCAAGAGTTTAACTTTTCTTTTCATTCAGCAGTTTGGAAACACTCTGTTTGTAAAGTCTGCACGTGGATAACTTGACCACTTAGAGGACTTCGTTGGAAACGGGTTTTTTTCCTGTAAGGCTAGACAGAAGAATTCCCAGTAACTTCCTTGTGTTGTGTACATTCAACTCACAGAGTTGAACGTTCCCTTAGACAGAGCAGATTTGAAACACTCTTTTTGTGCAATTGGCAAATGGAGATTTCAAGCGCTTTAAGGTCAATGGCAGGAAAGGAAATATCTTCGTTTCAAAACTAGACAGAATAATTCCCACAAACTGCGTTGTGATGTGTTCGTTCAACTCACAGAGTTTAACCTTTCTTTTCATAGAGCACTTAGGAAACAGTCTGTTTGTAAATTCTGTAAGTGGATATTCTGACATCTTGTGGCCTTCGTTGGAAACGGGATTTCTTCATATTCTGCTAGACAGAAGAATTCTCAGAAACTTCCTTGTGTTGTGTGTTTTCAACTCACAGAGTTGAACGATGCTTTACACAGAGTAGACTTGAAACACTCTTTTTGTGTAATTTGCAAGTGGAGATTTCAGCCGCCTTGAGGTCAATGGTAGAAAAGGAAATATCTTCGTATAAAAACTAGACAGAAATGATTCTCAGAAACTCCTTTGAGATGTGTGTGTTCAACTCACAGAGTTTAACCTTTCTTTTCATAGAGCAGTTAGGAATCACTCTGTTTGTAAAGTCTGCAGGTGGATATTCAGACCTCTTTGAGGCCTTCGTTGGAAACGGGTTTTTTTCATATAAGGCTAGAGAGAAGAATTCTCAGTAACTTCCTTGTGTTGTGTGTATTCAACTGACAGAATTGAACTTTCATTTAGAGAGAGCAGATTTGAAACACTGTTTTTGTGGAATTTGCAATTGGAGATTTCAAGCGCTTTGGGGCCAAAGGCAGAAAAGGAAATATCTTCGTATAAAAAGTAGACAGAATCATTCTCAGAAACTGCTGCGTGATGTGTGCGTTCAACTCTCAGAGTTTAACTTTTCTTTCCATTCAGCGGTTTGGAAACACTCTGTTTGTAAAGTCTGCACGTGGATATTTTGACCACTTAGAGGCCTTCGTTGGAAACGGGTTTTTTTCATGTAAGGCTAGACAGAAGAATTCCCAGTAACTTCCTTGTGTTGTGTACATTCCACTCACAGAGTTGAACGTTCCCTTAGACAGAGCAGATTTGAAACACTCTTTTTGTGCAATTGGCAAGTGGAGATTTCAAGCGCTTTAAGGTCAATGGCAGAAAAGGAAATATCTTCGTTTCAAAACTAGACAGAATCATTCCCACAAACTGCGTTGTGATGTGTTCGTTCAACTCACAGAGTTTAACCTTTCTGTTCATAGAGCTGTTAGGAAACACTCTGTTTGTAAAGTCTGTAAGTGGATATTCTGACATCTTGTGGCCTTCGTTGGAAACGGGATTTCTTCATATTCTGCTAGACAGAATAATTCTCAGTAACTTCCTTGTGTTGTGTGTATTCAACTCACAGAGTTGAAGGATCCTTTACAGAGAGCAGGCTTGAAACACTCTTTTTGTCGAATTTGCAAGTGGAGATTTCAGCCGCTTTGAGGTCAATGGTAGAATAGGAAATATCTTCTTATACAAACTAGACAGAATGATTCTCAGAAACTCCTTTGTGATGTGTGTGTTCAACTCACAGAGTTTAACCTTTCTTTTCATAGAGCAGTTAGGAAACACTCTGTTTCTAAAGTCTGCAAGTGGATATTCAGACCTCTTTGAGGCCTTCGTTGGAAACGGGTTTTTTTCATATAAGGCTAGACAGAAGAATTCCCAGTAACTTCCATGTGTTGTGTGTGTTCAACTCACAGAGTTGAACTTTCATTTACACAGAGTAGATTTGAAACACTCTTTTTGTGGAATTTGCAAATGGAGATTTCAAACTCTTTGAGGCCAAAGGCAGAAAAGGAAATATCTTCGTATAAAAACTAGACAGAATCATTCTCAGAAACTGCTCTGCGATGTGTGCGTTCAACTCTCAGAGTTTAACTTTTCTTTTCATTCAGCAGTTTGGAAACACTCTGGTTGTAAAGTCTGCACGTGGATATTTTGACCACTTAGAGGCCTTCGTTGGAAACGGGTTTTTTTCCTGTAAGGCTAGACAGAAGAATTCCCAGTAACTTCCTTGTGTTGTGTGCATTCAACTCACAGAGTTGAACATTCCCTTAGACAGAGCAGATTTGAAACACTCTATTTGTGCAATTTGCAAGTGTAGATTTCAAGCGCTTTAAGGTCAATGGCAGAAAAGGAAATATCTTCGTTTCAAAACTAGACAGAATCATTCCCACAAACTGCGTTGTGATGTGTTCGTTCAAGTCACAGAGTTTAACTTTTCTGTTCATAGAGCAGTTAGAAAACACTCTGTTTGTAAAGTCTGCAAGTGGATATTCAGACCTCCTTGAGGCCTTCGTTGGAAACGGGATTTCTTCATATTCTGCTAGACAGAAAGAATTCTCAGTAACTTCCTTGTGTTGTGTGTATTCAACTCACAGAGTTGAACGATCCTTTACACAGAGCAGACTTGTAACACTCTTTTTGTGGAATTTGCAAGTGGAGATTTCAGCCGCTTTGAAGTCAAAGGTAGAAAAGGAAATATCTTCCTATAAAAACTAGACAGAATGATTCTCAGAAACTCCTTTGTGATGTGTGCGTTCAACTCACAGAGTTTAACCTTTCTTTTCATAGAGCAGTTAGGAAACACTCTGCTTGTAAAGTCTGCAAGTGGATATTCAGCCCTCTTTGAGGCCTTCGTTGGAAACGGGTTTTTTTTATATAAGGCTAGACAGAAGAATTCTCAGTAACTTCCTTGTGTTGTGTTTATTCAACTCACAGAGTTGAATGATCCTTTACACAGAGCAGAATTGAAACACTCTTTTTGTGGAATTTGCAAGTGGAGATTTCAGCCGCTTTGAGGTCAACGGTAGAAAAGTAAATATCTTCGTATAAAGACTAGACAGAATCATTCTCAGAAACTGCTCTGCGATGTGTGCGTTCAACTCTCAGAGTTTAACTTTTCTTTTCATTCAGCAGTTTGGAAACACTCTGTTTGTAAAGTCTGCACGTGGATAATTTGACCACTTAGAGGCCTTCATTGGAAACGGGTTTTTTTCCTGTAAGGTTAGACAGAAGAATTCCCAGTAACTTCCTTGTGTTGTGTACATTCAACTCACAGAGTTGAACGTTCCCTTAGACAGAGCAGATTTGAAACACTCTTTTTGTGCAATTGGCAAGGGGAGATTTCAAGCGCTTTAAGGTCAATGGCAGAAAAGGAAATATCTTCGTTTCAAAACTAGACAGAATCATTCCCAAAAACTGCGTTGTGATGTGTTCGTTCAACTCACAGAGTTTAACCTTTCTTATCATAGAGCAGTTGGGAAACAGTCTGTTTGTAAATTCTGTAAGTGGATATTCTGACATCTTGTGGTCTTCGTTGGAAACGGGATTTCTTCATATTCTGCTAGACAGAATAATTCTCAGTAACTTCCTTGTGTTGTGTGTATTCAACTCACAGAGTTGAACGATCCTTTACAGAGATCAGGATTGAAACACTCTTTTTGTCGAATTTGCAAGTGGAGATTTCAGCCGCTTTGAGGTCAATGGTAGAATAGGAAATATCTTCTTATAGAAACTAGACAGAATGATTCTCAGAAACTCTTTTGTGATGTGGGTGTTCAACTCACAGAGTTTAACTTTCTTTTCATAGAGCAGTTAGGAAACACTCTGTTTATAAAGTCTGCAAGTGGATATTTTCACCTCTTTGAGGCCTTCGTTGGAAACGGGTTTTTTTTCATGTAAGGCTAGACAGAAGCATTCTCAGAAACTGCTCTGCGATGTGTGCGTTCAACTCTCAGAGTTTAACTTTTCTTTTCATTCAGCAGTTTGGAAACACTCTGTTTGTAAAGTCTGCACGTGGATATTTTGACCACTTAGAGGCCTTCGTTGGAAACGGGTTTTTTTCCTGTAAGGCTAGACAGAAGAATTCCCAGTAACTTCCTTGTGTTGGGTGCATTCAACTCACAGAGTTGAACGTTCCTTAGACACAGCAGATTTGAAACACTCTATTTGTGCAATTTGCAAGAGTAGATTCCAAGCGCTTTAAGGTCAATGGCAGAAAAGGAAATATCTTCGTTTCAAAACTAGACAGAATCATTCCCACAAACTGCGTTGTGATGTGTTCGTTCAACTCACAGAGTTTAACCTTTCTTTTCATAGACCAGTTAGGAAACAGTCTGTTTGTAAATTCTGTAAGTGGATATTCTGACATATTGTGGCCTTCGTTGGAAACGGGATTTCTTCATATTCTGCTAGACAGAAGAATTCTCAGTAACTTCCTTGTGTTGTGTGTATTCAACTCACAGAGTTGAACGATCCTTTACACAGAGCAGACTTGAAACACTCTTTTTGCGGAATTTGCAAGTGGAGATTTCAGCCGCTTTGAGGTCAATGGTAGAATAGGAAATATCTTCCTATAGAAACTAGACAGAATGATTCTCAGAAACTCCTTTGTGATGTGTGGGTTCAACTCACAGAGTTTAACCTTTCTTTTCATAGAGCAGTTAGGAAACACTCTGTTTGTAAAGTCTGCAAGTGGATATTCAGACCTCTTTGAGGCCTTCGTTGGAAACGGGATTTTTTCATATAAGGCTAGACAGAAGAATTCCCAGTAACTTCCTTGTGTTGTGTGTGTTCAACTCACAGAATTGAACTTTCATTTACACAGAGCAGATTTGAAACACTCTTTTTGTGGAATTTGCAAATGGAGATTTCAAGCGCTTTGAGGCCAAAGGCAGAAAAGGAAATGTCTTCGTTTCAAAACTAGACAGAATGATTCTCAGAAACTGCTCTGCGATGAGTGCGTTCAACTCTCAGAGTTTAACTTTTCTTTTCATTCAGCAGTTTGGAAACACTCTGTTTGTAAAGTCTGCACGTGGATATTTTGACCACTTAGAGGCCTTCGTCGGAAACGGGTTTTTTTCATGTAAGGCTATAGAGAAGAATTCCCAGTAACTTCCTTGTGTTGTGTACATTCAACTCACAGAGTTGAACGTTCCCTTAGACAGAGCAGATTTGAAACACTCTTTTTGTGCAATTGGCAAGTGGTGATTTCAACCGCTTTGAGGTCAATGGTAGAAAAGGAAATATCTTCGTATAAAAACTAGACAGAATCATTCCCACAAACTGCGTTGTGATGGTTCGTTCAACTCACAGAGTTTAACCTTTCTTTTCATAGAGCAGTTAGGAAACAGTCTGTTTGTCAATTCTGTAAGTGGATATTCTGACATCTTGTGGCCTTCGTTGGAAACGGGATTTCTTCATATTTTCCTAGACAGAGTAATTCTCAGTAACTTCCGTGTGTTGAGTGTATTCAACTCAGAGAGTTGAACGATCCTTTACAGAGAGCAGACTTGAAACACTCTTTTTGTGGAATTTGCAAGTGGAGATTTCATCCGCTTTGAGGTCAATGGTAGAAAAGGAAATATCTTCGTATAAAGACTAGACAGAATGATTCTCAGAAACTTCTTTGTGATGTGTGCGTTCAACTCACAGAGTTTAACCTTTCTTTTCATAGAGCAGTTAGGAAACACTCTGTTTGTAAACTCTGCAAGTGGATATTCAAACCTCTTTGAGGCCTTCGTTGGAAACGGGATTTCTTCATACTGTGCTAGACAGAAGAATTCTCAGTAACTTCCTTGTGTTGTGTGTATTCAACTGACAGAGTTGAACTTTCATTTAGAGAGAGTAGTTTTGAAACACTGTTTTTGTGGAATTTGCAAGTGGAGATTTCAAGCGCTTTGGGGCCAAAGGCAGAAAAGGAAATATCTTCGTATAAAAACTAGACAGAATCATTCTCAGAAACTGCTGCGTGATGTGTGCGTTCAACACTCAGAGTTTAACTTTTCTTTTCATTCAGCGGTTTGGAAACACTCTGTTTGTAAAGTCTGAACGTGCATATTTTGACCACTTAGAGGCCTTCGTTGGAAACGGGTTTTTTTCATGTAAGGCTAGACAGAAGAATTCTCAGTAACTTCCTTGTGTTGTGTTTATTCAACTCACAGAGTTGAATGATCCTTTACACAGAGCAGATTTGAAACACTCTATTTGTGCAATTTGCAAGTGTAGATTTCAAGCGCTTTAAGGTCAACGGCAGAAAAGGAAATATCTTCGTTTCAAAACTAGACAGAATCATTCCCACAAACTACGTTGTGATGTGTTCGTTCAACTCACAGAGTTTAACCTTTCTTTTCATAGAGCAGTTAGGAAACAGTCTGTTTGTCAATTCTGTAAGTGGATATTCTGACATCTTGTGGCCTTCGTTGGAAACGGGATTTCTTCATATTCTGCTAGACAGAAGAATTCTCAGTAACTTCCTTGTGTTGTGTGTATTCCACTCACAGAGTTGAACGATCCTTTACACAGAGCAGACTTGTAACACTCTTTTTGTGGAATTTTCAAGTGGAGATTTCAGCCGCTTTGAAGTCAAAGTTAGAAAAGGAAATATCCTCCTATAAAAACTAGACAGAATGATTCTCAGAAACTCCTTTGTGATGTGTGTGTTCAACTCACAGAGTTTAACGTTTCTTTTCATAGAGCAGTTAGTAAACACTCTGTTTATGAAGTCTGCAAGTGGATATTCAGACCTCTTTGAGGTCTTCGTTGGAAACGGGATTTCTTCATATTATGCTAGACAGAAGAATTCTCAGAAACTTCCTTGTGTTGTGTGTTTTCAACTCACAGAGTACAACGATCCTTTACACAGAGTAGACTTGAAACACTCTTTTTGTGGAATTGGCAAGTGGAGATTTCAGCCGCTTTGAGGTCAATGGTAGAAAAGGCAATATCTTCGTATAAAAACTAGACAGAATCATTCTCAGAAACTGCTCTGCGATGTGTGCGTTCAACTCTCAGTGTTTAACTTTTCTTTTCATTCAGCAGTTTGGAAACACTCTGTTTGTAAAGTCTGCACGTGGATATTTTGACCACTTAGAGGCCTTCGTTGGAAACGGGTTTTTTTCCTGTAAGGCTAGACAGAAGAATTCCCAGTAACTTCCTTGTGTTGTGAGCATTCAACTCACAGAGTTGAACGTTCCCTTAGACCGAGCAGATTTGAAACACTCTATTTGTGCAATTTGCAAGTGTAGTTTTCAAGCTCTTTAAGGTCAACGGCAGAAAAGGAAATATCTTCGTTTCAAAACTAGACAGAATGATTCTCAGAAACTCCTTTGTGATGTGTGCGTTCAACTCACAGAGTTTAACCTTTCTTTTCATAGAGCAGTTAGGAAACAGTCTGTTTGTCAATTCTGTAAGTGGATATTCTGACATCTTGTGGCCTTCGTTGGAAACGGGATTTCTTCATATTCTGCTAGACAGAAGAATTCTCAGTAACTTCCTTGTGTTGTGTGTATTCAACTCACAGAGTTGAACGATCCTTTACACAGAGCAGACTTGAAACACTCTTTTTGTGGAATTTGCAAGTGGAGATTTCAGCCGCTTTGAGTTCAATGGTAGAATAGGAAATATCTTCCTATAGAAACTAGAGAGAATGATTCTCAGAAACTCCTTTGTGATGTGTGTGTTCAACTCACAGAGTTGAACCTTTCTTTTCATAGAGCAGTAAGTAAACACTCTGTTTATAAAGTCTGCAAGTGGATATTCAGACCCCTTTGAGGCCTTCGTTGGAAACGGGATTTCTTCATATTATGCTAGACAGAAGAATTCTCAGTAACTTCCTTGTGTTGTGTGTATTCAACTGACAGAGTTGAACTTTCATTTAGACAGAGCAGATTTGAAACACTCTTTTTGTGGAATTTGCAAGTGGAGATTTCAAGCGCTTTGAGGCCAAAGTCAGAAAAGGAAATATCTTCGTATAAAAACTAGACAGAATCATTCTCAGAAACTGCTCTGCGATGTGTGCGTTCAACTCTCACAGTTTAACTTTTCTTTTCATTCAGCAGTTTGGAAACACTCTGTTTGTAAAGTCTGCACGTGGATAATTTGACCACTTAGAGGCCTTCTTTGGAAACGGGTTTTTTTCATATAAGGCTAGACAGAAGAATTCCCAGTAACTTCCTTGTGTTGTGTACATTCAACTCACAGAGTTGAACGTTCCCTTAGACAGAGCAGATTTGAAACACTCTTTTTGTGCAATTGGCAAATGGAGATTTCAAGCGCTATAAGTTCAATGGCAGAAAAGGAAATATCTTCGTTTCAAAACTAGACAGAATGATTCTCACAAACTCCTTTGTGATGTGTGCGTTCAACTCACAGAGTTTAACCTTTCTTTTCATAGAGTAGTTAGGAAACACTCTGTTTGTAAAGTCTGCAAGTGGATATTCAGACCTGTTTGAGGCCTTCGTTGGAAACGGGATTTCTTCATACTGTGCTAGACAGAAGAATTCTCAGAAACTTCCTTGTGTTGTGTGTATTCAACTCACAGAGTTGAACGACGCTTTACACAGAGCAGACTTGAAACACTCTTTTTGTGGAATTTGCAAGTGGGGATTTCAGCCGCTTTGAGGTCAATGGTAGAATAGGGAATATCTTCCTATAGAAACTAGACAGAATGATTCTCAGAAACTCCTTTGTGATGTGTGCGTTCAACTCACAGAGTTTAACTTTTCTTTTCATAGAGCAGTTAGGAAACACTCTGTTTGTAAAGTCTGCAAGTGGATATTCAGACCTCTTTGAGGCCTTCGTTGGAAACGGGATTTCTTCATTTTCTGCTAGACAGAAGAATTCTCAGTAACTTCCTTGTGTTGTGTGTATTCAACTGACAGAGTTGAACTTTCATTTAGAGAGAGCAGATTTGAAACACTGTTTTTGTGGAATTTGCCAGTGGAGATTTCAAGCGCTTTGGGGCCAAAGGCAGAAAAGGAAATATCTTCGTATAAAAACTAGACAGAATCATTCTCAGAAACTGCTGCGTGATGTGTGCGTTCAACTCTCAGAGTTTAACTTTCCTTTTCATTCAGCGGTTTGGAAACACTCTGTTTGTAAAGTCTGCACGTGGATATTTTGACCACTTAGAGGCCTTCGTTGGAAACGGGTTTTTTTCATGTAAGGCTAGACAGAAGAATTCCCAGTAACTTCCTTGTGTTGTGTACATTCAACTCACAGATTTGAACGTTCCCTTAGACAGAGCAGATTTGAAACACTCTTTTTGTGCAATTGGCAAATGGAGATTTCAAGCGCTTTAAGGTCAATGGCAGAAAAGGGAATATCTTCGTTTCAAAACTAGACAGAATGATTGTCATAAACTCCTTTGTGATGTGTGCGTTCAACACACAGAGTTTAACCTTTCTGTTCATAGAGCAGTTAGGAAACATTCTGTTTGTAAAGTCTGTAAGTGGATATTCTGACATCTTGTGGCCTTCGTTGGAAACGGGATTTCTTCATATTCTGTTAGACAGAAGAATTCTCAGAATCTTCCTTCTGTTGTGTGTATTCAACTCAGAGAGTTGAATGATCCTTTACACAGAGCAGACTTGAACCACTCTTTTTGTGGAATTTGCAAGTGGAGATTACAGCCGCTTTGAGGTCCATGGTAGAAAAGGAAATATCTTCGTATAAAAACTAGACAGAATGATTCTCAGAAACTTCTTTGTGATGTGTGCGTTCAACTCACAGAGTTTAACCTTTCTTTTCATAGAGCAGTTGGGAAACACTCTGTTTTTAAAGTCTGCAAGTGGATATTCAGACCTACTTTGAGGCCTTCGTTGGAAACGGGTTTTTTTCATGTAAGGCTAGACAGAAGAATTCCCAGTAACTTCCTTGTGTTGTGTGTGTTCAACTCACAGGAGTTGAACTTTCATTTACACAGAGCAGATTTGAAACACTCTTTTTGTGGAATTTGCAAGTGGAGATTTCAAGCGCTTTGAGGCCAAAGGCAGAAAAGGAAATATCTTCGTTTCAAAACTAGACAGAATGATTCTCAGAAACTGCTCTGCGATGTGTGCGTTCACCTCTCAGAGTTTAACTTTTCTTTTCATTCAGCAGTTTGGAAACACTCTGTTTGTAAAGTCTGCACGTGCATAATTTGACCACTTAGAGGCCTTCGTTGGAAACGGGTTTTTTTCATGTAAGGCTAGACAGAAGAATTCCCAGTAACTTCCTTGTGTTGTGTGCATTCAACTCACAGAGATGAACGTTCCCTTAGACAGAGCAGATTTGAAACACTCTATTTGTGTAATTTGCAAGTGTAGATTTCAAGCGCTTTAAGGTCAATGGCAGAAAAGGATATATCTCCGTTTCAAAACTAGACAGAATCATTCCCACAAACTGCGTTGTGATGTGTTCGTTCAACTCACAGAGTTTAACCTTTCTGTTCTTAGAGCAGTTAGGAAACACTCTGTTTGTAAAGTCTGTAAGTGGATATTCTGACATCTTGTGGCCTTCGTTGGAAACGGGATTTCTTTATATTCTGCTAGACAGAAGAATTCTCAGCAACTTCCTTGTGTTGTGTGTATTCAACTCACAGAGTTGAACGATCCTTTACACAGAGCAGACTTGAAACACTCTTTTTGTGGAATTTGCAAGTGGAGATTTCAGCCGCTTTGAGGTCAATGGTAGAATAGGAAATATCTTCCTATAGAAACTAGACAGAATGATTCTCAGAAACTCCTTTGTGATGTGGGCGTTCGAACTCACAGAGTTTAACCTTTCTTTTCATAGAGCAGTTAGGAAACACTCTGTTTGTAAAGTCTGCAAGTGGATATTCAGACATCTTTGAGGCTTTCGTTGGAAACTGGATTTCTTCATATTCTGCTATACAGAAGAATTCCCAGTAACTTCCTTGTCTTGTGTGTGTTCAACTCCCAGAGTTGAACTTTCATTTACACAGAGCAGATTTGAAACACTCTTTTTGTGGAATTTGCAAGTGGAGATTTCAAGCGCTTTGAGGCCAAAGGCAGAAAAGGAAATATCTTCGTTTCAAAACTAGACAGAATCATTCTCAGAAACTGCTGCGTGATGTGTGCGTTCAACTCTCAGAGTTTAACTTTTCTTTTCATTCAGCGGTTTGGAAACACTCTGTTTTTAAAGTCTGCACGTGGATATTTTGACCACTTAGAGGCCTTCGTTGGAAACGGGTTTTTTTTCATGTAAGGCTAGACAGAAGAATTCTCAGTAACTTCCTTGTGTTGTGTGTATTCAACTCACACAGTTGAACGATCCTTTACACAGAGCAGACTTGTAACACTCTTTTTGTGGGATTTGCAAGTGGAGATTTCAGCCGCTTTGAAGTCAAAGGTAGAAAAGGAAATATCTTCCTATAAAAACTAGACAGAATCATTCCCACAAACTGCGTTGTGATGTGTTCGTTCAACTCACAGAGTTTAACCTTTCTGTTCATAGAGCAGTTAGGAAACACTCTGTTTGTAAAGTCTGCAAGTGGATATTCAGACCTCTTTGAAGCCTTCGATGGAAACGGGATTTCTTCATATTCTGCTAGACAGAAGAATTCTCAGTAACTTCGTGGTGTTGTGTGTTTTCAACTCACAGAGTTGAATGATCCTTTACACAGAACAGTCTTGAAACACTCTTTTTGTGGAATTTGCAAGTGGAGATTTCAGCCGCTTTGAGGTCAATGGTAGAATAGGAAATATCTTCCTATAGAAACTAGACAGAATGATTCTCAGAAACTCCTTTGTGATGTGTGCGTTCAACTCACAGAGTTTAACCTTTCTTTTCATAGAGCAGTTAGGAAACACTCTGTTTGTAAAGTCTGCAAGTGGATATTCAGACCTCTTTGAAGCCTTCGTTGGAAACGGGATTTCTTCATATTCTGCTAGACAGAAGAATTCTCAGTAACTTCCTTGTGTTGTGTGTATTCAACTCACAGAGTTGAACGAACCTTTACACAGAGCAGACTTGAAACACTCTTTTTGTGGAATTTGCAAGTGGAGATTTCAGCCGCTTTGAGGTCAATTGTAGAAAAGGAAATATCTTCGTAGAAAAACTAGACAGAATCATTCTCAGAAACTGCTCTGCGATGTGTGCGTTCAACTCTCAGAGTTTAACTTTTCTTTTCATTCAGCAGTTTGGAAACACTCTGTTTGTAAAGTCTGCACGTGGATAATTTGACCACTTAGAGGACTTCGTTGGAAACGGGTTTTTTTCATGTAAGGCTAGACAGAAGAATTCTCAGTAACTTCCTTGTGTTGTGTGTATTCAACTCACAGAGTTGAACGTTCCCTTAGACAGAGCAGATTTGAAACACTCTTTTTGTGCAATTGGCAAGTGGAGATTTCAAGCGCTTTAAGGTCAATGGCAGAAAAGGAAATATCTTCGTTTCAAAACTAGACAGAATGATTCTCAGAAACTTCTTTGTGATGTGTGCGTTCAACTCACAGAGTTTAACCTTTCTTTTCATAGAGCAGTTAGGAAACACTCTGTTTGAAAACTCTGCAAGTGGATGTTCAGACCTCTTTGAGGCCTTCGTTGGAAACGGGATTTCTTCATACTATGCTAGACAGAAGAATTCTCAGTAACTTCCTTGTGTTGTGTGTATTCAACTCACAGAGTTGAACGATCCTTTACACAGAGCAGACTTGTAACACTCTTTTTGTGGAATTTGCAAGTGGAGATTTCAGCCGCTTTGACGTCAAAGGTAGAAAAGGAAATATCTTCCTATAAAAACTAGACAGAATGATTCTCAGAAACTCCTTTGTGATGTGTGTGTTCAACTCACAGAGTTTAACCTTTCTTTTCATAGAGCAGTTAGTAAACACTCTGTTTATAAAGTCTGCAAGTGGATATTCAGACCCCTTTGAGGCCTTCGTTGGAAACGGGTTTTCTTCATATTCTGCTAGACAGAAGAATTCTCAGTAACTTCCCTTGTGTTGTGTGTATTCAACTCACAGAATTGAATGATCCTTTACACAGAGCGGACTTGAAACACTCTTTTTGTGGAATTTGCAAGTGGAGATTTCAGCCGTTTTGAGTTCAATGGTAGAATAGGAAATATCTTCCTATAGAAACTAGACAGAATCATTCTCAGAAACTGCTCTGCGATGTGTGCGTTCAACTCTCAGAGTTTAACTTTTCTTTTCATTCAGCAGTTTGGAAACACTCTGTTTGTAAAGTCTGCACGTGGATATTTTGACCATTTAGAGGCCTTCGTTGGAAACGGGTTTTTTTCTTGTAAGGCTAGACAGAAGAATTCCCAGTAACTTCCTTGTGTTGTGTACATTCAACTCACAGAGTTGAACGTTCCCTTAGACAGAGCAGATTTGAAACACTCTTTTTGTGCAATTGGCAAGTGGTGATTTCAGCCTCTTTGAGGTCAATGGTAGAAAAGGAAATATCTTCGTATAAAAACTAGACAGAACGATTCTCAGAAACTCCTTTGTGATGTGTGCGTTCAACTCACAGAGTTTAACTTTTCTTCTCATAGAGCAGTTAGGAAACACTCTGTTTGTAAAGTCTGCAAGTGGATATTCAGACCTCTTTGAGGCCTTCGTTGGAAACGGGATTTCTTCATATTTTGCTAGACAGAAGAATTCTCAGTAACTTCCTTGTGTTGTGTGTATTCAACTCACAGAGTTGAACGATCTCTTACACAGAGCAGAGTTGAAACACTCTTTTTCTGGAATTTGCAAGTGGAGATTTCAGCCGCTTTGAGGTCAATGGTAGAATAGGAAATATCTTCCTATAGAAACTAGACAGAATGATTCTCAGAAACTCCTTTGTGATGTGTGCGTTCAACTCACAGAGTTTAACCTTTCTTTTCATAGAGCAGTTAGGAAACACTCTGTTTGTAAAGTCTGCAAGTGGATACTCAGACCTCTTTGAGGCCTTCGTTGGAAACGGGTTTTTTTCATATAAGGCTAGACAGAAGAATTCCCAGTAACTTCCTTGTGTTGTGTGTGTTCAACTCACAGAGTTGAACTTTCATTTACACAGAGCAGATTTGAAACACTCTTTTTGTGGAATTTGCAAATGGAGATTTCAAGCGCTTTGAGGCCAAAGGCAGAAAAGGAAATGTCTTCGTTTCAAAAGTAGACAGAATCATTCTCAGAAACTGCTCTGCATTGTGTGTGTTCAACTCTCAGAGTTTAACTTTTCTTTTCATTCAGCAGTTTGAAAACACTCTGTTTGTAAAGTCTGTACGTGGATAATTTGACCACATAGAGGCCTTCGTTGGAAACGGGTTTTTTTCATGTAAGGCTAGACAGAAGAATTCTCAGTAACTTCCTTGTGTTGTGTGTATTCAACTCACAGAGTTGAACGATCCTTTACACAGAGCAGACTTGTAACACTCTTTTTGTGGAATTTGCAAGTGGAGATTTCAGCCGCTGTGAAGTCAGAGGTAGAAAAGGAAATATCTTCCTATAAAAACTAGACAGAATCATTCCCACAAACTGCGTTGTGATGTGTTCGTTCAACTCACAGAGTTTAACCTTTCCGTTCATAGAGCAGTTAGGAAACACTCTGTTTGTAAAGTCTGTAAGTGGATATTGTGACATCTTGTGGCCTTCGTTGGAAACGGGATTTCTTCATATTCTGCTAGACAGAAGAATTCTCAGTAACTGCCTTGTGTTGTGTGTATTCAACTCACAGAGTTGAACGATCCTTTACACAGAGCAGACTTGAAACACTCCTTTTGTGGAATTTGCAAGTGGAGATTTCAGCCGCTTTGAGGTCAATGGTAGAATAGGAAATATCTTCTTATAGAAACTAGACAGAATGATTCTCAGAAACTCCTTTGTGATGTGTGCATTCAACTCACAGAGTTTAACCTTTCTTTTCATAGAGTAGTTAGGAAACACTCTGTTTGTAAAGTCTGCAAGTGGATATTCAGACCTCCTTGAGGCCTTCGTTGGAAACGGGATTTCTTCATATTATGCTAGACAGAAGAATTCTCAGTAACTTCCTTGTGTTGTGTGTATTCAACTGACAGAGTTGAACTTTCATTTAGACAGAGCAGATCTGAAACACTCTTTTTGTGGAATTTGCAAGTGGAGATTTCAAGCGCTTTGAGGCCAAAGGCCGAAAAGGAAATATCTTCGTATAAAAACTAGACAGAATCATTCTCAGTAACTGCTCTGCGATGTGTGCGTTCAACTCTCAGAGTTTAACTTTTCTTTTCATTCAGCAGTTTGGAAACACTCTGTTTGTAAAGTCTGCACGTGGATATTTTGACCACTTAGAGGCCTTCGTTGGAATCGGGTTTTTTTCCTGTAAGGCTAGACAGAAGAATTCCCAGTAACTTACTTGTGTTGTGTACATTCAACTCACAGAGTTGAACGTTCCCTTAGACAGAGCAGATTTGAAACACTCTTTTTGTGCAATTGGCAAGTGGTGATTTCAGCTGCTTTGAGGTCTATGGTAGAAAAGGGAATATCTTCGTATAAAAACTAGACAGAATGATTCTCAGAAACTCCTTTGTGATGTGTGCGTTCAACTCACACAGTTTAACCTTTCTTTTCATAGAGCAGTTAGAAAACACTCTGTTTGTAAAGTCTGCAAGTGGATATTCAGACCTCCTTGAGGCATTCGTTGGAAACGGGATTTCTTCATATTATGCTAGACAGAAGAATTCTCAGTAACTTCCTTGTGTTGTGTGTATTCAACTCACAGAGTTGAACGATCCTTTACACAGAGCAGACTTGAAACACTCTTTTTGTGGAATTTGCAAGTGGAGATTTCAGCCGCTTTGAGGTCAATGTTAGAATAGGAAATATCTTCCTATAGAAACTAGACAGAGTGATTCTCAGAAACTCCTTTGTGATGTGTGCGTTCAACTCACAGAGTTTAACCTTTCTTTTCATAGAGCAGTTAGGAAACACTCTGTTTGTAAAGTCTGCAAGTGGATATTCAGAGCTCCTTGAGGCCTTCGTTGGAAACGGGATTTCTTCATATTCTGCTATACAGAATAATTCTCAGTAACTTCCTTGTGTTGTGTGTATTCAACTCACAGAGTTGAACAATCCTTTACACAGAGCAGACTTGAAACATTCTTTTTGTGGAATTTGCAAGTGGAGATTTCAGCCGCTTTGAGGTCAATGGTAGAATAGGAAATATCTTCCTATAGAAACTAGACAGAATCATTCTCAGAAACTGCTCTGTGATGTGTGCGTTCAACTCACAGAGTTTAACTTTTCTTTTCATTCAGCAGTTTGGAAGCACTCTGTTTGTATAGTCTGCAAGTGGATATATTGACCACTTTGAGGCCTTCGTTGGAAACGGTTTTTTTTCATGTAAGGCTAGACAGAAGAATTCCCAGTAACTTCCTTGTGTTGTGTACATTCAACTCACAGAGTTGAACGTTCCCTTAGAGAGAGCAGATTTGAAATACTCTTTTTGTGCAATTGGCAAGTGGAGATTTCAAGCGCTTTAAGGTCAATGGCAGAAAAGGAAATATCTTCGTTTCAAAACTAGACAGAATCATTCCCACAAACTGCGTTGTGATGTGTTCGTTCAACTCACAGAGTTTAACCTTTCTTTTCATAGAGCAGTTAGGAAACACTCTGTTGGTAAATTCTGTAAGTGGATATTCTGACATTTTGTGGCCTTCGTTGGAAACGGGATTTCTTCATATTCTGCTAGACAGAAGAATGCTCAGTAACTTCCTTGTGTTGTGTGTATTCAACTCACAGAGTTGAACGATCCTTTACACAGAGCAGACTTGAAACACTCTTTTTGTGGAATTTGCAAGTGGAGATTTCAGCCGCTTTGAGGTCAATGGTAGAAAAGGAAACTATCTTCATATAAAGATTAGACAGAATGATTCTCAGAAACTCCTTTGTGATGTGTGTGTTCAACTCACAGAGTTTAACCTTTCTTTTCATAGAGCAGTTAGGAAACACTCTGTTTGTAAAGTCTGCAAGTGGATATTCTGACCTCTTTGAGGCCTTCGTTGGAAACGGGTTTTTTTCATATAAGGCTAGACAGAAGAATTCTCAGTAACTTCCTTGTGTTGTGTGTATTCAAATGACAGAGTTGAATTTCATTTAGAGAGAGCAGATTTGAAACACTGTTTTTGTGGAATTTGCAAGTGGAGATTTCAAGCGCTTTGGGGCCAAAGGCAGAAAAGGAAATATCTTCGTATAAAAACTAGACAGAATCATTCTCAGAAACTGCTGCGTAATGTGTGCGTTCAACTCTCAGAGTTTAACTTTTCTTTTCATTCAGCGGTTTGGAAACACTCTGTTTGTAAAGTCTGCACGTGGATATTTTGACCACTTAGAGGCCTTCGTTGAAAACGGGATTTTTTCATGTAAGGCTAGACAGAAGAATTCCCAGTAACTTCCTTGTGTTGTGTGCATTCACCTCACAGAGCTGAACGTTCCCTTAGACAGAGCAGATTTGAAACACTCTATTTGTGCAATTTGCAAGTGTAGATTTCAAGCGCTTTAAGGTCAATGGCAGAAAAGGAAATATCTTCGTTTCAAAACTAGACAGAATGATTCTCAGAAACTCCTTTCTGACGTGTGCGTTCAACTCACAGAGTTTAACCTTTCTTTTCATAGAGCAGTTAGGAAACACTCTGTTTGTAAAGTCTGAAAGTGGATATTCAGACCTCTTTGAGGCCTTCGTTGGAAACGGGATTTCTTCATATTATGCCTGACAGAAGAATTCTCAGTAACTTACCTTGTGTTGTGTGTATTCAACTCACAGAGTTGAACGATCCTTTACACAGAGCAGACTTGAAACACTCTTTTTCTGGAATTTGCAAGTGGAGATTTCAGCCGCTTTGAGGTCAATGGTAGAATAGGAAATATCTTCTTATAGAAACTAGACAGAATGATTCTCAGAAACTCCTTTGTGATGTGTGCGTTCAACTCACAGAGTTTAACTTTTCTTTTCATAGAGCAGTTAGGAAACACTCTGTTTGTAAAGTCTGCAAGTGGATATTCAGACCTCTTTGAGGCCTTCTTTGGAAACGGGATTTCTTCATATTATGCTAGACAGAAGAATTCCCAGTAACTTCCTTGTGTTGTGTGTGTTCAACTCACAGAGTTGAACTTTCATTTACACAGAGCAGATTTGAAACACTCTTTTTGTGGAATTTGCAAATGGAGATTTCAGCCGCGTTGAGGTAAATGGTAGAAAAGGAAATATCTTCGTTTCAAAACTAGACAGAATCATTCTCAGAAACTGCTCTGCGATGTGTGCGTTCAACTCTCAGAGTTTAACTTTTCTTTTCATTCAACAGTTTGGAAACACTCTGTTTGTAAAGTCTGCACGTGGATATTTTGACCACTTAGAGGCCTTCGTTGGAAACGGGTTTTTTTCCTGTAAGGCTAGACAGAAGAATTCCCAGTAACTTCCTTGTGTTGTGTGCATTCAACTCAGAGAGTTGAACGTTCCCTTAGACAGAGCAGATTTGAAACACTCTATTTGTGCAATTTGCAAGTGTAGTTTTCAAGCTCTTTAAGGTCAATGGCAGAAAAGGAAATATCTTCGTTTCAAAACTAGACAGAATGATTCTCAGAGACTCCTTTGTGATGTGTGCGTTCAACTCACAGAGTTTAACCTTTCTTTTCATAGAGCAGTTGGGAAACACTCTGTTTGTAAAGTCTGCAAGTGGATATTCAGACATCCTTGAGGCTTTCGTTGGAAACGGGATTTCTTCATATTCTGCTAGAAAGAAAAATTCTCAGTAACTTCCTTGTGTTGTGTGTATTCAACTCACAGAATTGAACGATCCTTTACACAGAGCAGACTTGAAACACTCTTTTTGTGGAATTTGCAAGTGGAGATTTCAGCCGCTTTGAGGTCAATGGTAGAAAAGGAAATATCTTCGTATAAAGACTAGACAGATAGATTCTCAGAAACTCCTTTGTGATGTGTGCGTTCAACTCACAGAGTTTAACCTTTCTTTTCATAGAGCAGTTAGGAAACACTCTGTTTGTAAAGTCTGCAAGTGGATATTCAGCCCTCTTTGAGGCCTTCGTTGGAAACGGGTTTTTTTCATATAAGGCTAGACAGAAGAATTCTCAGTAACTTCTTTCTGTTGTGTGTATTCAACTGACAGAGTTGAACTTTCATTTAGAGAGAGCAGATTTGAAACACTGTTTTTGTGGAATTTGCAAGTGGAGATTATAAGCGCTTTGGGGCCAAAGGCAGAAAAGGAAATATCTTCGTATAAAAACTAGACAGAATCATTCTCAGAAACTGCTCTGTGATGTGTGCGTTCAACTCTCAGAGTTTAACTTTTCTTTTCATTCAGCAGTTTGGAAACCCTCTGTTTGTAAAGTCTGCACGTGGATATTTTGACCACTTAGAGGCCTTCGTTGGAAACGGGTTTCTTTCCTTTAAGGCTAGACAGAAGAATTCTCAGTAACTTCCTTGTGTTGTGTGCATTCAACTCACAGAGTTGAACGTTCCCTTAGACAGAGCAGATTTGAAACAGCCTATTTTTGCAATTTGCAAGTGTAGATTTCAAGCGCTTTAAGGTCAACGGCTGAAAAGGAAATATCTTCCTTTCAAAACTAGACAGAATCATTCCCACAAACTGCGTTGTGATGTGTTCGTTCAACTCACAGAGTTTAAGCTTTCTGTTCATAGAGCAGTTAGGAAACACTCTGTTTGTAAAGTCTGTAAGTGGATATTCTGACATCTTGTGGCCTTCGTTGGAAACGGGATTTCTTCATATTCTGCTAGACAGAAGAATTCTCAGGAACTTCCTTGTGTTGTGTGTTTTCAACTCACAGAGTTGAACGATCCTTTACACAGAGCAGACTTGAAACACTCTTTTGGTGGAATTTGCAAGTGGACATTTCAGCCGCTTTGAGGTCAATGGTAGAAAAGGAAATATCTTCGTATAAAAACTAGACAGAATGATTCTCAGAAACTCCTTTGTGATGTGTGCGTTCAACTCACAGAGTTTAACCTTTCTTTTCATAGAGCAGTTGGGAAACACTCTGTTTGTAAAGTCTGCAAGTGGATATTCAGACTTCTTTGAGGCCTTCGTTGGAAGCGGGGTTTCTTCATATTCTGCTAGACAGAAGAATTCTCAGTAACTTCCTTGTGTTGTGTGTATTCAACTCACAGAATTGAACGATCCTTTACACAGAGCAGACTTGAAACACTCTTTTTGTGGAATTTGCAAGTGGAGATTTCTGCCGCTTTGAGGTCAATGGTAGAAAAGGAAATATCTTCGTATAAAAACTAGACAGAATCATTCTAAGAAACTGCTCTGCGATGGGTGTGTTCAACTCTCAGAGTTTAACTTTTCTTTTCCTTCAGCAGTTTGGAAACACTCTGTTTGTAAAGTCTGCACGTGGATAATTTGACCACTTAGAGGCCTTCGTTGGAAACGGGTTTTTTTCATGTAAGTCTAGACAGAAGAATTCCCAGTAACTTCCTTGTGTTGTGTACATTCAACTCACAGAGTTGAACGTTCCCTTAGACAGAGCAGATTTGAAATACTCTTTTTGTGCAATTGGCAAGTGGAGATTTCAAGCGCTTTAAGGTCAATGGCAGAAAAGGAAATATCTTCGTTTCAAAACTAGACAGAATCATTCCCACAAACTGCGTTGTGATGTGTTCGTTCAACTCACAGAGTTTAACCTTTCTTTTCATAGAGCAGTTAGGAAACACTCTGTTGGTAAATTCTGTAAGTGGATATTCTGACATCTTGTGGCCTTCGTTGGAAACAGGATTTCTTCATATTCTGCTACACAGAAGAATTCTCAGTAACTTCCTTGTGTTGTGTGTATTCAACTCACAGAGTTGAACGATCCTTTACACAGAGCAGACTTGTAACACTCTTTTTGTGGAATTTGCAAGTGGAGATTTCAGCCGCTTTGAAGTCAAAGGTAGAAAAGGAAATATCTTCCTATAAAAAATAGACAGAAATGATTCTCAGAAACTTCTTTGTGATGTGTGCGTTCAACTCACAGAGTTTAACCTTTCTTTTCATAGAGCAGTTAGGAAACACTCTGTTTGTAAACTCTGCAAGTGGATATTCAGACCTCTTTGAGGCCTTCGTTGGAAACGGGATTTCTTCATACTATGCTAGACAGAAGAATTCCCAGTAACTTCCTTGTGTTGTGTGTGTTCAACTCACAGCAGTTGAACTTTCATTTACACAGAGCAGATTTGAAACACTCTTTTTGTGGAATTTGCAAGTGGAGATTTCAAGCGCTGTGAGGCCAAAGGCAGAAAAGGAAATATCTTCGTATAAAAACTAGACAGAATCATTCTCAGAAAGTGCTCTGCGATGTGTGCGTTCAACTCTCAGAGTTTAACTTTGCTTTTCATTCAGCAGTTTGGAAACACTCTGTTTGTAAAGTCTGCACGTGGATAATTTGACCACTTAGAGGCCTTCGTTGGAAACGGGTTTTTTTCATGTAAGGCTAGACAGAAGAATTCCCAGTAACTTCCTTGTGTTGTGTACATTCAACTCACAGAGTTGAACGTTCCCTTAGACAGAGCAGATTTGAAACACTCTTTTTGTGTAATTGGCAAATGGAGATTTCAAGCGCTTTAAGGTCAATGGCAGAAAAGGAAATATCTTCGTTTCAAAACTAGACAGAAGCATTCCCACAAACTGCGTTGTGATGTGTTCGTTCAACTCACAGAGTTTAACCTTTCTTTTCATAGAGCAGTTAGGAAACAGTCTGTTTGTGAATTCTGTAAGTGGATATTCTGACATCTTGTGGCCTTCGTTGGAAACGGGATTTCTTCATATTCTGCTAGACAGAAGAATTCTCAGAATCTTCCTTGTGTTGTGTGTATTCAACTCACAGAGTTGAACGATGGTTTACACAGAGCAGATTTGAAACACTCTTTTTGTGGAATTTTCAAGTGGAGATTTCAGCCGCTTTGAGGTCAATGGTAGAAAAGGAAATATCTTCGTATAAAAACTAGACAGAATGATTCTCAGAAACTTCTTTGTGATGTGTGCGTTCAACTCACAGAGTTTAACCTTTCTTTTCATAGAGCAGTTAGGAAACACTGTGTTTTTAAACTGTCCAAGTGGATATTCAGACCTCTTTGAGGCCTTCGTTGGAAACGGGATTTCTTCATACTGTGCTAGACAGAAGAATTCCCAGTAACTTCCTTGTGTTGTGTGTGTTCAACTCACAGAGTTGAACTTTCATTTACACAGAGCAGATTTGAAACTCTCTTTTTGTGGAATTTGCAAATGGAGATTTCAAGCGCTTTGAGGCCAAAGGCAGAAAAGGAAATGTCTTCGTTTCAAAACTAGACAGAATCATTCTCAGAAACTGCTCTGCGATGTGTGCGTTCAACTCTCAGAGTTTAACTTTTCTTTTCATTCAGCAGTTTGGAAACACTCTGTTTGTAAAGTCTGCACGTGGATAATTTGACCACTTAGAGGCCTTCATTGGAAACGGGTTTTTTTCATGTAAGGCTAGACAGAAGAATTCCCAGTAACTTCCTTGTGTTGTGTGCATTCAACTCACAGAGTTGAACGTTCCCTTAGACAGAGCAGAGTTGAAACACTCTATTTGTGCAATTTGCAAGTGTAGATTTCAAGCGCTTTAAGGTCAATGGCAGAAAAGGAAATATCTTCGTTTCAAAACTAGACAGAATGATTCTCAGAAACTCCTTTGTGATGTGTGCGTTCAACTCACACAGTTCAACCTTTCTTTTCATAGAGCAGTTGGGAAACACTCTGTTTGTAAAGTCTGCAAGTGGATATTCAGACTTCTCTGAGGCCTTCGTTGGAAGCGGGATTTCTTCATGTTCTGCTAGACAGAAGAATTCTCAGTAACTGCCTTGTGTTGTGTGTATTCAACTCACAGAGTTGAACGATCCTTTACACTCAGCAGACTTGAAACACTCTTTTTGTGGAATTTGCAAGTGGAGATTTCAGCCGCTTTGAGGTCAATGGTAGAATAGGAAATATCTTCCTATAGAAACTAGACAGAATGATTCTCATAAACTCCTTTGTGATGTGTGCATTCAACTCACAGAGTTTCACCTTTCTTTTCATAGAGCAGTTAGGAAACACTCTGTTTGTAAAGTCTGCAAGTGGATATTCAGACCTCCTTGAGGTCTTCGTTGGAAACGGGATTTCTTCATATTCTGCTAGATAGAAGAATTCTCAGTAACTTCCTTCTGTTGTGTGTATTCAACTCACAGAGTTGAACGATCCTTTACACAGAGCAGACTTGAAACACTCTTTTTGTGGAATTTGCAAGTGGAGATTTCAGCCGCTTTGAGGTCAATGGTAGAAAAGGAAACTATCTTCGTATAAAGACTAGACAGAATCATTCTCAGAAACTGCTGCGTGATGTGTGCGTTCAACTCTCAGAGTTTAACTTTTCTTTTCATTCAGCGGTTTGGAAACACTCTGTTTGTAAAGTTTGCACGTGGATATTTTGACCACTTAGAGGCCTTCGTTGGAAACGGGTTTTTTTCATGTAAGGCTAGACAGAAGAATTCCCAGTAACTTCCTTGTGTTGTGTGCATTCAACTCACAGAGTTGAACGTTCCCTTAGACAGAGCAGATTTGAAACAGCCTATTTGTGCAATTGCAAGTGTAGATTTCAAGCTCTTTAAGGTCAACGGCAGAAAAGGAAATATCTTCGTTTCAAAACTAGACAGAATCATTCCCACAAACTGCGTTGTGATGTGTTCGTTCAACTCACAGAGTTTAACCTTTGTTTTCATAGAGCAGTTAGGAAACAGTCTGTTTGTCAATTCTGTAAGTGGATATTCTGACATCTTGTGGCCTTCGTTGGAAACGGGATTTCTTCATATTCTGCTAGACAGAAGAATTCTCAGTAACTTCCTTGTGTTGTGTGTATTCAACTCACAGAGTTGAACGATCCTTTACACAGAGCAGACTTGAAACACTCTTTTTGTGAAATTTGCAAGTGGAGATTTCAGCCGCTTTGAGGTCAATAGTAGAAAAGGAAATATCTTCGTAGAAAAACTAGACAGAATGATTCTCAGAAACTCCTTTGTGATGTGGTGTTCAACTCACAGAGTTTAACCTTTCTTTTCATAGAGCAGTTAGTAAACACTCTGTTTATAAAGTCTGCAAGTGGATATTCAGACCCCTTTGAGGCCTTCGTTGGAAACGGGATTTCTTCATATTATGCTAGACAGAAGAATTCCCAGTAACTTCCTTGTGTTGTGTGTGTTCAACTCACAGAGTTGAACTTTCATTTACACAGAGCAGATTTGAAGCACTCTTTTTGTGGAATTTGCAGGTGGAGATTTCAAGCGCTTTGAGGCCAAAGGCAGAAAAGGAAATATCTTCGTATAAAAACTAGACAGAATCATTCTCAGAAACTGCTCTGCGATGTGTGCGTTCAAGTCTCAGAGTTTAACTTTTCTTTTCATTCAGCAGTTTGGAAACACTCTGTTTGTAAAGTCTGCACGTGGATAATTTGACCACTTAGAGGCCTTCGTTGGAAACGGGTTTTTTTCATGTAAGGCTAGACAGAAGAATTCTCAGTAACTTCCTTGTGTTGTGTGTATTCAACTCACACAGTTGAACGATCCTTTACACAGAGCAGACTTGTAACACTCTTTTTGTGGAATTTGCAAGTGGAGATTTCAGCCGCTTTGAAGTCAAAGTAGAAAGGGAAATATCTTCCTATAAAAACTAGACAGAATCATTCCCACAAACTGCGTTGGGATGTGTTCGTTCAACTCACAGAGTTTAACCTTTCTTTTCATAGAGCAGTTAGGAAACAGTCTGTTTGTCAATTCTGTAAGTGGATATTCTGACATCTTGTGGCCTTCGTTGGAAACGGGATTTCTTCATATTCTGCTAGACAGAAGAATTCTCAGTAACTTCCTTGTGTTGTGTGTATTCACTCACAGAGTTGAACGATCCTTTACACAGAGCAGACTTGTAACACTCTTTTTGTGGAATTTGCAAGTGGAGATTTCAGCCGCTTTGAAGTCAAAGGTAGAAAAGGAAATATCTTCCTATAAAAACTAGACAGAATGATTCTCAGAAACTCCTTTGTGATGTGTGCGTTCAACTCAAAGAGTTTAACTTTTCTTTTCATAGAGCAGTTAGGAAACACTCTGTTTGTATAGTCTGCAAGTGGATATTCAGACCTATTTGAGGCCTTCGTTGGAAACGGGATTTCTTCATATTATGCTAGACAGAAGAATTCCCAGTATCTTCCTTGTGTTGTGTGTGTTCAACTCACAGAGTTGAACTTTCATTTACACAGAGCAGATTTGAAACACTCTTTTTGTGGAATTTGCAAGTGGAGATTTCAAGCGCTGTGAGGCCAAAGGCAGAAAAGGAAATATCTTCGTATAAAAACTAGACAGAATCATTCTCAGAAACTGCTCTGCGATGCGTGCGTTCAACTCTCAGAGTTTAACTTTTGTTTTCATTCAGCAGTTTGGAAACACTCTGTTTGTAAAGTCTGCACGTGGATAATTTGACCACTTATAGGCCTTCGTTGGAAACGGGTTTTTTTCCTGTAAGGCTAGACAGAAGAATTCCCAGTAACTTCCTTGTGTTGTGTGCATTCAACTCACACAGATGAACGTTCCCTTAGACAGAGCAGATTTGAAACACTCTATTTGTGCAATTTGCAAGTGTAGATTTCAAGCGCTTTAAGGTCAATGGCAGAAAAGGAAATATCTTCGTTTCAAAACTAGACAGAATCATTCCCACAAACTGCGTTGTGATGTGTTCGTTCAACTCACAGAGATTAACCTTTCTGTTCATAGAGCAGTTAGGAAACACTCTGTTTGTAAAGTCCGTAAGTGGATATTCTGACATCTTGTGGCCTTGTTTGGAAACCGGACTTCTTCATATACTGCTAGACAGAATAATTCTCAGTAACTTCCTTGTGTTGTGTGTATTCCACTCACAGAGTTGAACGATCCTTTACAGAGAGCAGACTTGAAACACTCTTTTTGTGGAATTTGCAAGTGGAGATTTCAGCCGCTTTGAGGTCAATGGTAGAATAGGGAATATCTTCCTATAGAAACTAGACAGAATGATTCTCAGAAACTCCTTTGTGATGTGTGTGTTCAACTCACAGAGTTTAACCTTTCTTTTCATAGAGCAGTTAGTAAACACTCTGTTTATAAAGTCTGCAAGTGGATATTCAGGCCCCTTTGAGGCCTTCGTTAGAAACGGGATTTCTTCATATTATGCTAGACAGAAGAATTCTCAGTAACTTCCTTCTGTTGTGTGTATTCAAGTGACAGAGTTGAACTTTCATTTAGAGAGAGCAGATTTGAAACACTGTTTTTGTGGAATTTGCAAGTGGAGATTTCAAGCGCTTTGGGGCCAAAGGCAGAAAAGGAAATATCTTCGTATAAAAAGTAGACAGAATCATTCTCAGAAAATGCTCTGTGATGTGTGCGTTGAACTCTCAGAGTTTAACTTTTGTTTTCATTCAGCAGTTTGGAAATACTCTGTTTGTAAATTCTGCACGTGGATATTTTGACCACTTAGAGGCCTTCGTTGGAAACGGGTTTTTTTCATGTAAGGGTAGACAGAAGAATTCCCAGTAACTTCCTTGTGTTGTGTACATTCAACTCACAGAGTTGAACGTTTTCTTAGACAGAGCAGATTTGAAACACTCTTTTTGTGCAATTGGCAAATGGAGATTTCAAGCGCTTTAAGGTCAATGGCAGAAAAGGAAATATCTTCGTTTCAAAACTAGACAGAATCATTCCCACAAACTGCGTTGTGATGTGTTCGTTCAACTCACAGAGTTTTACCTTTCTTTTCATAGAGCAGTTAGGAAACAGTCTGTTTGTCAATTCTGTAAGTGGATATTCTGACATCTTGTGGCCTTCGTTGGAAACGGGATTTCTTCATATTCTGCTAGACAGAAGAATTCTCAGTAACTTCCTTGTGTTGTGTGTATTCAACTCACAGAGTTGAACGATCCTTTACACAGAGCAGACTTGAAACACTCTTTTTGTGGAATTTGCAAGTGGAGATTTCAGCCGCTTTGAGGTCAATGGTAGAAAAGGATATATCTTCGTATAAAGACTAGACAGAATGATTCTCAGAAACTCCTTTGTGTTGTGTGTGTTCAACTCACAGAGTTTAACCTTTCTTTCCATAGAGCAGTTAGGAAACACTCTGTTTGTAAAGTCTGCAAGTGGATATTCAGACCTCCTAGAGGCCTTCGTTGGAAACAGGATTTCTTCATATTATGCTAGACAGAAGAATTCCCAGTAACTTCCTTGTGTTGTGTGTGTTCAACTCACAGAGTTGAACTTTCATTTACACAGAGCAGATTTGAAACACTCTTTTTGTGGAATTTGCAAGTGGAGATTTCATGCGCTTTGAGGCCAAAGGCAAAAAAGGAAATATCTTCGTTTCAAAACTAGACAGAATCATTCTCAGAAACTGCTCTGCGATGTGTGCGTTCAACTCTCAGAGTTTAACTTTTCTTTTCATTCAGCAGTTTGAAAACACTCTGTTTGTAAAGTCTGCACGTGGATATTTTGACCACTTAGAGGCCTTCGTTGGAAACGGGTTTTTTTGCCTGTAAGGCTAGACAGAAGAATTCCCAGTAACTTCCTTGTGTTGTGTACATTCAACTCACAGAGTTGAACGTTCCCTTAGACAGAGCAGATATGAAACACTCTTTTTGTGCAATTGGCAAATGGAGATTTCAAGCGCTTTAAGGTCAATGGCAGAAAAGGAAATATCTTCGTTTCAAAACTAGACCGAGTGATTCTCAGAAACTCCTTTGTGATGTCTGCGTTCAACTCACAGAGTTTAACCTTTCTTTTCATAGAACAGTTAGGAAACACTCTGTTTGTAAAGTCTGCAAGTGGATATTCAGACCTCCTTGAGGCCTTCGTTGGAAACGGTATTTCTTCATATTCTGCTATACAGAAGAATTCTCAGAAACTTCCTTGTGTTGTGTGTATTCAACTCACAGAGTTGAACGATCGTTTACACAGAGCAGACTTGAGACACTCTTTTTGTGGTATTTGTAAGTGGAGATTTCAGCCGCTTTGAGGTCAATGGTAGAAAAGGAAATATCTTCGTATAAAAACTAGACAGAATGATTCTCAGAAACTCCTTTGTGATGTGTGTGTTCAACTCACAGAGTTTAACCTTTCTTTTCATAGAGCAGTTAGGAAACACTCTGTTTGTAAAGTCTGCAAGTGGATATTCAGACCTCTTTGAGGCCTTCGTTGGAAACGGGATTTTTCATATAAGGCTAGACAGAAGAATTCCCAGTAACTTCCCTTGTGTTGTGTGTGTTCAACTCACAGAGTTGAACTTTCATTTACACAGAGCAGATTTGAGACACTCTTTTTGTGGAATTTGCTAATGGAGATTTCAAGCGCTTTGAGGCCAAAGGCAGAAAAGGAAATATCTTCGTATAAAAACTAGACAGAATCATTCTCAGAAACTGCTGCGTGATGTGTGCGTTCAACTCTCAGAGTTTAACTTTTCTTTTCATTCAGCAGTTTGGAAACACTCTGTTTGTAAAGTCTGCACGTGGAAATTTTGACCACTTAGAGGCCTTCGTTGGAAACGGGTTTTTTTCATGTAAGGCTAGACAGAAGAATTCTCAGTAACTTCCTTGTGTTGTGTGTATTCAACTCACAGAGTTGAACGATCCTTTACACAGAGCAGACTTGAAACACTCTATTTGTGCAATTGGCAAGTGTAGATTTCAAGCGCTTTAAGGTCAATGGCAGAAAAGGGAATATCTTCGTTTCAAAACTAGACAGAATCATTCCCACAAACTGCGTTGTGATGTGTTCGTTCAACTCACAGAGTTTAACCTTTCTGTTCATAGAGCAGTTAGGAAACACTCTGTCTGTAAAGTCTGCAAGTGGATATTCAGACCTCCTTGAGGCCTTCGTTGGAAACGGGATTTCTTCATATTCTGCTAGACAGAAGAATTCTCAGTAACTTCCTTGTGTTGTGTGTATTCAACTCACAGACTTGAAGGATCCTTTACAGAGAGGAGGCTTGAAACCCTCTTTTTGTGGAATTTGCAAGTGGAGATTTCAGCCGCTTTGAGGTCAATGGTAGAATAGGAAATATCTTCTTATAGAAACTAGACAAAATGATTCTCATAAACTCCTTTGTGATGTGTGCGTTCAACTCACAGAAGTTTAACCTTTCTGTTCATAGAGCAGTTAGGAAACACTCTGTTTGTAAAGTCTGCAAGTGGATATTCAGACCTCCTTGAGGCCTTCGTTGGAAACGGGATTTCTTCATATTCTGCTAGACAGAAGAATTCCCAGTAACTTCCTTGTGTTGTGTGTGTTCAACTCACAGAGTTGAACTTTCATTTACACAGAGCAGATTTGAAACACTCTTTTTGTGGAATTTGGAAATGGAGATTTCAAGCGCTTTGAGGCCAAAGGCAGAAAAGGAAATATCTTCGTATAAAAACTAGACAGAATCATTCTCAGAAACTGCTGCGTGATGTGTTCGTTCAACTCTCAGAGTTTAACTTTTCTTTTCATTCAGCGGTTTGGAAACACTCTGTTTGTAAAGTCTGCACGTGGATATTTTGACCACTTAGAGGCCTTCGTTGGAAACGGGTTTTTTTCATGTAAGGCTAGACAGAAGAATTCCCAGTAACTTCCTTGTGTTGTGTGTGTTCAACTCACAGAGTTGAACTTTCATTTACACAGAGCAGATTTGAAACACTCTTTTTGTGCAATTGGCAAATGGAGATTTCAAGCGCTTTAAGGTCAATGGCAGAAAAGGAAATATCTTCGTTTCAAAACTAGACAGAATCATTCCCACAAACTGCGTTGTGATGTGTTCGTTCAAATCACAGAGTTTAACCTTTCTGTTCATAGAGCAGTTAGGAAACACTCTGTTTGTAAAGTCTGTAAGTGGATATTCTGACATCTTGTGGCGTTCGTTGGAAACGGGATTTCTTCATCTTCTGCTAGAGAGAAGAATTCTCAGTAACTTCCTTGTGTTGTGTGTATTCAACTCACAGAGTTGAACGTTCCTTTACACAGAGCAGACTTGAAACACTCGTTTTGTGGAATTTGCAAGTGGAGATTTCAGCCGCTTTGAGGTCAATGGTAGAAAAGGAAATATCTTCGTATAAAAACTAGACAGAATGATTCTCAGAAACTCCTTTGTGATGTGTGCGTTCAAATCACAGAGTTTAACCTTTCTTTTCATAGAGCAGTTAGGAAACACTCTGTTTGTAAAGTCTGCAAGTGGATATTCAGACCTCCTTGAGGCCTTCGTTGGAAACGGGATTTCTACATATTATGCTAGACAGAAGAATTCCCAGTAACTTCCCTTGTGTTGTGTGTGTTCAACTCACAGAGTTGAACTTTCATTTACACAGAGCAGATTTGAAACACTCTTTTTGTGGAATTTGCAAATGGAGATTTCAAGCGCTTTGAGGCCAAAGGCAGAAAAGGAAATGTCTTCGTTTCAAAACTAGACAGAATCATTCTCAGAAACTGCTCTGCGATGTGTGCGTTCAACTCTCAGAGTTTAACTTTTCTTTTCATTCAGCAGTTTGGAAACACTCTGGTTGTAAAGTCTGCACTTGGATAACTTGACCACTTAGAGGACTTCGTTGGAAACGGGTTTTTTTACCTGTAAGGCTAGACAGAAGAATTCTCAGTAACTTCCTTTTGTTGTGTGTATTCAACTCACAGAGTTGAACGATCCTTTACACAGAGCAGACTTGAAACACTCTTTTTGTGGAATTTGCAAGTGGAGATTTCAGCCGCTTTGAGGTCAATGGTAGAATAGGAAATATCTTCCTATAGAAACTAGACAGAATGATTCTGAGAAACTCCTTTGTGATGTGTGCGTTCAACTCACAGAGTTTAACCTTTCTTTTCATAGAGCAGTTAGGAAACACTCTGTTTGTAAAGTCTGCAAGTGGATATTCAGACATCTTTGAGGCCTTCGTTGGAAACGGGATTTCTTCATGTTCTGCTAGACAAAAGAATTCTCAGTAACTTCCTAGTGTTGTGTGTATTCAACTCACAGAGTTGAACGATCCTTTACACAGAGCGGACTTGAAACACTCTTTTTGTGGAATTTGCAAGTGGAGATTTCAGCCGCGTTGAGGTCAATGGTAGAAAAGGAAATATCTTCGTATAAAAACTAGACAGAATGATTCTCAGAAACTCCTTTGTGATGTGTGCGTTCAACTCACAGAGTTTAACCTTTCTTTTAATAGAGCAGTTAGGAAACACTCTGCTTGTAAAGTCTGCAAGTGGATATTCAGCCCTCTTTGAGGCCTTCGTTGGAAACGGGTTTTTTTCATATAAGGCTAGACAGAAGAATTCTCAGTAACTTCCTTGTGTTGTGTGTGTTCAACACACAGAGTTGAACTTTCATTTACCCAGAGCAGATTTGAAACACTCTTTTTGTGGAATTTGCAAGTGGAGATTTCAAGCGCTTTGAGGCCAAAGGCAGAAAAGGAAATATCTTCGTTTCAAAACTAGACAGAATCATTCTCAGAAACTGCTATGCGATGTGTGCGTTCAACTCTCAGAGTTTAACTTTTCTTTTCATTCAGCAGTTTGGAAACACTCTGTTTGTAAAGTCTGCACGTGGATATTTGACCACTTAGAGGCCTTCGTTGGAAACGGGTTTTTTTCCTGTAAGGCTAGACAGAAGAATTCTCAGTAACTTTCCTTGTGTTGTGTGTATTCAACTCACAGAGTTGAACGATCCTTTACACAGAGCAGACTTGTAACACTCTTTTTGTGGAATTTGCAAGTGGAGATTTCAGCCGCTTTGAAGTCAAAGGTAGAAAAGGGAATATCTTCCTATAAAAACTAGACAGAATTATTCTCAGAAACTCCTTTGTGATGTGTGTGTTCAACTCACAGAGTTTAACCTTTCTTTTCATAGAGCAGTTAGTAAACACTCTGTTTATAAAGTCTGCAAGTGGATATTCAGACCCCTTTGAGGCCTTCGTTGGAAAAGGGATTTCTTCATATTATGCTAGACAGAAGAATTCTCAGTAACTTCCTTGTGTTGTGTGTATTCAACTCACAGAGTTGAACGATCCTTTACAGAGAGTAGACTTGAAACACTCTTTTTTTGGAATTTGCAAGTGGAGATTTCAGCCGCTTTGAGGTCAATGGTAGAATAGGAAATATCTTCCTATAGAAACTAGACAGAATGATTCTCATAAACTCCTTTGTGATGTGTGCGTTCAACTCACAGAGTTTAACCTTTCTTTTCATAGAGCAGTTAGGAAACACTCTGTTTGTAAAGTCTGCAAGTGGATATTCAGACCTTTTTGAGGCCTTCGTTGGAAACGGGATTTCTTCATATTCTGCTAGACAGAAGAATTCTCAGTAACTTCCTTGTGTTGTGTGTATTCAACTGACAGAGTTGAACTATCATTTAGAGAGAGCAGATTTCAAACACTGTTTTTGTGGAATTTGCAAGTGGAGATTTCAAGCGCTTTGGGGCCAAAGGCAGAAAAGGAAATATCTTCGTATAAAAACTAGACAGAATCATTCTCAGAATCTGCTGCGTGATGTGTGCGTTCAACTCTCAGAGTTTAACTTTTCTTTTCATTCAGCGGTTTGGAAACACTCTGTTTGTAAAGTCTGCACGTGGATATTTTGACCACTTAGAGGCCTTCGTTGGAAACGGGTTTTTTTCATGTAAGGCTAGACAGAAGAATTCCCAGTCACTTCCTTGTGTTGTGTGCATTCAACTCACAGAGTTGAACGTTCCCTTCAGACAGAGCAGATTTGAAACACTCTATTTGTGCAATTTGCAAGTGTAGATTTCAAGCGCTTTAAGGTCAACGGCAGAAAAGGAAATATCTTCGTTTCAAAACTAGACAGAATGATTCTCAGAAACTCCTTTGTGATGTGTGCGTTCAACTCACAGAGTTTAACCTTTCTTTTTATAGAGCAGTTAGGAAACACTCTCTAAAGTCTGCAAGTGGATATTCAGACCTCTTTGAGGCCTTCGTTGGAAACGGGATTTCTTCATATTATGCTAGACAGAATAATTCTCAGTAACTTCCTTGTGTTGTGTGTATTCAACTCACAGAGTTGAACGATCCTTTACAGAGTGCAGACTTGAAACACTCTTTTTGTGGAATTTGCAAGTGGAGATTTCAGCCGCTTTGAGGTCAATGATAGAATAGGAAATATCTTCCTATAGAAACTAGACAGAATGATTCTCAGAAACTCCTTTGTGATGTGTGCATTCAACTCACAGAGTTTAACCTTTCTTTTCATAGAGCAGTTAGGAAACACTCTGTTTGTAAAGTCTGCAAGTGGATATTCAGACCTCTTTGAGGCCTTCGTTGGAAACGGGATTTCTTCATATTCTGCTAGAGAGAAGAATTCTCAGTAACTTCCTTGTGTTGTGTGTATTCAACTCAAAGAGTTCAACGATCCTTTATACAGAGCAGACTTGAAACACTCTTTTTGTGGAATTTGCAAGCGGAGATTTCAGCCGCTTTGAGGTCAATTGTAGAAAAGGAAATATCTTCGTATAAAAACTAGACAGAATCATTCTCAGAAACTGCTCTGCGATGTGTGCGTTCAACTCTCAGAGTTTAACATTTCTTTTCATTCAGCAGTTTGGAAACACTCTGTTTGTAAAGTCTGCACGTGGATAATTTGACCACTTAGAGGCCTTCGTTGGAAACGGGTTTTTTTCATGTAAGGCTAGACAGAAGAATTCCCAGTAACTTCCTTGTGTTGTGTGCATTCAACTCACAGAGATGAACGTTCCCTTAGACAGAGCAGATTTGAAACAGTCTATTTGTGCAATTTGCAAGTGTAGATTTCAAGCGCTTTAAGGTCAATGGCAGAAAAGGAAATATCTTCGTTTCAAAACTAGACAGAATCATTCCCACAAACTGCGTTGTGATGTGTTCGTTCAACCCACAGAGTTTAACCTTTCTGTTCATAGAGCAGTTAGGAAACACTCTGTTTGTAAAGTCTGCAAGTGGATATTCTGACATCTTGTGGCCTTCGTTGGAAACGGGATTTCTTCATATTCTGCTAGACAGAAGAATTCTCAGTAACTTCCTTGTGTTGTGTGTATTCAACTCACACAGTTGAACGATCCTTTACACAGAGCAGACTTGTAACACTCTTTTTGTGGAATTTGCAAGTGGAGATTTCAGCCGCTTTGAAGTCAAAGGTAGAAAAGGAAATATCTTCCTATAAAAACAAGACAGAATGATTCTTAGAAACTCCTTTGTGATGTGTGCGTTCAACTCACAGAGTTTAACCTTTCTTTTCATAGAGCAGTTAGGAAACACTCTGTTTGTAAAGTCTGCAAGTGGATATTCAGACCTCTTTGAAGCCTTCGTTGGAAACGGGATTTCTTCATATTATGCTAGACAGAAGAATTCTCAGTAACTTCCTTGTGTTGTGTGTATTCAACTGACAGAGTTGAACTATCATTTAGAGAGAGCAGATTTGAAACACTGTTTTTGTGGAATTTGCAAGTGGAGATTTCAAGCGCTTTGGGGCCAAAGGCAGAAAAGGAAATATCTTCGTATAAAAAATAGACAGAATCATTCTCAGAATCTGCTGCGTGATGTGTGCGTTCAACTCTCAGAGTTTAACTTTTCTTTTCATTCAGCGGTTTGGAAACACTCTGTTTGTAAAGTCTGCACGTGGATATTTTGACCACTTAGAGGCCTTCGTTGGAAACGGGTTTTTTTCATTTAAGGCTAGACAGAAGAATTCCCAGTAACTTCCTTGTGTTGTGTACATTCAACTCACAGCAGGTGAACGTTCCCTTAGACAGAGCAGATTTGAAACACTCTTTTTGTGCAATTGGCAAGTGGAGATTTCAAGCGCTTTAAGGTCAATGGCAGAAAAGGAAATATCTTCGTTTCAAAACTAGACAGAATCATTCCCACAAACTGCGTTGTGATGTGTTCGTTCAACTCACAGAGTTTAACCTTTCTTTTCATAGAGCAGTTAGGAAACACTCTGTTTGTAAAGTCTGCAAGTGGATATTCAGACCTCTTTGAGGCCTTCGTTGGAAACGGGATTTCTTCATACTGTGCTAGACAGAAGTATTCTCAGTAACTTCCTTGTGTTGTGTGTATTCAACTCACAGAGTTGAATCATCCTTTACACAGAGCAGACTTGAAACACTCTTTTTGTGGAATTTGCAAGTGGAGATTTCAGCCGCGTTGAGGTCAATGGTAGAAAAGGAAATATCTTCGTATAAAAACTAGACAGAATGATTCTCAGAAACTCCTTTGTGATGTGTGTGTTCAACTCACAGAGTTTAACATTTCTTTTCATAGAGCAGTTAGGAAACACTCTGTTTGTAAAGTCTGCAAGTGGATATTCAGACCTCTTTGAGGCCTTCGTTGGAAACGGGTTTTTTTCATATAAGGCTAGACAGAAGAATTCCCAGTAACTTCCTTGTGTTGTGTGTGTTCAACTCCCAGAGTTGAACTTTCATTTACACAGAGCAGATTTGAAACACTCTTTTTGTGGAATTTGCAAATGGAGATTTCAAGCGCTTTGAGGCCAAAGGCAGAAAAGGAAATATCTTCGTATAAAAACTAGACAGAATCATTCTCAGAAACTGCTCTGTGATGTGTGCGTTCAACTCTCAGAGTTTAACTTTTCTTTTCATTCAGCAGTTTGGAAACACTCTGTTTGTAAATTCTGCACGTGGATATTTTGACCACTTAGAGGCCTTCGTTGGAAACGGGTTTTTTTCATGTAAGGGTAGACAGAAGAATTCCCAGTAACTTCCTGTGTTGTGTACATTCAACTCACAGAGTTGAACGTTCCCTTAGAGAGAGCAGATTTGAAATACTCTTTTTGTGCAATTGGCAAGTGGAGATTTCAAGCGCTTTAAGGTCAATGGCAGAAAAGGAAATATCTTAGTTTCAAAACTAGACAGAATGATTCTCAGAAACTCCTTTGTGATGTGTGCGTTCAACTCACAGAGTTTAACCTTTCTTTTCATAGAGCAGTTAGGAAACACTCTGTTTGTAAAGTCTGCAAGTGGATATTCAGACCTCTTTGAGGCCTTCGTTGGAAACGGGATTTCTTCATATTATGCTAGACACAAGAATTCTCAGTAACTTCCTTGTGTTGTGTGTATTCAACTCACAGAGTTGAACGATTTCTTACACAGAGCAGAGTTGAAACACTCTTTTTCTGGAATTTGCAAGTGGAGATTTCAGCCGCTTTGAGGTCAATGGTAGAATAGGAAATATCTTCCTATAGAAACTAGACAGAATGATTCTCAGAAACTCCTTTGTGATGTGTGCGTTCAACTCACAGAGTTTAACCTTTCTTTTCATAGAGCAGTTAGGAAACACTCTGTTTGTAAAGACTGCAAGTGGATATTCAGACCTCCTTGAGGCCTTCGTTGGAAACGGGATTTCTTCATATTATGCTAGACAGAAGAATTCCCAGTAACTTCCTTGTGGTGTGTGTGTTCAAGTCACAGAGTTGAACTTTCATTTACACAGAGAAGATTTGAAACACTCTTTTTGTGGAATTTGCAAGTGGAGATTTCAAGCGCTTTGAGGCCAAAGGCAGAAAAGGAAATATCTTCGTTTCAAAACTAGACAGAATCATTCTCAGAAACTGCTGCGTGATGTGTGCGTTCAACTCTCAGAGTTTAACTTTTCTTTTCATTCAGCGGTTTGGAAACACTCTGTTTGTAAAGTCTGCAAGTGGATATTTTGACCACTTAGAGGCCTTCGTTGGAAACGGGTTTTTTTCATGTAAGGCTAGACAGAAGAATTCCCAGTAACTTCCTTGTGTTGTGTACATTCAACTCACAGAGTTGAACGTTCCCTTAGACAGAGCAGATTTGAAACACTCTTTTTGTGCAATTGGCAAATGGAGATTTCAAGCGCTTTAAGGTCAATGGCAGAAAAGGAAATATCTTTGTTTCAAAACTAGACAGAATGATTCTCAGAAACTCCTTTGTGATGTGTGTGTTCAACTCACAGAGTTTAACTTTTCTTTTCATAGAGCAGTTAGGAAACACAATGTTTGTAAAGTCTGCAAGTGGATATTCAGACCTCCTTGAGGCCTTCGTTGGAAACGGGATTTCTTCATATTATGCTAGACTGAAGAATTCTCAGTAACTTCCCTTGTGTTGTGTGTATTCAACTCACAGAGTTGAACGATCCTTTACACAGAGCAGACTTGAAACACTCTTTTTGTGGAATTTGCAAGTGGAGATTTCAGCCGCTTTGAGGTCAACGGTAGAATAGGAAATATCTTCCTATAGAAACTAGACAGAAATGATTCTCAGAAACTCCTTTGAGATGTGTGTGTTCAACTCACAGAGTTTAACCTTTCTTTTCATAGAGCAGTTAGGAATCACTCTGTTTGTAAAGTCTGCAAGTGGATATTCAGACCTCTTTGAGGCCTTCGTTGGAAACGGGTTTTTTTCATATAAGGCTAGACAGAAGAATTCTCAGTAACTTCCTTGTGTTGTGTGTATTCAACTGACAGAGTTGAACTTTCATTTAGAGAGAGCAGATTTGAAAAACTGTTTTTGTGGAATTTGCAAGTGGAGATTTCAAGCGCTTTGGGGCAAAAGGCAGGAAAGGAAATATCTTCGTATAAAAACTAGACAGAATCACTCTCAGAAACTGCTCTGCGATGTGTGCGTTCAACTCTCAGAGTTTAACTTTTCTTTTCATTCAGCAGTTTGGAAACACTCTGTTTGTAAAGTCTGCACGTGGATATTTTTACCACTCAGAGGCCTTCGTTGGAAACGGGTTTTTTTCCTGTAAGGCTAGACAGAAGAATTCCCAGTAACTTCCTTGTGTTGTGTACATTCAACTCACAGAGTTTAACGTTCCCTTAGACAGAGCAGATTTGAAACACTCTTTTTGTGCAATTGGCAAGTGGTGATTTCATCCGCTTTGAGGTCAATGGTAGAAAAGGAAATATCTTCGTATAAAAACTAGACAGAATCATTCCCACAAACTGCGTTGTGATGTGTTCGTTCATCTCACAGAGTTTAACCTTTCTTTTCATAGAGCAGTTAGGAAACACTATGTTTGTAAATTCTGTAAGTGGATATTCTGACATCTTGTGGCCTTCGTTGGAAACGGGATTTCTTCATATTCTGCTAGACAGAAGAATTCTCAGTAACTCCCTTGTGTTGTGTGTATTCAACTCACAGAGTTGAACGATCCTTTACACAGAGCAGACTTGTAACACTCTTTTTGTGTAATTTGCAAGTGGAGATTTCAGCCGCTTTGAAGTCAAAGGTAGAAAAGGAAATATCTTCCTATAAAAACTAGACAGAATGATTCTCAGAAACTCCTTTGTGATGTGTGCGTTCAACTCACAGAGTTTAACCTTTCTGTTCATAGAGCAGTTAGGAAACACTCTGTTTGTAAAGTCTGCAAGTGGATATTCAGACCTCCTTGAGGCCTTCGGTGGAAACGGGATTTCTTCATATTCTGCTAGACAGAAGAATTCTCAGTAACTTCCTTGGGTTGTGTGTATTCAACTCACAGAGTTGAACGATCCTTTACACAGAGCAGACTTGAAACACTCTTTTTGTGGAATTTACAAGTGGAGATTTCAGCCGTTTTGAGGTCAATGGTAGAAAAGGAAATATCTTCGTATAAAGACTAGACAGAATCATTCTCAGAAACTGCTGCGTGATGTGTGCGTTCAACTCTCAGAGTTTAACTTTTCTTTTCATTCAGCGGTTTGGAAACACTCTGTTTGTAAAGTCTGCACGTGGATATTTTGACCACTTAGAGGCCTTCGTTGGAAACGGGTTTTTTTCATGTAAGGCTAGACAAAATAATTCTCAGTAACTTCCTTGTGTTGTGTGTATTCAACTCACATAGTTGAACGATCCTTTACAGAGAGCAGACTTGAAACACTCTTTTTGTGGAATTTGCAAGTGGAGATTTCAGCCGCTTTGAGGTCAATGGTAGAATAGGAAATATCTTCCCATAGAAAATAGACAGAATGATTATCATAAACTCCTTTGTGATGTGTGCCTTCAACTCACAGAGTTTAACCTTTCTTTTCATAGAGCAGTTAGGAAACACTCTGTTTGTAAAGTCTGCAAGTGGATATTCAGACCTCCTTGAGGCCTTCGTTGGAAACGGGATTTCTTCATATTCTGCTAGACAGAAGAATTCTCAGTAACTTCCTTGTGTTGTGTGTATTCAACTCACAGAGTTGAACGATCCTTTACACCGAGCAGACTTGAAACACTTTTTTTGTGGAATTTGCAAGTGGAGATTTCAGCCGGTTTGAGGTCAATAGTAGAAAAGGAAATATCTTCGTAGAAAAACTAGACAGAATGATTCTCAGAAACTCCTTTGTGATGTGTGCGTTCAACTCACAGGAGTTTAACCTTTCTGTTCATAGAGCTGGTAGGAAACACTCTGTTTGTAAACTCTGCAAGTGGATATTCAGACCTCCTTGAGGCCTTCGTTGGAAACGGGATTTCTTCATATTCTGCTAGACAGAAGAATTCTTAGTAACTTCCTTGTGTTGTGTGTATTCAACTGACAGAGTTGAACTTTCATTTAGAGAGAGCAGATTTGAAACACTGTTTTTGTGGAATTTGCAAGTGGAGATTTCAAGCGCTTTGGGGCCAAAGGCAGAAAAGGAAATATCTTCGTATAAAAACTAGGCAGAATCATTCTCAGAAACTGCTGCGTGATGTGTGCGTTCAACTCTCAGAGTTTAACTTTTCTTTTCATTCAGCTGTTTGGAAACACTCTGTTTGTAAAGTCTGCACGTGGATATTTTGACCACTTAGAGGCCTTCGTTGGAATCGGGTTTTTTTCATGTAAGGCTAGACAGAAGAATTCCCAGTAACTTCCATGTGTTGTGTGCATTCAACTCACAGAGTTGAACGTTCCCTTAGACAGAGCAGATTTGAAACACTCTATTTGTGCAATTTGCAAGTGTAGATTTCAAGCGCTTTAAGGTCAATGGCAGAAAAGGAGATATCTTCGTTTCAAAACTAGACAGAATCATTCCCACAAACTGCGTTGTGATGTGTTCGTTCAACTCACAGAGTTTAACCTTTCTGTTCATAGAGCAGTTAGGAAACACTCTGTTTGTAAAGTCTGTAAGTGCATATTCTGACATCTTGTGGCCTTCGTTGGAAACGGGATTTCTTCATATTCTGCTAGACAGAAGAATTCTCAGTAACTTCTTTGTGTTGTGTGTATTCAACTCACAGAGTTAAACGATCCTTTACACAGAGCAGACTTGAAACACTCTTTTTGTGGAATTTTCAAGTGGAGATTTCAGCCGCTTTGAGGTCAATGGTAGAATAGGAAATATCTTCCTATAGAAACTAGACAGAATGATTCTCAGAAACTCCTTTGTGATGTGTACGTTCAACTCACAGAGTTCAACCTTTCTTTTCATAGAGCAGTTAGGAAACACTCTGTTTATAATGTCTGCAATTGGATATTCAGACCTCTTTGAGGCCTTCGTTGGAAACGGGATTTCTTCATATTCTGCTAGACAGAAGAATTCCCAGTAACTTCCTTGTGTTGTGTGTGTTCAACTCACAGAGTTGAACTTTCATTTACACAGAGCAGATTTGAAACACTCTTTTTGTGGAATTTGCAAGTGGAGATTTCAAGCGCTTTGAGGCCAAAGGCAGAAAAGGATATATCTTCGTATAAAAACTAGACAGAATCATTCTCAGAAACTGCTCTGCGATGTGTGCGTTCAACTCTCAGAGTTTAACTTTTCTTTTCATTCAGCAGTTTGGAAACACTCTGTTTGTAAAGTCTGCACGTGGATAACTTGACCACTTAGAGGCCTTCGTTGGAAACGGGTTTTTTTCACGTAAGGCTAGACAGAAGAATTCTCAGAAACTTCCTTGTGTAGTGTATATTCAACTCACAGAGTTGAACGATCCTTTACACAGAGCAGACTTGAAACACTCTTTTTGTGGATTTTGCAAGTGGAGATTTCAAGCGCTTTTGGGGCCAAAGCCAGAAAAGGAAATATCTTCATATAAAAACTAGACAGAATCATTCTCAGAAACTGCTCTGCGATGTGTGCGTTCAACTCTCAGAGTTTAACTTTTCTTTTCATTCAGCAGTTTGGAAACACTCTGTTTGTAAAGTCTGCACGTGGATAATTTGACCACTTAGAGGCCTTCGTTGGAAACGGGTTTTTTTCATGTAAGGCTTGACAGAAGAATTCTCAGTAACTTCCTTGTGTTGTGTGTATTCAACTCACAGAGTTGACCGATCCTTTACACAGAGCAGACTTGTAACACTCTTTTTGTGGAATTTGCAAGTGGAGATTTCAGCCGCTTTGAAGTCAAAGGTAGAAAAGGGAATATCTTCTAATAAAAACTAGACAGAATGATTCTCAGAAACTCCTTTGTGATGTGTGTGTTCAACTCACCGAGTTTAACCTTTCTTTTCATAGAGCAGTTAGTAAACACTCTGTTTATAAAGTCTGCAAGTGGATATTCAGACCCCTTTGAGGCCTTCGTTGGAAACGGGATTTCTTCATATTATGCTAGACAGAAGAATTCTCAGTAACTTCCCTTGTGTTGTGTGTATTCAACTGACATAGTTGAACTTTCATTTAGAGAGAGCAGATTTGAAACTCTGTTTTTGTGGAATTTGCAAGTGGAGATTTCAAGCGCTTTGGGGCCAAAGGCAGAAAAGGAAATATCTTCGTATAAAAACTAGACAGAATCATTCTCAGAAACTGCTCTGTGATGTGTGCATTCAGCTCTCAGAGTTTAACTTTTCTTTTCATTCAGCAGTTTGGAAACACTCTGTTTGTAAAGTCTGCACTGGATATTTTGACCACTTAGAGGCCTTCGTTGGAAACGGGTTTTTTTCATGTAAGGCTAGACAGAAGAATTCCCATTAACTTCCTTGTGTTGTGTGCATTCAACTCACAGAGATGAAAGATCCCTTAGACAGAGCAGATTTGAAACACTCTATTTGTGCCATTTGCAAGTGTAGATTTCAAGCGCTTTAAGGTCAATGGCAGAAAAGGAAATATCTTCGTTTCAAAACTAGACAGAATCATTCCCACAAACTGCGTTGTGATGTGTTCGTTCAACTCACAGAGTTTAACCTTTCTGTTCATAGAGCAGTTAGGAAACACTCTGTTTGTAAAGTCTGTAAGTGGATATTCTGACATCTTGTGGCCTTCGTTGGAAACGGGATTTCTTCATATTCTGGTAGACAGAAGAATTCTCAGTAACTTCCTTGTTTTGTGTGTATTCAACTCACAGAGTTGAACGATCCTTTACAGAGAGCAGACTTGAAACACTCTTTTTGTGGAATTTGTAAGTGGAGATTTCAGCCGCTTTGAGGTCAACGGTAGAATAGGAAATATCTTCCTATTGAAACTAGACAGAATGATTCTCATAAACTCCTTTGTGATGTGTGCGTTCAACTCACAGAGTTTAACCTTTCTTTTCATAGAGCAGTTAGGAAACACTCTGTTTGTAAAGTCTGCAAGTGGATATTCAGACCTCCTTGAGGCCTTCTTTGGAAACGGGATTTCTTCATATTCTGATAGACAGAAGAATTCTCAGTAACTTCCTTGTGTTGTGTGTATTCAACTCACAGAGTTGAACGATCCTTTACAGAGAGCAGACTTGAAACACTCTTTTTGTGGAATTTGCAAGTGGAGATTTCAGCCGCTTTGAGGTCAATGGTAGAAAAGGAAACTATGTTCGTATAAAGACTAGACAGAATGATTCTCAGAAACTGCTTTGTGATGTGTGCGTTCAACTCACAGAGTTTAACCTTTCTTTTCATAGAGCAGTTAGGAAACACTCTGTTTGTAAAGTCTGCAAGTGGATATTCAGACCTCTTTCAGGACTTCTTTGGAAACGGGATTTCTTCATATTCTGCTAGACAGAAGAATTCTCAGTAACTTCCTTGTGTTGTGTGTATTCAACTCATAGAGTTGAACGATCCTTTAGAGGAGAGCAGTCTTGAAACACTCTTTTTGTGGAATTTGCAAGTGGAGATTTCTGCCGCTTTGAGGTCAATGGTAGAATAGGAAATATCTTCCTATAGAAACTAGACAGAATGATTCTCAGAAACTTCTTTGTGATGTGTGCGTTCAACTCACAGAGTTTAACCTTTCTTCTCATAGAGCAGTTAGGAAACACTCTGTTTGTAAAGTCTGCAATTGGATATTCAGACCTCTTTGAGGCCTTCTTTGGAAACGGGATTTCTTCATACTGTGCTAGACAGAAGAATTCTCAGTAACTTCCTTGTGTTGTGTGTATTCAACTCACAGAGTTGAACGATCCTTTACACAGAGCGGACTTGAAACACTCTTTTTGTGGAATTTGCAAGTGGAGATTTCAGCCGCTTTGAAGTCAAAGGTAGAAAAGGAAATATCTTCCTATAAAAACTAGACAGAAATGATTCTCAGAAACTCCTTTGTGATGTGTGCGTTCAACTCACAGAGTTTAACCTTTCTTTTCATAGAGCAGTTAGGAAACACTCTGTTTGTAAAGTCTGCAAGTGGATATTCAGACCTCTTTGAGGCCTTCGTTGGAAACGGGTTTTTTTCATATAAGGCTAGATAGAAGAATTCCCAGTAACTTCCTTGTGTTGTGTGTGTTCAACTCACAGAGTTGAACTTTCATTTACACAGAGCAGATTTGAAACACTCTTTTTGTGGAATTTGCAAATTGAGATTTCAAGCGCTTTGAGGCCAAAGGCAGAAAAGGAAATATCTTCGTATAAAAACTAGACAGAATCATTCTCAGAAACTGCTCTGCGATGTGTGCGTTCAACTCTCAAGAGTTTAACTTTTCTTTTCATTCAGCAGTTTGGAAACACTCTGTTTGTAAAGTCTGCACGTGGATATTTTGACCACTTAGAGGCCTTCGTTGGAAACGGGTTTTTTTCCTGTAAGGCTAGACAGTAGAATTCCCAGTAACTTCCTTGTGTTGTGTACATTCAACTCACAGAGTTGAACGTTCCCTTAGACAGAGCAGATTTGAAACACTCTTTTTGTGCAATTGGCAAATGGAGATTTCAAGCGCTTTAAGGTCAATGGCAGAAAAGGAAATATCTTCGTTTCAAAAGTAGACAGAATCATTCCCACAAACTGCGTTGTGATGTGTTCGTTCAACTCACAGAGTTTAACCTTTCTGTTCATAGAGCAGTTAGGAAACACTCTGTTTGTAAAGTCTGTAAGTGGATATTCTGACATCCTTGTGGCCTTCGTTGGAAACGGGATTTCTTCATATTCTGCTAGACAGAAGAATTCTCACTAACTTCCTTGTGTTGTGTGTATTCAACTCACAGAGTTGAACGATCCTTTACACAGAGCAGACTGGAAACACTCTTTTTGTGGAATTTGCAAGTGGAGATTTCAGCCGCTTTGAGGTCAATGGTAGAAAAGGAAATATCTTCGTATAAAGACTAGACAGAGTGATTCTCAGAAACTCCTTTGTGATGTCTGCGTTCAACTCACAGAGTTTAACCTTTCTTTTCATAGAGCAGTTAGGAAACACTCTGTTTGTAAAGTCTGCAAGTGGATATTCAGACCTCCTTGAGGCCTTCGTTGGAAACGGGATTTCTTCAAATTCTGCTATACAGAAGAATTCCCAGTAACTTCCTTGTGTTGTGTGTGTTCAACTCACAGAGTTGAACTTTGATTTACACAGAGCAGATTTGAAACACACTTTTTGTGGAATTTGCAAGTGGAGATTTCAAGCGCTTTGAGGCCAAAGGCAGAAAAGGAAATATCTTCGTATAAAAACTAGACAGAATCATTCTCAGAAACTGCTGCGTGATGTGTGCGTTCAACTCTCAGAGTTTAACTTTTCTTTTCATTCAGCGGTTTGGAAACACTCTGTTTGTAAAGTCTGCACGTGGAAATTTTGACCACTTAGAGGCCTTCGTTGGAAACGGGTTTTTTTCATGTAAGGTTAGACAGAAGAATTCCCAGTAACTTCCTTGTGTTGTGTACATTCAACTCACAGAGTTGAACGTTCCCTTAGACAGAGCAGATTTGAAACACTCTTTTTGTGCAATTGGCAAATGGAGATTTCAAGCACTTTAAGGTCAATGGCAGAAAATGAAATATCTTCGTTTCAAAACTAGACAGAATGATTCTCAGAAACTCCTTTGTGATGTGTGCGTTCAACTCACAGAGTTCAACCTTTTTTTTCATAGAGCAGTTGGGAAACACTCTGTTTGTAAAGTCTGCAAGTGGATATTCAGACTTCTTTGAGGCCTTCGTTGGAAGCGGGATTTCTTCATATTCTGCTAGACAGAGGAATTCTCAGTAACTTCCTTGTGTTGTGTGTATTCAACTCACAGAGTTGAACGATCCTTTACACAGAGCAGACTTGTAACACTCTTTTTGTGGAATTTGCAAGTGGAGATTTCAGCCACTTTGAAGTCAAAGGCAGAAAAGGAAATAACTTCCTATAAAAACTAGACAGAATGATTCTCAGAAACTCCTTTGTGATGTGTGCGTTCAACTCACCGAGTTTACCCTTTCTTTTCATAGAGCAGTTGGGAAACACTCTGTTTGTAAAGTCTGCAAGTGGATATTCAGACCTCCTTGAGGCTTTCGTTGGAAACGGGATTTCTTCATATTCTGCTAGAAAGAAGGATTCCCAGTAACTTCCTTGTGTTGTGTGTGTTCAACTCACAGAGTTGAACTTTCATTTACACAGAGCAGATTTGAAACACTCTTTTTGTGGAATTTGCAAGTGGAGATTTCAAGCGCTTTGAGGCCAAAGGCAGAAAAGGAAATATCTTCGTTTCAAAACTAGACAGAATCATTCTCAGAAACTGCTCTGCGATGTGTGCGTTCAACTCTCAGAGTTTAACTTTTCTTTTCATTCAGCAGTTTGGAAACACTCTGTTTGTAAAGTCTGCACGTGGATAACTTGACCACTTAGAGGCCTTCGTTGGAAACGGGTTTTTTTCACGTAAGGTTAGACAGAAGAATTCCCAGTAACTTCCTTGTGTTGTGTACATTCAACTCACAGAGTTGAACGTTCCCTTAGACAGAGCAGATTTGAAACACTCTTTTTGTGCAATTGGCAAATGGAGATTTCAAGCGCTTTAAGTTCAATGGCAGAAAAGGAAATATCTTCGTTTCAAAACTAGACAGAATCATTCCCACAAACTGCGTTGTGATGTGTTCGTTCAACTCACAGAGTTTAACCTTTCTTTCATAGAGCAGTTAGGAAACAGTCTGTTTGTCAATTCTGTAAGTGGATATTCTGACATCTTGTGGCCTTCGTTGGAAACGGGATTTCTTCATATTCTGCTAGACAGAAGAATTCTCAGTAACTTCCTTGTGTTATGTGTATTCAACTCACAGGGTTGAACGATCCTTTACACAGAGCAGACTTGAAACACTCTTTTTGTGGAATTTGCAAGTGGAGATTTCAGCCGCTTTGAGGTCAATGGTAGAAAAGGAAATATCTTCGTATAAAGACTAGACAGAATGATTCTCAGAAACTCCTTTGTGATGTGTGCGTTCAACTCACAGAGTTTAACCTTTCTTTTCATAGAGCAGTTAGGAAACACTCTGTTTGTAAAGTCTGCAAGTGGATATTCAGACCTCCTTGAGGCCTTGGTTGGAAATGGGATTTCTTCATATTCTGCTAGACAGAAGAATTCCCAGTAACTTCCTTGTGTTGTGTGTGTTCAACTCACAGATTTGAACTTTCATTTACACAGAGCAGATTTGAAACACTCTTTTTGTGGAAGTTGCAAGTGGAGATTTCAAGCGCTTTGAGGCCAAAGGCAGAAAAGGAAATATCTTCGTTTCAAAACTAGACAGAATCATTCTCAGAAACTGCTGCGTGATGTGTGTGTTCAACTCTCAGAGTTTAACTTTCCTTTTCATTCACCGGTTTGGAAACACTCTGTTTGTAAAGTCTGCACGTGGATATTTTGACCACTTAGAGGCCTTCGTTGGAAACGGGTTTTTTTCATGTAAGGCTAGACAGAAGAATTCCCAGTAACTTCCTTGTGTTGTGTACATTCAACTCACAGAGTTGAACGTTCCCTTAGACAGAGCAGATTTGAAACACTCTTTTTGTGCAATTGGCAAATGGAGATTTCAAGCGCTTTAAGTTCAATGGCAGAAAAGGAAATATCTTCGTTTCAAAACTAGACAGAATCATTCCCACAAACTGCGTTGTGATGTGTTCGTTCAACTCACAGAGTTTAACCTTTCTGTTCATAGAGCAGTTAGGAAACACTCTGTTTGTAAAGTCTGTAAGTGGATATTCTGACATCTTGTGGCCTTCGTTGGAAACGGGGTTTCTTCATATTCTGCTAGACAGAAGAATTCTCAGTAACTTCCTTGTGTTGTGTGTATTCAACTCACAGAGTTGAAAGATCCTTTACACAGAGCAGACTTGAAACACTCTTTTTGTGGAATTTGCAAGTGGAGATTTCAGCCGCTTTGAGGTCAATGGTAGAAAAGGAAATATCTTCGTATAAAGACTAGACTGAATGATTCTCAGAAACTCCTTTGTGATGTGTGCGTTCAACTCACAGAGTTTAACCTTTCTTTTCATAGAGCAGTTAGGAAACACTCTGTTTGTAAAGTCTGCAAGTGGATATTCAGACATCCTTGAGGCTTTCGTTGGAAAGGGGATTTCTTCATATTCTGCTAGAAAGAAGAATTCTCAGTAACTTCCTTGTGTTGTGTGTATTCAACTCACAGAGTTGAACGATCCTTTACACAGAGCAGACTTGAAACACTCTTTTTGTGGAATTTGCAAGTGGAGATTTCAGCCGCTTTGAGTTCAATGGTAGAATAGGATATATCTTCCTATAGAAACTAGACAGAATGATTCTCAGAAAATCCTTTGTGATGTGTGCGTTCAACTCACCGAGTTTAACTTTTCTTTTCATAGAGCAGTTAGGAAACACTCTGTTTGTAAAGTCTGCAAGTGGATATTCAGACCTCTTTGAGGCCTTCTTTGGAAACGGGATTTCTTCATATTATGCTAGACAGAAGAATTCTCAGTAACTTCCTTGTGTTGTGTGTATTCAACTGACAGAGTTGAACTTTCATTTAGAGAGAGCAGGTTTGAAACACTGTTTCTGTGGAATTTGCAAGTGGGGATTTCAAGCGCTTTGGGGCCAAAGGCAGAAAAGGAAATATCTTCGTATAAAAACTAGACAGAATCATTCTCAGAAACTGCTGCGTGATGTGTGCGTTCAACTCTCAGAGTTTAACTTTTCTTTTCATTCAGCGGTTTGGAAACACTCTGTTTGTAAAGTCTGTACGTGGACATTTTGACCACTTAGAGGCCTTCGTTGGAAACGGGTTTTTTTCATGTAAGGCTAGACAGAAGAATTCCCAGTAACTTCCTTGTGTTGTGTACATTCAACTCACAGAGTTGAACGTTCCCTTAGACAGAGCAGATTTGAAACACTCTTTTTGTGCAATTGGCAAGTGGAGATTTCAAGCGCGTTGAGGTCAATGGCAGAAAAGGAAATATCTTCGTTTCAAAACTAGACAGAATCATTCCCAGAAACTGCGTTGTGATGTGTTCGTTCAACTCACAGAGTTTAACCTTTCTTTTCATAGAGCAGTTAGGAAACAGTCTGTTTGAAAATTCTGTAAGTGGATATTCTGACATCTTGTGGCCTTCGTTGGAAACGGGATTTCTTCATATTCTGCTAGACAGAAGAATTCTCAGAAACTTCCTTGTGTTGTGTGTATTCAACTCACAGAGTTGAACGATCCTTTACACAGAGCAGACTTGAAACACACTTTTTTTGGAATTTTCAAGTGGAGATTTCAGCCGCTTTGAGGTCAATGGTAGAAAAGGAAATATCTTCGTATAAAGAATAGACAGAATGATTCTCAGAAACTCCTTTGTGATGTGGGCGTTCAACTCACAGAGTTTAACCTTTCTTTTCATAGAGCCGTTAGGAAACACTCTGTTTGTAAAGTCTGCACGTGGATATTTGGACTTCTTTGAGGCCTTCGTTGGAAACGGGTTTTTTTCATGTAAGGCTAGTCGGAAGAGTTCCCACTAACTTCCATGTGTTGTGTGTGTTCAATTCACAGAGTTGAACTTTCATTTACACAGAGCAGATTTGAAACACTCTTTTTGTGGAATTTGCAAATGGAGATTTCAAGCGCTTTGAGGCCAAAGGCAGAAAAGGAAATATCTTCGTATAAAAACTAGACAGAATCATTCTCAGAAACTGCTGCGTGATGTGTGCGTTCAACTCTCAGAGTTTAACTTTTCTTTTCATTCAGCTGTTTGGAAACACTCTGTTTGTAAAGTCTGCACGTGGATATTTTGACAACTTAGAGGCCTTCGTTGGAAACGGGTTTTTTTCATGTAAGGCTAGACAGAAGAATTCTCAGTAACTTCCTTGTGTTGTGTGTATTCAACTCACAGAGTTGAACGATCCTTTACACAGAGCAGACTTGTAACACACTTTTTGTGGAATTTGCAAGTGGAGATTTCAGCCGCTTCGAAGTCAAAGGTAGAAAAAGAAATATCTTCCTATAAAAACAAGACAGAATCATTCCCACAAACTGCGTTGTGATGTGTTCATTCAACTCACAGAGTTTAACCTTTCTTTTCATAGGGCAGTTAGGAAACAGTCTGTTTGTCAATTCTGTAAGTGGATATTCTGACATCTTGTGGCCTTCGTTGGAAACGGGATTTCTTCATATTCTGCTAGACAGAAGAATTCTCAGTAACTTCCGCGTGTTGTGTGTATTCAACTCACAGAGTTGAACGATCCTTTACACAGAGCAGAGTTGAAACACTCTTTTTGTGGAATTTGCAAGTGGAGATTTCAGCCGCTTTGAGGTCAATGGTAGAAAAGGAAATATCTTCGTATAAAAAGTAGACAGAATGATTCTCATAAACTCCTTTGTGATGTGTGCGTTCAACTCACAGAGTTTAACCTTTCTTTTCATAGAGCAGTTAGGAAAAACTCTGTTTGAAAAGTCTGCAAGTGGATATTCAGACCTCCTTGAGGCCTTCGTTGGAAACGGGATTTCTTCATATTCTGCTAGACAGAACAATTCTCAGTAATTTCCTTGTGTTGCGTGTATTCAACTCACAGAGTTGAACGATCCTTTACACAGAGCGGACTTGAAACACTCTTTTTGTGGAATTTGCAATTGGAGATTTCAGCCGCGTTGAGGTCAATGGTAGAAAAGGAAATATCTTCGTATAAAAACTAGACAGAATCATTCTCAGAAACCGCTCTGTGATGTGTGCGTTCAACTCTCAGAGTTTAACTTTTCTTTCCATTCAGCAGTTTGGAAACACTCTGTTTGTAAAGTCTGCACGTGGATATTTTGACTACTTAGAGGTCTCGGTTGGAAACGGGTTTTTTTCATGTAAGGCTAGACAGAAGAATTCCCAGTAACTTCCTTGCGTTGTGTACATTCAACTCACAGAGTTGAACGTTCCCTTAGACAGAGCAGATTTGAAACACTCTTTTTGTGCAATTGGCAAGTGGAGATTTCAAGCGCTTTGAGGTCAATGGCAGAAAAGGAAATATCTTCGTTTCAAAACTAGACAGAATCATTCCCACAAACTGCGTTGTGATGTGTTCGTTCAACTCACAGAGTTTAACCTTTCTTTTCATAGAGCAGTTAGGAAACAGTCTGTTTGTAAATTCTGTAAGTGGATATTCTGACATCTTGTGGCCTTCGTTGGAAACGGGATTTCTTCACATTCTGCTAGACAGAAGAATTCTCAGTAACTTCCTTGTGTTGTGTGTATTCAACTCACAGAGTTGAACTGATCCTTTACACAGAGCAGACTTGAAACACTCTTTTTGTGGAATTTGCAAGCGGAGATTTCAGCCGCTTTGAGTTCAATGGTAGAATAGGAAATATCTTCCTATAGAAACTAGACAGAATGATTCTCAGAAACTCCTTTGTGATGTGGGCGTTCAACTCACAGAGTTTAACCTTTCTTTTCATAGAGCAGTTAGGAAACACTCTGTTTGTAAAGTCTGCAAGTGGATATTCAGACATCTTTGAGGCTTTCGTTGGAAACGGGATTTCTTCATATTCTGCTATACAGAAGAATTCTCAGAAACTTCCTTGTGTTGTGTGTATTCAACTCACAGAGTTGAACGTTCGTTTACACAGAGCAGACTTGAGACACTCTTTTTGTGGAATTTGTAAGTGGACATTTCAGCCGCTTTGAGGTCAATGGTAGAAAAGGAAATATCTTCATATAAAAACTAGACAGAATCATTCTCAGAAACTGCTGCGTGATGTGTGCGTTCAACTCTCAAGAGTTTAACTTTTCTTTTCATTCAGCGGTTTGGAAACACTCTGTTTGTAAAGTCTGCACGTGGATATTTTGACCACTTAGAGGCCTTCGTTGGAAACGGGTTTTTTTCATGTAAGGCTAGACAGAAGGATTCCCAGGAACTTCCTTGTGTTGTGTACATTCAACTCACAGAGTTGAACGTTCCCTTAGACAGAGCAGATTTGAAACACTCTTTTTGTGCAATTGGCAAGTGGTGATTTCAGCCGCTTTGAGGTCAATGGTAGAAAAGGAAATATCTTCGTATAAAAACTAGACAGAATCATTCCCACAAACTGCGTTGTGATGTGTTCGTTCAACTCACAGAGTTTAACCTTTCTGTTCATAGAGCAGTTAGGAAACACTCTGTTTGTAAACTCTGCAAGTGGATATTCTGACATCTTGTGGCCTTCGTTGGAAACGGGATTTCTTCACATTCTGCTAGACAGAAGAATTCTCAGTAACTTCCTTGTGTTGTGTGTATTCAACTCACAGAGTTGAACGATCCTTTACAGAGAGCAGACTTGAAACACTCTTTTTGTGGAATTTGCAAGTGGAGATTTCAGCCGCTTTGAGGTCAAGAGTAGAAAAGGAAATATCTTCGTAGAAAAACTAGACAGAATTATTCTCCTAAACTCCTTCGTGATGTGTGCGTTCAAATCACAGAGTTGAACTTTTCTTTTCATAGAGCAGTTAGGAAACACTCTGTTTATATAGTCTGCAAGTGGATATTCAGACCCCTTTGAGGCCTTCGTTGGAAACGGGATTTCTTCATATTATGCTAGACAGAAGAATTCTCAGTAACTTCCTTGTGTTGTGTGTATTCAACTGACAGAGTTGAACTTTCTTTTAGAGAGAGCAGATTTGAAACACTGTTTTTGTGGAATTTTCAACTGGAGATTTCAAGCGCTTTGGGGCCAAAGGCACAAAAGGAAATATCTTCGTATAAAAACTAGACAGAATCATTCTCAGAAACTGCTCTGCGATGTGTGCGTTCAACTCTCAGAGTTTAACTTTTCTTTTCATTCAGCAGTTTGGAAACACTCTGTTTGTAAAGTCTGCACGTGGATATTTTGACCACTTAGAGGCCTTCGTTGGAAACGAGTATTTTTTCCTGTAAGGCTAGACAGAAGAATTCCCAGTAACTTCCTTGTGTTGTGTACATTCAACTCACAGAGTTGAACGTTCCCTTAGACAGAGCAGATTTGAAAGACTCTTTTTCTGCAATTGGCAAATGGAGATTTCAAGCGCTTTAAGGTCAATGGCAGAAAAGGAAATATCTTCGTTTCAAAACTAGACAGAATCATTCCCACAAACTGCGTTGTGATGTGTTCGTTCAACTCACAGAGTTTAACCTTTCTTTTCATAGAGCAGTTAGGAAACAGTCTGTTTGTCAATTCTGTAAGTGGATATTCTGACATCTTATGGCCTTCGTTGGAAACGGGATTTCTTCATATTCTGCTAGACAGAAGAATTCTCAGAAACTTCCTTGTGTTGTGTGTTTTCAACTCACAGAGTTGAACGATCCTTTACACAGAGCAGACTTGAAACATTCCTTTTGTGGAATTTGCAAGTGGAGATTTCAGCCGCTTTGAGGTCAATGGTAGAATAGGAAATATCTTCCTATAGAAACTAGACAGAATGATTCTCAGAAACTCCTTTGTGATGTCTGCGTTCAACTCACAGAGTTTAACCTTTCTTTTCATAGAGCAGTTAGGAAACACTCTGTTTGTAAAGTCTGCAAGTGGATATTCAGACCTCCTTGAGGCCTTCGTTGGAAACGGGATTTCTTCATATTATGCTAGATAGAAGAATTCTCAGTAACTTTCCTTGTGTTGTGTGTATTCAACTGACAGAGTTGAACGTTCATTTAGAGAGAGCAGATTTGAAACACTGTTTTTGTGGAATTTGCAATTGGAGATTTCAAGCGCTTTGGGGCCAAAGGCAGAAAAGGAAATATCTTCGTATAAAAACTAGACAGAATCATTCTCAGAAACTGCTGCGTGATGTGTGCGTTCAACTCTCAGAGTTTAACTTTTCTTTGCATTCAGCGGTTTGGAAACACTCTGTTTGTAAAGACTGCACGTGGATATTTTGACCACTTAGAGGCCTTCGTTGGAAACGGGTTTTTTTCATGTAAGGCTAGACAGAAGAATTCCCAGTAACTTCCTTGTGTTGTGTGCATTCCACTCACAGAGTTGAACGTTCCCTTAGACAGAGCAGATTTGAAACACTCTATTTGTGCAATTTGCAAGTGTAGATTTCAAGCGCTTTAAGGTCAATGGCAGAAAAGGAAATATCTTCGTTTCAAAACTAGACAGAATCATTCCCACAAACTGCGTTGTGATGTGTTCGTTCATCTCACAGAGTTTAACCTTTCTTTTCATAGAGCAGTTAGGAAACAGTCTGTTTGTAAATTCTGTAAGTGGATATTCTGACATCTTGTGGCCTTCGTTGGAAACGGGATTTCTTCATATTCTGCTAGACAGAAGAATTCTCAGTAACTTCCTTGTGTTGTGTGTATTCAACTCACAGAGTTGAACGATCCTTTACAGAGAGCAGACTTGAAACACTCTTTTTGTGGAATTTGCAAGTGGAGATTTCAGCCGCTTTGAGGTCAATGGTAGAAAAGGAAATATCTTCGTATAAAGAATAGACAGAATGATTCTCAGAAACTCCTTTGTGATGTGTGTGTTCAACTCACAGAGTTTAACCTTTCTTTTCATAGAGCAGTTAGGAAACACTCTGTTTGTAAAGTCTGCAAGTGGGTATTCAGACCTCTTTGAGGCCTTCGTTGGAAACGGGTTTTTTTCATATAAGGCTAGACAGAAGAATTCCCAGTAACTTCCTTGTGTTGTGTGTGTTCAACTCACAGTAGTTGAACTTTCATTTACACAGAGCAGATTTGAAACACTCTTTTTGTGGAATTTGCAGGTGGAGATTTCAAGCGCTTTGAGGCCAAAGGCAGAAAAGGAAATATCTTCGTATAAAAACTAGACAGAATCATTCTCAGAAACTGCTGCGTGATGTGTGCGTTCAATTCTCAGAGTTTAACTTTTCTTTTCATTCAGCGGTTTGGAAACACTCTGTTTGTAAAGTCTGCACGTGGAAATTTTGACCACTTAGAGGCCTTCGTTGGAAACGGGTTTTTTTCATGTAAGGCTAGACAGAAGAATTCCCAGTAACATCCTTGTGTTGTGTACATTCAACTCACAGAGTTGAACGTTCCCTTAGACAAAGCAGATTTGAAACACTCTTTTTGTGGAATTTGCAAATGGAGATTTCAAGCGCTTTAAGGTCAATGGCAGAAAAGGAAATATCTTCGTTTCAAAACTAGACAGAATCATTCCCACAAATGGCGTTGTGATGTGTTCGTTGAACTCACAGAGTTTAACCTTTCTGTTCATAGAGCAGTTAGGAAACACTCTGTTTGTAAAGTCTGTAAGTGGATATTCTGACATCTTGTGGCCTTCGTTGGAAACGGGATTTCCTCATATTCTGCTAGACAGAAGAATTCTCAGAATCTTCCTTGTGTTGTGTGTATTCAACTCACAGAGTTGAACGATCCTTTACACAGAGCAGACTTGAAACACTCTTTTTATGGAATTTGCAAGTGGAGATTTCAGCCGCTTTGAGGTCAATGGTAGAAAAGGAAATATCTTCCTATAAAAACTAGACAGAATGATTCTCAGAAAATCTTTTGTGATGTGTGCGTTCAACTCACAGAGTTTAACTTTTCTTCTCATAGAGCAGTTAGGAAACACTCTGTTTGTAAAGTGTGCAAGTGGATATTCAGACCTCTTTGAGGCCTTCGTTGGAAACGGGATTTCTTCATATTATGCTAGACAGAATAATTCTCAGTAACTTCCTTGTGTTGTGTGTATTCAACTCACAGAGTTGAACGATCCTTTACAGAGAGCAGGCTTGAAACACTCTTTTTGTGGAATTTGCAAGTGGAGATTTCAGCCGCTTTGAGGTCAATGGTAGAATAGGAAATACCTTCTTATAGAAACTAGACAGAATCATTCTCAGAAAATGCTCTGTGATGTGTGCGTTCAACTCTCAGAGTTTAACTTTTCTTTTCATTCAGCAGTTTGGAAACACTCTGTTTGTAAAGTCTGCACGTGGATATTTTGACCACTTAGAGGCCTTCGTTGGAAACGGGTTTTTTTCATGTAAGGGTAGACAGAAGAATTCCCAGTAACTTCCTTGTGTTGTGTGCATTCAACTCACAGAGTTGAACATTCCCTTAGACAGAGCAGATTTGAAACACTCTATTTGTGCAATTTGCAAGTGTAGATTTCAAGCGCTTTAAGGTCAATGGCAGAAAAGGAAATATCTTCATTTCAAAACTAGACAGAATCATTCCCACAAACTGCGTTGTGATGTGTTCGTTCAACTCACAGAGTTTAACCTTTCTTTTCATAGAGCAGTTAGGAAACACTCTGTTGGTAAATTCTGTAAGTGGATATTCTTACATCTTGTGGCCTTCGTTGGAAACGGGATTTCTACATATTCTGCTAGACAGAAGAATTCTCAGTAACTTCCCTTGTGTTGTGTGTATTCAACTCACAGAGTTGAACGATCCTTTACACAGAGCAGACTTGTAACACTCTTTTTGTGTAATTTGCAAGTGGAGATTTCAGCCGCTTTGAAGTCAAAGGTAGAAAAGGAAATATCTTCCTATAAAAACTAGACAGAATGATTCTCATAAACTCCTTTGTGATGTGTGCGTTCAACTCACAGAGTTTAACCTTTCTGTTCATAGAGCTGGTAGGAAACACTCTGTTTGTAAAGTCTGCAAGTGGATATTCAGACCTCCTTGCGGCCTTCGTTGGAAACGGGATTTCTTCATATTCTGCTAGACAGAAGAATTCCCAGTAACTTCCTTGTGTTGTGTGTGTTCAACTCACAGAGTTGAACTTTCATTTACACAGAGCAGATTTGAAGCACTCTTTTTGTGGAATTTGCAAATGGAGATTTCAAGCGCTTGGAGGCCAAAGGCAGAAAAGGAAATATCTTCGTATAAAAACTAGACAGAATCATTCTCAGAAACTGCTCTGTGATGTGTGCGTTCAACTCTCAGAGTTTAACTTTTCTTTTCATTCAGCAGTTTGGAAACACTCTGTTTGTAAAGTCTGCACGTGGATAATTTGACCACTTAGAGGCCTTCGTTGGAAACGGGTTTTTTTCATGTAAGGCTACACAGAAGAATTCCCAGTAACTTCCTTGTGTTGTGTACATTCAACTCACAGAGTTGAACGTTCCCTTAGACAGAGCAGATTTGAAACACTCTTTTTGTGCAATTGGCAAGTGGTGATTTCAGCCGCTTTGTGGTCAATGGTAGAAAAGGAAATATCTTCGTATAAAAACTAGACAGAATCATTCCTACAAACTGCGTTGTGATGTGTTCGTTCAACTCACAGAGTTTAACCTTTCTGTTCATAGAGCAGTTAGGAAACACTCTGTTTGTAAAGTCTGTAAGTGGATATTCTGACATCTTGTGGCCTTCGTTGGAAACGGGATTTCTTCATATTCTGCTAGACAGAAGAATTCTCAGTAACTTCCTTGTGTTGTGTGTATTCAACTCACAGAGTTGAACGATCCTTTACACAGAGCAGACTTGAAACACTCCTTTTGTGGAATTTGCAAGTGGAGATTTCAGCCGCTTTGAGGTCAATGGTAGAAAAGGAAACTATCTTCGTATAAAGACTAGACAGAATGATTCTCATAAACTCCTTTGTGATGTGTGCGTTCAACTCACAGAGTTTAACCTTTCTTTTCATAGAGCAGTTAGGAAACACTCTGTTTGTAAAGTCTGCAAGTGGATATTCAGACCTCTTTGAGGCCTTCGTTGGAAACTGGATTTCTTCATATTATGCTAGACAGAAGAATTCCCAGTAACTTCCTTGTGATGTGTGTGTTCAACTCACAGAGTTGAACTTTCATTTACACAGAGCAGATTTGAAACACTCTTTTTGTGGAATTTGCAAGTGGAGATTTCAAGCGCTTTGAGGCCAAAGGCAGAAAAGGAAATATCTTCGTATAAAAACTAGACAGAATCATTCTCAGAAACTGCTGCGTGATGTGTGCGTTCAACTCTCAGAGTTTAGCTTTTCTTTTCATTCAGCGGTTTGGAAACACTCTGTTTGTAAAGTCTGCACGTGGATATTTTGACCACTTAGAGGCCTTCGTTGGAAACGGGTTTTTTGCATGTAAGGCTAGACAGAAGAATTCCCAGTAACTTCCTTGTGTTGTGTGCATTCAACTCACAGAGTTGAACGTTCCCTTAGACAGAGCAGATTTGAAACACTCTATTTGTCCAATTTGCAAGTGTAGATTTCAAGCGCTTTAAGGTCAACGGCAGAAAAGGAAATATCTTCGTTTCAAAACTAGACAGAATCATTCCCACAAACTGCGTTGTGAGGTGTTCGTTCAACTCACAGAGTTTAACCTTTCTTTTCATAGAGCAGTTAAGAAACAGTCTGTTTGTAAATTCTGTAAGTGGATATTCTGACATCTTGTGGCCCTCGTTGGAAACGGGATTTCTTGATATTCTGCTAGACAGAAGAATTCTCAGTAACTTCCTTGTGTTGTGTGTATTCAACTCACAGAGTTGAACGATCCTTTACACAGAGCAGACTTGAAACACTGTTTTTGTGGAATTTGCAAGTGGAGATTTCAGCCGCTTTGAGTTCAATGGTAGAATAGGAAATATCTTCCTATAGAAACTAGACAGAATGATTCTCAGAAACTCCTTTGTGATGTGTGTGTTCAACTCACAGAGTTTAACCTTTCTTTTCATAGAGCAGTTAGTAAACACTCTGTTTATAAAGTCTGCAAGTGGATATTCAGACCCCTTTGAGGCCTTCGTTGGAAACGGGATTTCTTCATTTTATGCTAGACAGAAGAATTCTCAGTAACTTCCTTGTGTTGTGTGTATTCAACTGACAGAGTTGAACTTTCATTTAGAGAGAGCAGATTTGAAACACTGTTTTTGTGGAATTTGCAAGTGGAGATTTCAAGCGCTTTGGGGCCAAAGGCAGAAAAGGAAATATCTTCGTGTAAAAACTAGACAGAATCATTCTCAGAAACTGCTCTGCGATGTGTGCGTTCAACTCTCAGAGTTTAACTTTGCTTTTCATTCAGCAGTTTGGAAACACTCTGTTTGTAAAGTCTGCACGTGGATAATTTGACCACTTAGAGGCCTTCGTTGGAAACGGGTTTTTTTCATGTAAGGCTAGACAGAAGAATTCTCAGAAACTTCATTGTGTTGTGTGTATTGAACTCACAGAGTTGAACAATCCTTTACACAGAGCGGACTTGAAACACTCTTTTTGTGGAATTTGCAAGTGGAGATTTCAGCCGCTTTGAGGTCAATGGTAGAAAAGGAAATATCTTCGTATAGAAACTAGACAGAATGATTCTCAGAAACTCCTTTGTGATGTGTGCGTTCAACTCACAGAGTTTAACCTTTCTTTTCATAGAGCAGTTAGGAAACACTCTGTTTGTAAAGTCTGCAAGTGGAAATTCAGACCTCTTTGAGACCTTCGTTGGAAACGGGATTTCTTCATATTCTGGTAGACAGAAGAATTCTCAGTAACTTCCCCTGTGTTGTGTGTATTCAACTCACAGAGTTGAACGATCCTTTACAGAGAGCAGACTTGAAACACTCTTTTTGTGGAATTTGCAAGTGGAGATTTCAGCCGCTTTGAGGTCAATGGTAGAATAGGAAATATCTTCCCATAGAAACTAGACAGAATGATTCTCAGAAACTCCTTTGTGATGTGTGTGTTCAACTCACAGAGTTTAACCTTTCTTTTCATAGAGCAGTTAGTAAACACTCTGTTTATAAAGTCTGCAAGTGGATATTCAGACCCCTTGGAGGCCTTCGTTGGAAACGGGATTTCTTCATATTTTGCTAGACAGAAGAATTCTCAGTAACTTCCTTGTGTTGTGTGTATTCAACTGACAGAGTTGAACTTTCATTTAGAGAGAGCAGATTTGTAACACTGTTTTTGTGGAATTTGCAAGTGGAGATTTCAAGCGCTTTGGGGCCAAAGGCAGAAAAGGAAATATCTTCGTATAAAAACTAGACAGAATCATTCTCAGAAACTGCTCTGTGATGTGTGCGTTCAACTCTCAGAGTTTAACATTTCTTTTCATTCAGCAGTTTGGAAACACTCTGTTTGTAAAGTCTGCACGTGGATATTTTGACCACTTAGAGGCCTTCGTTGGAAACGGGTTTTTTTCATGTAAGGCTAGACAGAAGAATTCCCAGTGACTTCCTTGTGTTGTGTGCATTCAACTCACAGAGTTGAACGTTCCCTTAGACAGAGCAGATTTGAAACACTCTATTTGTGCAATTTGCAAGTGTAGTTTTCAAGCTCTTTAAGGTCAACGGCAGAAAAGGAAATATCTTCGTTTCAAAACTAGACAGAATCATTCCCACAAACTGCGTTGTGATGTGTTCGTTCAAGTCACAGAGTTTAACCTTTCTTTTCATAGAGCAGTTAGGAAACAGTCTGTTTGTCAATTCTGTAAGTGGATATTCTGACATCTTGTGGCCTTCGTTGGAAACGGGATTTCTTCATATTCTCCTAGACAGAAGAATTCCCAGTAACTTCCTTGTGTTGTGTGCATTCAACTCACAGAGTTGAACGATCCTTCACACAGAGCAGATTAGAAACACTCTTTTTATTGGAATTTGCAAGTGGAGATTTCAGCCGCTTTGAGGTCAACGGTAGAAAAGGAAATATCTTCGTATAAAAACTAGACAGAATGATTCTCAGAAACTCCTTTGTGATGTGTGTGTTCAACTCACAGAGTTTAACCTTTCTTTTCATAGAGCAGTTAGTAAACACTCTGTTTATAAAGTCTGCAAGTGGATATTCAGACCCCTTTGAGGCCTTCGTTGGAAACGGGGTTTCTTCATATTCTGCTAGACAGAAGAATTCCCACTAACTTCCTTGTGTTGTGTGTGTTCAACTCACAGAGTTGAACTTTCATTTACACAGAGCAGATTTGAAACACTCTTTTTGTGGAATTTGCAAGTGGAGATTTCAAGCGCTTTGAGGCCAAAGGCAGAAAAGGAAATATCTTCGTTTCAAAACTAGACAGAATCATTCTCAGAAACTGCTCTGCGATGTGTGAGTTCAACTCTCAGAGTTTAACTTTTCTTTTCATTCAGCAGTTTGGAAACACTCTGTTTGTAAAGTCTGCACGTGGATATTTTGACCACTTAGAGGCCTTCGTTGGAAACGGGTTTTTTTCCTGTAAGGCTAGACAGAAGAATTCCCAGTAACTTCCTTGTGTTGTGTGTGTTCAACTCACAGAGTTGAACTTTCATTTACACAGAGCAGATTTGAAACACTCTTTTTGTGGAATTTGCAAGTGGAGATGTCAAGCGCTTTAAGGTCAATGGCAGAAAAGGAAATATCTTAGTTTCAAAACTAGACAGAATCATTCCCACAAACTGCGTTGTGATGTGTTCGTTCAACTCACAGAGTTTAACCTTTCTTTTCATAGAGCAGTTAGGAAACAGTCTGTTTTTAAATTCTGTAAGTGGATATTCTGACATCTTGTGGCCTTCGTTGGAAACGGGATTTGTTCATATTCTGCTAGACAGAAGAATTCTCAGTAACTTCCTTGTGTTGTGTGTATTCAACTCACAGAGTTGAACGATCCTTTACACAGAGCAGTCTTGAAACACTCTTTTTGTGGAATTTGCAAGTGGAGATTTCAGCCGCTTTGAGGTCAATGGTAGAATAGGAAATATCTTCCTATAGAAACTAGACAGAATGATTCTCAGAAACTTCTTTGTGATGTGTGCGTTCAACTCACAGAGTTTAACCTTTCTTTTCATAGAGCAGTTAGGAAACACTCTGTTTGTAAACTCTGCAAGTGGATATTCAGACCTCTTTGAGGCCTTCGTTGGAAACGGGATTTCTTCATACTATGCTAGACAAGAAGAATCCTCAGTAACCTCCTTGTGTTGTGTGTATTCAACTGACAGAGTTGAACTTTCATTTAGACAGAGCAGATTTGAAACACTCTTTTTGTGGAATTTGCAAGTGGACATTTCAAGCGCGTTGAGGCCAAAGGCAGAAAAGGAAATATCTTCGTATAAAAACTAGACAGAATCATTCTCAGAAACTGCTCTGTGATGTGTGCGTTCAACTCTCAGAGTTTAACTTTTCTTTTCATTCAGCAGTTTGGAAACACTCTGTTTGTAAAGTCTGCACGTGGATAATTTGACCACTTAGAGGCCTTCATTGGAAACGGGTTTTTTTCATGTAAGGCTAGACAGAAGAATTCCCAGTAACTTCCTTGTGTTGTGTGCATTCAACTCACAGAGTTGAACGTTCCCCTAGACAGAGCAGATTTGAAACACTCTATTTGTGCAATTTGCAAGTGTAGTTTTCAAGCTCTTTTAGGTCAACGGCAGAAAAGGAAATATCTTGGTTTCAAAACTAGACAGAATGATTCTCATAAACTCCTTTGTGATGTGTGCGTTCAACTCACAGAGTTTAACCTTTCTTTTCATAGAGCAGTTAGGAAACACTCTGTTTGTAAAGTCTGCAAGTGGATATTCAGACCTCTTTGAGGCCTTCGTTGGAAACGGGATTTCTTCATATTCTGCTAGACAAAAGAATTCTCAGTAACTTCCTTGTGTTGTGTGCATTCAACTCACAGAGTTGAACGATCCTTTACACAGGGCAGACTTGAAACACTCTTTTTGTGGAATTTGCAAGGGGAGATTTCAGCCTCATTGAGGTTAATGGTAGAAAATGAAATATCTTCGTATAGAAACTAGACAGAATGATTCTCAGAAACTCCTTTGTGATGTGTGCGTTCAACTCACAGAGTTCAACCTTTCTTTTCATAGAGCAGTTGGGAAACACTCTGTTTGTATAGTCTGCAAGTGGATATTCAGACTTCTTTGAGGCCTTCGTTGGAAGCGGGATTTCTTCATATTCTGCTAGACAGAAGAATTCTCAGTAACTTCCTTGTGCTGTGTGTATTCAACTGACAGAGTTGAACTTTCATTTAGAGAGAGCAGATTTGAAACACTGTTTTTGTGGAATTTGCAAGTGGAGATTTCAAGCGCTTTGGGGCCAAAGGCAGAAAAGGAAATATCTTCGTATAAAAACTAGACAGAATCATTCTCAGAAACTGCTGCGTGATGTGTGCGTTCAACTCTCAGAGTTTAACTTTTCTTTTCATTCAGCGGTTTGGAAACACTCTGTTTGTAAAGACTGCACGTGGATATTTTGACCCCTTAGAGGCCTTCGTTGGAAACGGGTTTTTTTCATGTAAGGCTAGACAGAAGAATTCCCAGTAACTTCCTTGTGTTGTGTACATTCAACTCACAGAGTTGAACGTTCCCTTAGACAGAGCAGATTTGAAACACTCTTTTTGTGCAATTGGCAAGTGGTGATTTCAGCCGCTTTGAGGTCAATGGTAGAAAAGGAAATATCTTCGTATAAAAACTAGACAGAATGATTCTCAGAAACTTCATTGTGACGTGTGCGTTCAACTCACAGAGTTTAACATTTCTTTTCATAGAGCAGTTAGGAAACACTCTGTTTGTAAAGTCTGCAAGTGGATATTCAGACCTCTTTGAGGCCTTCGTTGGAAACGGGATTTCTTCATACTGTGCTAGACAGAAGAATTCTCAGTAACTTCCTTGTGTTGTGTGTATTCAACTCACAGAGTTCAACGATCCTTTACACAGAGCAGACTTGAAACACTCTTTTTGTGGAATTTGCAAGTGGAGATTTCAGCCGCTTTGAGGTCAATGGTAGAATAGGGAATATCTTCCTATAGAAACTAGACAGAATGATTGTCAGAAACTCCTTTGTGATGTGTGCGTTCAACTCACAGACTTTAACCTTTCTTTTCATAGAGCAGTTAGGAAACACTCTGTTTGTAAAGTCTGCAAGTGGATATTCAGACCTCCTTGAGGCCTTCGTTGGAAACGGGATTTCTTCATATTATGCTAGACAGAAGAATTCTCAGTAACTTCCTTGTATTGTGTGTATTCAACTCACAGAGTTGAACGATCCTTTACACAGAGCAGACTTGAAACACTCTTCTTGTGGAATTTGCAAGTGGAGATTTCAGCCGCTTTGAGGTCAATGGTAGAATAGGAAATATCTTCCTATAGAAACTAGACAGAATCATTCTCAGAAACTGCTCTGCGATGTGTGCGTTCAACTCTCAGAGTTTAACTTTTCTTTTCATTCAGCAGTTTGGAAACACTCTGTTTGTAAAGTCTGCACGTGGATATTTTGACCACTTAGAGGCCTTCGTTGGAAACGGGTTTTTTTCCTGTAAGGCTAGACAGTAGAATTCCCAGTAACTTCCTTGTGTTGAGTACATTCAACTCACAGAGTTGAACGTTCCCTTAGACAGAGCAGATGTGAAACACTCTTTTTGTGCAATTGGCAAGTGGAGATTTCAAGCGCTTTAAGGTCAATGGCAGAAAAGGAAATATCTTCGTTTCAAAACTAGACAGAATCATTCCCACAAACTGCGTTGTGATGTGTTCGTTCAACTCACAGAGTTTAACCTTTCTTTTCATAGAGCAGTTAGGAAACAGTCTGTTTGTAAATTCTGTAAGTGGATATTATGACATCTTGTGGCCTTCGTTGGAAACGGGATTTCTTCATATTCTGCTAGACAGAAGAATTCTCAGTAACTTCCTTGTGTTGTGTGTTTTCAACTCACAGAGTTGAACGATCCTTTACACAGAGCAGACTTGAAACACTCCTTTTGTGGAATTTGCAAGTGGAGATTTCAGCCGCTTTGAGGTCAATGGTAGAATAGGAAATATCTTCCTATAGAAAGTAGACAGAATGATTCTCAGAAACTCCTTTGTGATGTGTGTGTTCAACTCACAGAGTTTAACATTTCTTTTCATAGAGCAGTTAGGAAACACTCTGTTTGTAAAGTCTGCAAGTGGATATTCAGACCTCTTTGAGGCCTTCGTTGGAAACGGGTTTTTTTCATATAAGGCTAGAGAGAATAATTCTCAGTAACTTCCTTGTGTTGTGTGTATTCAACACACAGAGTTGAACGATCCTTTACACAGAGCAGACTTGAAACACTCTATTTGTAGAATTTGCAAGTGGAGATTTCAGCCGCTTTGAGGTCAATAGTAGAAAAGGAAATATCTTCGTAGAAAAACTAGACAGAATGATTCTCATAAACTCCTTTCTGATGTGTGCATTCAACTCACAGAGTTTCACCTTTCTTTTCATAGAGCAGTTAGGAAACACTCTGTTTGTAAAGTCTGCAAGTGGATATTCAGACCTCCTTGAGGCCTTCGTTGGAAACGGGATTTCTTCTTATTCTGCTAGACAGAAGAATTCCCAGTAACTTCCTTGTGTTGTGTGTGTTCAACTCACAGAGTTGAACTTTCATTTACACAGAGCAGATTTGAAACACTCTTTTTGTGGAATTCGCAAGTGGAGATTTCAAGCGCTTTGAGGCCAAAGGCAGAAAAGGAAATATCTTCGTATAAAAACTAGACAGAATCATTCTCAGAAACTGCTCTGCGATGTGTGCGTTCAACTCTCAGAGTTTAACTTATCTTTTCATTCAGCAGTTTGGAAACACTCTGTTTGTAAAGTCTGCACGTGGATAATTTGACCACTTAGAGGTCTTCGTTGGAAACGGGTTTTTTTCATGTAAGGCTAGACAGAAGAATTCCCAGTAACTTCCTTGTGTTGTGTGTGTTCAACTCACAGAGTTGAACTTTCATTTACACAGAGCAGATTTGAAACACTCTTTTTGTGGAATTTGCAAATGGAGATTTCAAGCGCTTTGAGGCCAAAGGCAGAAAAGGAAATATCTTCGTATAAAAAGCTAGACAGATAATCATTCTCAGAAACTGCTGTGCGATGTGTGTGTTCAACTCTCAGAGTTTAACTTTGCTTTTCATTCAGCAGTTTGGAAACACTCTGTTTGTAAAGTCTGCACGTGGATAATTTGACCACTTAGAGGCCTTCGTTGGAAACGGGTTTTTTTCATGTAAGGCTGGACAGAAGAATTCTCAGTAACTTCCTTGTGTGGTGTGTATTCAACTCACAGAGTTGAACGATCCTTTACACAGAGCAGACTTGTAAAACTCTTTTTGTGGAATTTGCAAGTGGAGATTTCAGCCGCTTTGAAGTCAAAGGTAGAAAAGGAAATATCTTCCTATAAAAACTACACAGAATGATTCTCAGAAACTCCTTTGTGATGTGTGCGTTCAACTCACAGAGTTTAACCTTTCTTTTCATAGAGCAGTTAGGAAACACTCTGCTTGTAAAGTCTGCAAGTGGATATTCAGCCCTCTTTGAGGCCTTCGCTGGAAACGGGTTTTTTTCATATAAGGCTAGACAGAAGAATTCTCAGTAACTTCCTTGTGTTGTGTGTATTCAACTCACAGAGTTGAACGATCCTTTACACAGAGCAGACTTGAAACACTCTTTTTGTGGAATTTGCAAGTGGAGATTTCAGCCGCTTTGAGTTCAATGGTAGAATAGGAAATATCTTCCCTATAGAAACTAGACAGAATGATTCTCAGAAACTCCTTTGTGATGTGTGCGTTCAACTCACAGAGTTTAACCTTTCTTTTCATAGAGCAGTTAGGAAACACTCTGTTTGTAACGTCTGCAAGTGGATATTCAGACCTCCTTGAGGCCTTCGTTGGAAACGGGATTTCTTCATATTCTGCTACAGAGAAGAATTCCCGGTAACTTCCTTGTGTTGTGTGTGTTCAACTCACAGAGTTGAACTTTCATTTACACAGAGCAGATTTGAAACACTCTTTTTGTGGAATTTGCAAATGGAGATTTCAAGCGCTTTGAGGCCAAAGGCAGAAAAGGAAATATCTTCGTATAAAAACTAGACAGAATCATTCTCAGAAACTGCTCTGCGATGTGTGCGTTCAACTCTCAGAGTTTAACTTTTCTTTTCATTCAGCAGTTTGGAAACACTCTGTTTGTAAAGTCTGCATGTGGATAACTTGACCACTTAGAGGCCTTCGTTGGAAACGGGTTTTTTTCCTGTAAGGCTAGACAGAAGAGTTCCCAGTAACTTCCTTGTGTTGTGTGCATTCAACTCACAGAGTTGAACGTTCCCTTAGACAGAGCAGATTTGAAACACTCTATTTGTGCAATTTGCAAGTGTAGATTTCAAGCGCTTTAAGGTCAATGGCAGAAAAGGAAATATCTTCGTTTCAAAACTAGACAGAATCATTCCCACAAACTGCGTTGTAATGTGTGCGTTCAACTCACAGAGTTTAACCTTTCTTTTCATAGAGCAGTTAGGAAACACTCTGTTTGTAAAGTCTGTAAGTGGATATTCTGACATCTTGTGGCCTTCGTTGGAAACGGGATTTCTTCATATTCTGCTAGACAGAAGAATTCTCAGTAACTTCCGCGTGTTGTGTGTATTCAACTCACACAGTTGAACGATCCTTTACACAGAGCAGACTTGAAACACTCTTTTTGTGGAATTTGCAAGTGGAGATTTCAGCCGCTTTGAGGTCAATGGTAGAAAAGGAAATATCTTCCTATAAAAACTAGACAGAATGATTCTCAGAAACTCCTTTGTGATGTGTGCGTTCAACTCACAGAGTTTAACCTTTCTTTTCATAGAGCAGTTAGAAACACTCTGTTTGTAAAGTCTGCAAGTGGATATTCAGACCTCCTTGAGGCCTTCGTTGGAAGCGGGATTTCTTCATGTTCAGGTAGACAGAAGAATTCCCAGTAACTTTCCTTGTGTTGTGTGTGTTCAACTCACAGAGTTGAACTTTCATTTACACAGAGCAGATTTGAAACACTCTTTTTGTGGAATTTGCAAGAGGAGATTTCAAGCGCTTTGAGGCCAAAGACAGAAAAGGAAATATCTTCGTATAAAAACTAGACAGAATCATTCTCAGAAACTGCTGCGTGATGTGTGCGTTCAACTCTCAGAGTTTAACTTTTCTTTTCATTCATCGGTTTGGAAACACTCTGTTTGTAAAGTCTGCACGTGGATATTTTGACCACTTAGAGGCCTTCATTGGAAACGGGTTTTTTTTCATGTAAGGCTAGACAGAAGAATTCCCAGTAACTTCCTTGTGTGGGGTGCATTCAACTCACAGAGTTGAACGTTCTCTTAGACAGAGCAGATTTGAAACACTCTATTTGTGCAATTTGCAAGTGTAGATTTCAAGCGCTTTAAGGTCAATGGCAGAAAAGGAAATATCTTCGTTTCAAAACTAGACAGAATCATTCCCACAAACTGCGTTGTGATGTGTTCGTTCAACTCACAGAGTTTAACCTTTCTTTTCATAGAGCAGTTAGGAAACAGTCTGTTTGTCAATTCTGTAAGTGGATATTCTGACATCTTGTGGTCTTCGTTGGAAACGGGATTTCTTCATATTCTGCTAGACAGAAGAATTCTCAGTAACTTCCTTGTGTTGTGTGTATTCAACTCACAGAGTTGAAGGATCCTTTACAGAGAGCAGACTTGAAACACTCTTTTTGTGGAATTTGCAAGTGGAGATTTCAGCCGCTTTGAGGTCAATGGTAGAAAAGGAAATATCTTCGTATAAAGGCTAGACAGAATGATTCTCAGAAACTCCTTTGTGATGTGTGCGTTCAACACACAGAGTTTAACTTTTCTTTTCATAGAGAAGTTAGTAAACACTCTGTTTATACAGTCTGCATGTGGATATTCAGACCCCTTTGAGGCCTTCGTTGGAAACGGGATTTCTTCATATTATGCTAGACAGAAGAATTCCCAGTAACTTTCCTTGTGTTGTGTGTGTTCAACTCACAGAGTTGAACTTTGATTTACACAGAGCAGATTTGAAACACTCTTTTTGTGGAATTTGCAAGTGGAGATTTCAAGCGCTTTGTGGCCAAAGGCAGAAAAGGAAATATCTTCGTATAAAAACTAGACAGAATCATTCTCAGAAACTGCTCTGTGATGTGTGCGTTCAACTCTCAGAGTTTAACTTTTCTTTTCATTCAGCAGTTTGGAAACACTCTGTTTGTAAAGTCTGCACGTGGATAATTTGACCACTTAGAGGCCTTCGTTGGAAACGGGTTTTTTTCATGTAAGGCTAGAGAGAAGAATTCCCAGTAACTTCCTTGTGTTGTGTGTATTCAACTCACAGAGTTGAACGTTCCCTTAGACAGAGCAGATTTGAAACACTCTATTTGTGCAATTTGCAAGTGTAGATTTCAAGCGCTTTATGTTCAATGGCAGAAAAGGAAATATCTTCGTTTCAAAACTAGACAGAATCATTCCCACAAACTGCGTTGTGATGTGTTCGTTCAACTCACAGAGTTTAACCTTTCTGTTCATAGAGCAGTTAGGAAACACTGTGTTTGTAAAGTCTGTAAGTGGATATTCTGACATCTTGTGGCCTTCGTTGGAAAAGGGATTTCTTCATATTCTGCTAGACAGAAGAATTCTCAGTAACTTCCTTGTGTTGTGTTTATTCAACTCACAGAGTTGAACGATCCTTTACACAGAGCAGACTTGAAACACTCTTTTTGTGGAATTTGCAAGTGGAGATTTCTGCCGCTTTGAGGTCAATGGTAGAATAGGAAATATCTTCCTATAGAAACTAGACAGAGTGATTCTCATAAACTCCTTTGTGATGTGTGCATTCAACTCACAGAGTTTAACCTTTCTTTTCATAGAGCAGTTAGGAAACACTCTGTTTGTAAAGTCTGCAAGTGGATATTCAGACCTCCTTGAGGCCTTCTTTGGAAACGGGATTTCTTCATATTCTGATAGACAGAAGAATTCCCAGTAACTTCCTTGTGTTGTGTGTGTTCAACTCACAGAGTTGAACTTTGATTTACACAGAGCAGATTCGAAACACTCTTTTTGTGGAATTTGCAAGTGGAGATTTCAAGCGCTTTGAGGCCAAAGGCAGAAAAGGAAATATCTTCGTATAAAAACTAGACAGAATCATTCTCAGAAAATGCTCTGTGATGTGTACGTTCAACTCTCAGAGTTTAACTTTTCTTTTCATTCAGCAGTTTGGAAACACTCTGTTTGTAAAGTCTGCACGTGGATATTTTGACCACTTAGAGGCCTTCGTTGGAAACGGGTTTTTTTCATGTAAGGGTAGACAGAAGAATTCCCAGTAACTTCCTTGTGTTGTGTGCATTCAACTCACAGAGTTGAACGTTCCCTTAGACAGAGCAGATTTGAAACACTCTATTTGTGCAATTTGCAAGTGTAGATTTCAAGCGCTTTAAGGTCAACGGCAGAAAAGGGAATATCTTCGTTTCAAAACTAGACAGAATCATTCCCACAAACTGCGTTGTGATGTGTTCGTTCAACTCACAGAGTTTAACCTTTCTGTTCATACAACAGTTAGGAAACACTCTGTTTGTAAAGTCTGCAAGTGGATATTCAGACCTCCTTGAGGCCTTCGTTGGAAACGGGATTTCTTCATATTCTGCTAGACCGAAGAATTCTCAGTAACTTCCCTGTGTTGTGTGTATTCAACTCACAGAGTTGAACGATCCTTTACACAGAGCAGACTTGAAACACTCTTTTTGTGGAATTTGCAAGTGGAGATTTCAGCCGCTTTGAGGTCAATGGTAGAATAGGAAATATCTTCCTATAGAAACTAGACAGAATGATTCTCAGAAACTCCTTTGTGATGTGTGCGTTCAACTCACAGAGTTTAACCTTTCTTTTCATAGAGCAGTTAGGAAACACTCTGTTTGTAAATTCTGCAAGTGGATATTCAGACATCTTTGAGGCTTTCGTTGGAAACGGGATTTCTTCATATTCTGCTAGACAGAAGAATTCTCAGTAACTTCCTTGTGTTGTGTGTATTCAACTGACAGAGTTGAACGATCCTTTACACAGAGCAGACTTGAAACACTCTTTTTGTGGAATTTGCAAGTGGAGATTTCTGCCGCTTTGAGGTCAATGGTAGAATAGGAAATATCTTCCTATAAAAACTAGACAGAATCATTCTCAGAAACTGCTCTGTGATGTGTGCGTTCAACTCTCAGAGTTTAACTTTTCTTTTCTTTCAGCAGTTTGGAAACACTCTGTTTGTAAAGTCTGCACGTGGATATTTTGACCACTTAGAGGCCTGCGTTGGAAACGGGTTTTTTTCATGTAAGGCTAGACAGAAGAATTCCCAGTAACTTCCTTGTGTTGTGTACATTCAACTCACAGAGTTGAACGTTCCCTTAGAGAGAGCAGATTTGAAATACTCTTTTTGTGCAATTGGCAAGTGGAGATTTCAAGCGCTTTAAAGTCAATGGCAGAAAAGGAAATATCTTCGTTTCAAAACTAGACAGAATGATTCTCAGAAACTTCATTGTGATGTGTGCGTTCAACTCACAGAGTTTAACCTTTCTTTTCATAGAGCAGTTAGGAAACACTGTTTTTGTAAACTCTGCAAGTGGTTATTCAGACCTCTTTGAGGCCTTCGTTGGAAACGGGATTTCTTCATACTGTGCTAGACAGAAGAATTCTCAGTAACTTCCTTGCGTTGTGTGTATTCAACTCACAGAGTTGAACGATCTTTTACAGAGAGCAGACTTGAAACACTCTTTTTGTGGAATTTGCAAGTGGAGATTTCAGCCGCTTTGAGGTCAATGGTAGAATAGGAAATATCTTCCTATAGAAACTAGACAGAATGATTCTCAGAAACTCCTTTGTGATGTGTGCGTTCAACTCACAGAGTTTAACCTTTCTGTTCATAGAGCAGTTAGGAAACACTCTGTTTGTAAAGTCTGCAAGTGGATATTCAGACCTCCTTGAGGCCTTCGTTGGAAACAGGATTTCTTCATATTATGCTAGACAGAAGAATTCCCAGTAACTTCCTTGTGTTGTGTGTGTTCAACTCACAGAGTTGAACTTTGATTTACAAAGAGCAGATTTGAAACACTCTTTTTGTGGAATTTGCAAGTGGAGATTTCAAGCGCTTTGAGGCCAAAGGCAGAAAAGGAAATATCTTCGTATAAAAACTAGACAGAATCATTCTCAGAAACTGCTGCGTGATGTGTGCGTTCAACTCTCAGAGTTTAACTTTTCTTTTCATTCAGCGGTTTGGAAACACTCTGTTTGTAAAGTCTGCACGTGGAAATTTTGACCACTTAGAGGCCTTCGTTGGAAACGGGATTTTTTCATGTAAGGCTAGACAGAAGAATTCCCAGTAACTTCCTTGTGTTGTGTACATTCAACTCACAGAGTTGAACGTTCCCTTAGACAGAGCAGATTTGAAACACTCTTTTTGTGCAATTGGCAAGTGGAGATTTCAAGCGCTTTGTGGTCAATGGCAGAAAAGGAAATATCTTCGTTTCAAAACTACACAGAATCATTCCCACAAACTGCGTTGTGATGTGTTCGTTCAACTCACAGAGTTTAACCTTTCTGTTCATAGAGCAGTTAGGAAACACTCTGTTTGTAAAGTCTGTAAGTGGGTATTCTGACATCTTGTGGCCTTCGTTGGAAACGGGATTTCTTCATATTCTGCTAGACAGAATAATTCTCAGTAACTTACCTTGTGTTGTGTGTATTCAACTCACAGAGTTGAACGATCCTTTACACAGAGCAGACTTGAAACACTCTTTTTGTGGAATTTGCAAGTGGAGATTTCAGCCGCTTTGAGGTCAATGGTAGAATAGGAAATATCTTCCTATAGAAACTAGACAGAATGATTCTCAGAAAATCCTTTGTGATGTGTGCGTTCAACTCACAGAGTTTAACATTTCTTTTCATAGAGCAGTTAGGAAACACTCTGTTTGTAAAGTCTGCAAGTGGATATTCAGACCTCTTTGAGGCCTTCGTTGGAAACGGGATTTCTTCATATTCTGCTAGACAGAAGAATTCTCAGTAACTTCCTTGTGTTGTGTGTATTCAACTGACAGAGTTGAACTTTCATTTAGAGAGAGCAGATTTGAAACACTGTTTTTGTGGAATTTGCAAGTGGTGATTTCAAGCGCTTTGGGGCCAAAGGCAGAAAAGGAAATATCTTCGTATAAAAACTAGACAGAATGATTCTCAGAAACTGCTCTGCGATGTGTGCGTTCAACTCTCAGAGTTTAACTTTTCTTTTCATTCAGCAGTTTGGAAACACTCTGTTTGTAAAGTCTGCACGTGGATATTTTGACCACTTAGAGGCCTTCGTTGGAAACGGGTTTTTTTCCTGTAAGGCTAGACAGAAGAATTCCCAGTAACTTCCTTGTGTTGTGTGCATTCAACTCACAGAGTTGAACGTTCCCTTAGACAGAGCAGATTTGAAACACTCTATTTGTGCAATTTGCAAGTGTAGATTTCAAGCGCTTTAAGGTCAATGGCAGAAAAGGAAATATCTTCGTATAAAAACTAGTCAGAATCATTCCCACAAACTGCGTTGTGATGTGTTCGTTCAACTCACAGAGTTTAACCTTTCTTTTCATAGAGCAGTTAGGAAACAGTCTGTTTGTCAATTCTGTAAGTGGATATTCTGACATCTTGTGGCCTTCGTTGGAAACGGGTTTTCTTCATATTCTCCTAGACAGAAGAATTCTCAGTAACTTCCTTGTGTTGTGTTTATTCAACTCACAGAGTTGAATGATCCTTTACACAGAGCAGACTTGAAACTCTCTTTTTGTGGAATTTGCAAGTGGAGATTTCAGCCGCTTTGAGGTCAATGGTAGAAAAGCAAATATCTTCGTATAAAGACTAGACAGAGTGATTCTCAGAAACTCCTTTGTGATGTCTGCGTTTAACTCACAGAGTTTAACCTTTCTTTTCATAGAGCAGTTAGGAAACACTCTGTTTGTAAAGTCTGCAAGTGGATATTCAGACCTCCTTGAGGCCTTCGTTGGAAACGGGATTTCTTCATATTATGCTAGACACAAGAATTCTCAGTAACTTCCTTGTGTTGTGTGTATTCAACTGACAGAGTTGAACTTTCATTTAGAGAGAGCAGATTTGAAACACTGTTTTTGTGGAATTTGCAAGTGGAGATTTTAAGCGCTTTGGGGCCAAAGGCAGAAAAGGATATATCTTCGTATAAAAACTAGACAGAATCATTCTCAGAAACTGCTGCGTGATGTGTGCATTCAACTCTCAGAGTTTAACTTTTCTTTTCATTCAGCGGTTTGGAAACACTCTGTTTGTAAAGTCTGCACGTGGAAATTTTGACCACTTAGAGGCCTTCGTTGGAAACGTGTTTTTTTCATGTAAGGCTAGACAGAAGAATTCCCAGTAACTTCCTTGTGTTGTGTGCATTCAACTCACAGAGTTGAACGTTCCCTTAGACAGAGCAGATTTGAAACACTCTATTTGTGCAATTTGCAAGTGTAGTTTTCAAGCTCTTTAAGGTCAACGGCAGAAAAGGAAATATCTTCGTTTCAAAACTAGACAGAATCATTCCCACAAACTGCGTTGTGATGTGTTCGTTCAACTCACAGAGTTTAAACTTTCTTTTCATAGAGCAGTTAGGAAACAGTCTGTTTGTCAATTCTGTAAGTGGATATTCTGACATCTAGTGGCCTTCGTTGGAAACGGGATTTCTTCATATTCTGCTAGACAGAAGAATTCTCAGTAACTTCCTTGTGTTGTGTGTATTCAACTCACAGAGTTGAACGATCGTTTACACAGAGCAATCATGAAACACTCTTTTTGTGGAATTTGCAAGTGGAGATTTCTGCCGCTTTGAGGTCAATGGTGGAATAGGAAATATCTTCCTATAGAAACTAGACAGAATGATTCTCAGAAACTCCTTTGTGAAGTGTGCGTTCAACTCACAGAGTTTAACCTTTCTTTTCATAGAGCAGTTAGGAAACACTCTGTTTGTAAAGTCTGCAAGTGGATATTCAGACCTCTTTGAGGCCTTCGTTGGAAACGGGTTTTTTTCATATAAGGCTAGACAGAAGAATTCCCAGTAACTTCCTTGTGTTGTGTGTGTTCGACTCACAGAGTTGAACTTTCATTTACACAGAGCAGATTTGAAACACTCTTTTTGTGGAATTTGCAAGTGGAGATTTCAAGCGCTTTGAGGCCCAAGGCAGAAAAGGAAATATCTTCGTTTCAAAACTAGACAGAATCATTCTCAGAAACTGCTCTGCGATGTGTGCGTTCAACTCTCAGAGTTTAACTTTTCTTTTCATTCAGCAGTTTGGAAACACTCTGTTTGTAAAGTCTGCACGTGGATAATTTGACCACTTAGAGGCCTTCGTTGGAAACGGGTTTTTTCATGTAAGGCTAGACAGAAGAATTCCCAGTAACTTCCTTGTGTTGTGTACATTCAACTCACAGAGTTGAACGTTCCCTTAGACAGAGCAGATTTGAAACACTCTTTTTGTGCAATTGGCAAGTGGAGATTTCAAGTGCTTTAAGGTCAATGGCAGAAAAGGAAATATCTTCGTTTCAAAACTAGACAGAATCATTCCCACAAACTGCGTTGTGATGTGTTCGTTCAACTCACAGAGTTTAACCTTTCTTTTCATAGAGCAGTTAGGAAACAGTCTGTTTGTAAATTCTGTATGTGGATATTCTGACATCTTGTGGCCTTCGTTGCAAACGGGATTTCTTCATATTCTGCTTGACAGAAGAAATCTCAGAATCTTCCTTGTGTTGTGTGTATTCAACTCACAGAGTTGAACGATGGTTTACAAAGAGCAGATATGAAACACTCTATTTGTGGAATTTGCAAGTGGAGATTTCAGCCGCTTTGAGGTCCATGGTAGAAAAGGAAATATCTTCGTATAAAAACTAGACAGAAAGATTCTCAGAAATTCCTTTGTGATGTGTGCGTTCAACTCACAGAGTTTAACCTTTCTTTTCATAGAGCAGTTAGGAAACACTCTGTTTGTAAAGTCTGCAAGTGGATATTCAGACCTCTTTGAGGCCTTCGTTGGAAACGGGTTTTTTTCATATAAGGCTAGACAGAAGAATTCTCAGTAACTTCCTTGTGTTGTGTGTATTCAACTGACAGAGTTGAACTTTCATTTAGAGAGAGCAGATTTGAAACACTGTTTTTGTGGAATTTGCAAGTGGAGATTTCAAGCGCTTTGGGGCCAAAGGCAGAAAACGAAATATCTTCTTATAAAAACTAGACAGAATCATTCTCAGCAAACTCCTTTGTGATGTGTGCGTTCAACTCTCAGAATTTAACTTTTCTTTTCATTCAGCGGTTTGGAAACACTCTGTTTGTAAAGTCTGCACGTGGAAATTTTGACCACTTAGGGGCCTTCGTTGGAAACGGGTTTTTTTCATGTAAGGCTAGACAGAAGAATTCCCAGTAACTTCCTTGTGTTGTGTGCATTCAACTCACAGAGTTGAAAGTTCCCTTAGACAGACCAGATTTGAAACACTCTATTTGTGCAATTTGCAAGTGTAGATTTCATGCGCTTTGAGGTCAATGGCAGAAAAGGAAATATCTTCGTTTCAAAACTAGACAGAATCATTCCCACAAACTGCGTTGTGATGTGTTCGTTCAACTCACAGAGTTTAACCTTTCTGTTCATAGAGCAGTTAGGAAACACTCTGTTTGTAAAGTCTGCAAGTGGATATTCAGACCTCCTTGAGGCCTTCGTTGGAAACGGGATTTCTTCATATTCTGCTAGACCGAAGAATTCTCAGTAACTTCCTTGTGTTGTGTGTATTCAACTCACAGAGTTGAACGATCCTTTACACAGAGCAGACTTGAAACACTCTTTTTGTGGAATTTGCAAGGGGAGATTTCAGCCGCTTTGAGGTCAATGGTAGAAAAGGAAATATCTTCGTATAAAAACTAGACAGAATGATTCTCAGAAACTTCATTGTGATGTGTGCGTTCAACTCACAGAGTTTAACCTTTCTTTTCATAGAGCAGTTAGGAAACACTCTGTTTGTGAACTCTGCAAGTGGATATTCAGACGTCTTTGAGGCCTTCGTTGGAAACGGGATTTCTTCATACTATGCTAGACAGAAGAATTCTCAGTAACTTCCCTTGTGTTGTGTGTATTCAACTCACAGAGCTGAACTTTCATTTACACAGAGCAGATTTGAAACACTCTTTTTGTGGAATTTGCAAATGGAGATTTCAAGCGCTTTGAGGCCAAAGGCAGAAAAGGAAATATCTTCGTATAAAAACTAGACAGAATCATTCTCAGAAACTGCTCTGCGATGTGTGCGTTCAACTCTCAGAGTTTAACTTTTCTTTTCATTCAGCAGTTTGGAAACACTCTGTTTGTAAAGTCTGCACGTGGATATTTTGACCACTTAGAGGCCTTTGTTGGAAACGGGTTTTTTCCTGTAAGGCTAGACAGAAGAATTCCCAGTAACTTCCTTGTGTTGTGTACGGTTCAACTCACAGAGTTGAACGTTCCCTTAGACAGAGCAGATTTGAAACACTCTTTTTGTGCAATTGGCAAGTGGAGATTTCAAGCGCTTTAAGGTCAATGGCAGAAAAGGAAATATCTTCGTTTCAAAACTAGACAGAATGATTCTCAGAAACTTCTTTGTGATGTGTGCGTTCAACTCACAGAGTTTAACCTTTCTTTTCATAGAGCAGTTAGGAAACACTCTGTTTGTAAAGTCTGCAAGTGGATATTCAGATCTCTTTGAGGCCTTCGTTGGAAATGGGATTTCTTCATACTATGCTAGACAGAAGAATTCTCAGTAACTTCCTTGTGTTGTGTGTATTCAACTCACAGAGTTGAACGATCCTTTACACAGAGCAGACTTGTAACACTCTTTTTGTGGAATTTGCAAGTGGAGATTTCAGCCGCTTTGAAGTCAAAGGTAGAAAAGGAAATATCTTCCTATAAAAAATAGACTGAATGATTCTCATAAACTCCTTTGTGATGTGTGCGTTCAACTCACAGAGTTTAACCTTTCTTTTCATAGAGCAGTTAGGAAACACTCTGTTTGTAAAGTCTGCAAGTGGATATTCAGACCTCCTTGAGGCCTTCGTTGGAAAAGGGATTTCTTCATATTCTGCTAGACAGAAGAATTCTCAGTAACTTCCTTGTGTTGTGTGTATTCAACTCACAGAGTTGAACGATCCTTTACACAGAGCAGACTTGAAACACTCTTTTTGTGGAATTTGCAAGTGGAGATTTCAGCCCGCTTTGAGGTCAATGGTTGAAAAGGAAATATCTTCGTATAATAAACTAGACAGAATCATTCTCAGAATCTGCTGCGTGATGTGTGCATTCAACTCTCAGAGTTTAACTTTTCTTTTCATTCAGCGGTTTGGAAACACTCTGTTTGTAAAGTCTGCACGTGGATATTTTGACCACTTAGAAGCCTTCTTTGGAAACGGGTTTTCTTCATGTAAGGCTAGACAGAAGAATTCCCAGTAACTTCCTTGTGTTGTGTTCATTCAACTCACAGAGTTGAACGTTCCCTTAGACAGAGCAGATTTGAAACACTCTTTTTGTGCAATTGGCAAGTGGAGATTTCAAGCGCTTTAAGGTCAATGGCAGAAAAGGAAATATCTTCGTTTCAAAACTAGACAGAATCATTCCCACAAACTGCGTTGTGATGTGTTCGTTCAACTCACAGAGTTTAACCTTTCTTTTCATAGAGCAGTTAGGAAACAGTCTGTTTGTAAATTCTGTAAGTGGATATTCTGACATCTTGTGGCCTTCGTTGGAAACGGGATTTCTTCATATTCTGCTAGTCAGAAGAATTCTCAGTAACTTCCTTGTGTAGTGTGTATTCAACTCACAGAGTTGAACGATCCTTTACACAGAGCAGACTTGAAACACTCTTTTTGTGGAATTTGCAAGTGGAGATTTCAGCCGCTTTGAGGTCAATGGTAGAAAAGGAAATATCTTCGTATAAAGACTAGACAGAATGATTCTCAGAAACTCCTTTGTGATGTGTGCGTTCAACTCACAGAGTTTAACTTTTCTTTTCATAGAGCAGTTAGGAAACACTCTGTTTGTAAAGTCTGCAAGTGGATATTCAGACCTCTTTGAGGCCTTCGTTGGAAACGGGATTTCTTCATATTATGGTAGACAGAAGAATTCTCAGTAACTTCCTTGTGTTGTGTGTATTCAACTCACAGAGTTGAACGATCCTTTACACAGAGCAGACGTGAAACACTCTTTTTGTGGAATTTGCAAGTGGAGATTTCAGCCGCTTTGAGGTCAATAGTAGAAAAGGAAATATCTTCGTAGAAAAACTAGACAGAATCATTCTCAGAAACTGCTCTGCGATGTGTGCGTTCAACTCTCAGAGTTTAACTTTTCTTCTCATTCAGCAGTTTGGAAACACTCTGTTTGTAAAGTCTGCACGTGGATATTTTGACCACTTAGAGGCCTTCGTTGGAAACGGGTTTTTTTCCTGTAAGGCTAGACAGAATCATTCTCAGAAACTGCTCTGCGATGTGTGCATTCAACTCTCAGAGTTTAACTTTTCTTTTCATTCAGCAGTGTGGAAACACTCTGTTTGTAAAGTCTGCACGTGGATATTTTGACCACTTAGAGGCCTTCGTTGGAAACGGGTTTTTTTCCTGTAAGGCTAGACAGAAGAATTCTCAGTAACTTCCTTGTGTTGTGTGTATTCAACTCACAGAGTTGAACGACGCTTTACAGAGAGCAGACTTGAAACACTCTTTTTGTGGAATTTGCAAGTGGAGATTTCAGCCGCTTGAGGTCAATGGTAGAAAAGGAAACTATCTTCGTATAAAGACTAGACAGAATGATTCTCAGAAACTCCTTTGTGATGTGTGTGTTCAACTCACAGAGTTGAACCTTTCTTTTCATAGAGCAGTTAGTAAACAATCTGTTTATAAAGTCTGCAAGTGGATATTCAGATCCCTTTGAGGCCTTCGTTGGAAACGGGATTTCTTCATATTATGCTAGACAGAAGAATTCTCAGTAACTTCCTTGTGTTGTGTGTATTCAACTGACAGAGTTGAACTTTCGTTTAGAGAGAGCAGATTTGAAACACTGTTTTTGTGGAATTTGCAAGTGGAGATTTCAAGCGCTTTGGGGCCAAAGGCAGAAAAGGAAATATCTTCGTATAAAAACTAGACAGAATCATTCTCAGAAACTGCTCTGCGATGTGTGCGTTCAACTCTTAGAGTTTAACTTTTCTTTTCATTCAGCAGTTTGGAAACACTCTGTTTGGAAAGTCTGCACGTGGATAATTTGACCACATAGAGGCCTTCGTTGGAAACGGGTTTTTTTCATGTAAGGCTAGACAGAAGAATTCCCAGTAACTTCCTTGTGTTGTGTACATTCAACTCACAGAGTTGAGACGTTCCCTTAGACCGAGCAGATTTGAAACACTCTTTTTGTGCAATTGGCAAGTGGAGATTTCAAGCGCTTTAAGGTCAATGGCAGAAAAGGAAATATCTTCGTTTCAAAACTAGACAGAATGATTCTCATAAACTCCTTTGTGATGTGTGCGTTCAACTCACAGAGTTTAACCTTTCTTTTCATAGAGCAGTTAGTAAACACTCTGTTTGGAAAGTCTGCAAGTGGATATTCAGACCTCTTTGAGGCCTTCGTTGGAAACGGGATTTCTTCATATTCTGCTAGACAGAAGAATTCTCAGTAACTTCCCTTGTGTTGTGTGTATTCAACTCACAGAGTTGAACGATCCTTTACACAGAGCAGACTTGAAACACTCTTTTTGTGGAATTTGCAAGTGGAGATTTCAGCCGCTTTGAGGTCAATAGTAGAAAAGGAAATATCTTCGTAGAAAAACTAGACAGAATGATTCTCAGAAACTCCTTTGTGATGTGTGCGTTCAACTCACAGAGTTTAACCTTTCTTTTCATAGAGCAGTTAGGAAACACTCTGTTTGTAAAGTCTGCAAGTGGATATTCAGACCTCCTTGAGGCCTTCGTTTGAAACGGGATTTCTTCATATTATGCAAGACAGAAGAATTCCCAGTAACTTCTTGTGTTGTGTGTGTTCAACTCACAGAGTTGAACTTTCATTTACCCAGAGCAGATTTGAAACACTCTTTTTGTGGAATTTGCAAGTGGAGATTTCAAGCGCTTTGAGGCCAAAGGCAGAAAAGGAAATATCTTCGTTTCAAAACTAGACAGAATCATTCTCAGAAACTGCTGCGTGATGTGTGCGTTCAACTCTCAGAGTTTAACTTTTCTTTTCATTCAGCGGTTTGGAAACACTCTGTTTGTAAAGTCTGCACGTGGATATTTTGACCACTTATAGGCCTTCGTTGGAAACGGGTTTTTTTCATGTAAGGCTAGACAGAAGAATTCTCAGTAACTACCTTGTGTTGTGTGTATTCAACTCACAGAGTTGAACGATCCTTTACACAGAGCAGACTTGAAACACTCTATTTGTGCAATTTGCAAGTGTAGATTTCAAGCGCTTTAAGGTCAATGGCAGAAAAGGAAATATCTTCGTTTTAAAACTAGACAGAATCATTCCCACAAACTGCGTTGTGATGTGTTCGTTCAACTCACAGAGTTTAACCTTTCTGTTCATAGAGCAGTTAGGAAACACTCTGTTTGTAAAGTCTGTAAGTGGATATCCTGACATCTTGTGGCCTTCGTTGGAAACGGGATTTCTTCATATTCTGCTAGACAGAAGAATTCTCAGTAACTTCCTTGTGTTGTGTGTATTGAACTCACAGAGTTGAACGATCCTTTACACAGAGCAGACTTGAAACACTCTTTTTGTGGAATTTGCAAGTGGAGATTTCAGCCGCTTTGAGGTCAATGGTAGAATAGGAAATATCTTCCTATAGAAACTAGACAGAATGATTCTCAGAAAGTCCTTTGTGATGTGTTTGTTCAACTCACAGAGTTTAACCTTTCTTTTCATAGAGCAGTTAGGAAACACTCTGTTTGTAAAGTCTGCAAGTGGATATTCAGACCTCTTTGAGGACTTCGTTGGAAACGGGATTTCTTCATATTCTGCTAGACAGAAGAATTCCCAGTAACTTCCTTGTGTTGTGTGTGTTCAACTCACAGAGTTGAACTTTCATTTACACAGAGCAGATTTGAAACACTCTTTTTGAGGAATTTGCAAGTGGAGATGTCAAGCGCTTTGAGGCCAAAGGCAGAAAAGGAAATATCTTCGTTTCAAAATTAGACAGAATCATTCCCACAAACTGCGTTGTGATGTGTTCGTTCAACTCACAGAGTTTAATCTTTCTTTTCATAGAGCAGTTAGGAAACACTCTGTTGGTAAATTATGTAAGTGGATATTCTGACATCTTGTGGCCTCCGTTGGAAACGGGATTTCTTCATATTCTGCTAGACAGAAGAATTCTCAGAATCTTCCTTGTGTTGTGTGTATTCAACTCACAGAGTTGAACGATCCTTTACACAGAGCAGACTTGAAACACTCTTTTTATGGAATTTGCAAGTGGAGATTTCAGCCGCTTTGAGGTCAATGGTAGAAAAGGAAATATCTTCGTATAAAAACTAGACAGAATCATTCTCAGAAACTGCTCTGCGATGTGTGCGTTCAACTCTCAGAGTTTAATTTTTCTTTTCATTCAGCAGTTTGGAAACACTCTCTTTGTAAAGTCTGCACGTGGATATTTTGACCACTTAGAGGCCTTCGTTGGAAACGGGTTTTATTCCTGTAAGGCTAGACAGAAGAATTCCCAGTAACTTCCTTGTGTTGTGTGCAGTCAACTCACAGAGATGAACGTTCCCTTTGACAGAGCAGATTTGAAACACTCTATTTGTGCAATTTGCAAGTGTAGATTTCAAGCGCTTTAAGGTCAATGGCAGAAAAGGAAATATTTTCGTTTCAAAACTAGACAGAATCATTCCCACAAACTGCGTTGTGATGTGTTCATTCAACTCACAGAGTTTAACCATTCTTTTCATAGAGCGGTTAGGAAACACTCTGTTTATAAAGTCTGCAAGTGGATATTCAGACCTTTTGAGGCCTTCGTTGGAAACGGGATTTCTTCATATGATGCTAGACAGAAGAATTCCCAGTAACTTCCTTGTGTTGTGTGTGTTCAACTCACAGAGTTGAAATTTCATTTACACAGAGCAGACTTGTAACACTCTTTTTGTGGAATTTGCAAGTGGAGATTTCAGCCGCTTTGAAGTCAAAGGTAGAAAAGGAAATATCTTCGTATAAAAACTAGACAGAATGATTCTCAGAAACTCCTTTGTGATGTGTGCGTTCAACTCTCAGAGTTCAACTTTTCTTTTCATTCAGCAGTTTGGAAACACTCTGTTTGTAAAGTCTGCACGTGGATATTTTGACCACTTAGAGGCCTTCGTTGGAAACGGGTTTTTTTCCTGTAAGGCTAGACAGAAGAATTCCCAGTAACTTCCCTTGTTTTGTGTACATTCAACTCACAGAGTTGAACGTTCCCTTAGATAGAGCAGATTTGAAACACTCTTTTTGTGCAATTGGCTAGTGGTGATTTCAGCCGCTTTGAGGTCAATGGTAGAAAAGGAAATATCTTCGTATAAAAACTAGACAGAATCATTCCCACAAACTGCGTTGTGATGTGTTCGTTCAACTCACAGAGTTTAACCTTTCTGTTCATAGAGCAGTTAGGAAACACTCTGTTTGTAAAGTCTGCAAGTGGATATTCAGACCTCCTTGAGGCCTTCGTTGGAAATGGGATTTCTTCATATTCTGCTAGACAGAATAATTCTCAGTAACTTCCTTGTGTTGTGTGTATTCAACTCACAGAGTTGAAGGATCCTTTACAGCGAACAGGCTTGAAACACTCTTTTTGTCGAATTTGCAAGTGGAGATTTCAGCCGCTTTGAGGTCAATGGTAGAATAGGAAATATCTTCTTATAGAAACTAGACAAAATGATTCTCAGAAACTTCTTTGTGATGTGTGCGTTCAACTCACAGAGTTTAACCTTTCTTTTCATAGAGCAGTTAGGAAACACTCTGTTTGTAAACTCTGCAAGTGGATATTCAGACCTCTTTGAGGCCTTCATTGGAAACGGGATTTCTCCATACTATGCTAGACAGAAGAATTCTCAGTAACTTCCTTGTGTTGTGTGTATTCAACTCACAGAGTTGAACGATCCTTTACACAGAGCAGACTTGAAACACTCTTTTTGTGGAATTTGCAAGTGGAGATTTCAACCGCTTTGAGGTCAATGGTAGAAAAGGAAATATCTTCGTATAAAGACTAGACAGAATGATTCTCATAAACTCCTTTGTGATGTGTGCGGTCAACTCACAGAGTTTAACTTTTCTTTTCATAGAGCAGTTAGGAAACACTCTGTTTGTAAAGTGTGCAAGTGGATATTCAGACCTCTTTGAGGCCTTCGTTGGAAACAGGATTTCTTCATATTATGCTAGACAGAAGAATTCCCAGGAACTTCCTTGTGTTGTGTACATTCAACTCACAGAGTTGAACGTTCCCTTAGACAGAGCAGATTTGAAACGCTCTTTTTGTGCAATTGGCAAGTGGTGATTTCAGCCTCTTTGAGGTCAATGGTAGAAAAGGAAATATCTTCGTATAAAAACTAGACAGAATCATTCCCACAAACTGCGTTGTGATGTGTTCGTTCAACTCACAGAGTTTAACCTTTCTTTTCATAGAGCAGTTAGGAAACACTCTGTTGGTAAAATCTGTAAGTGGATATTCTGACATCTTGTGGCCTTCGTTGGAAACGGGATTTCTTCATATTCTGCTAGACAGAAGAATTCTCAGAAACTTCCTTGTGTTGTGTGTATTCAACTCATAGAGTTGAACGATCGTTTACACAGAGCAGACTTGAGAAATTCTTTTTGTGGAATTTGCAAGTGGAGATTTCAGCCGCTTTGAGGTCAATGGTAGAAAAGGAAATATCTTCATATAAAAACTAGACAGAATGATTCTCAGAAACTCCTTTGTGATGTGTGAGTTCAACTCACAGAGTTTAACCTTTCTTTTCATAGAGCAGTTAGGAAACACTCTGTTTGTAAAGTCTGCAAGTGGATATTCAGACCTCTTTGAGGCCTTCGTTGGAAACGGGATTTCTTCATATTCTGCTGAGACAGAAGAATTCTCAGTAACTTCCTTGTTTTGTGTGTATTCAACTCACAGTTAAACGATCCTTTACACAGAGCAGACTTGAAACACTCTTTTTGTGGAATTTGCAAGTGGAGATTTCAGCCGCTTTGAGGTCAATAGTAGAAAAGGAAATATCTTCGTAGAAAAACTAGACAGAATCATTCTCAGAAACTGCTCTGTGATGTGTGCGTTCAACTCTCAGAGTTTAACTTTTCTTTTCATTCAGCAGTTTGGAAACACTCTGTTTGTAAAGTCTGCATGTGGATATTTTGAGCACTTGGAGGCCTTCGTTGGAAACGGGTTTTTTTCATGTAAGGCTAGACAGGAGAATTCCCAGTAACTTCCTTGTGTTGTGTGCATTCAACTCACAGAGTTGAACGTTCCGTTAGACAGAGCAGATTTGAAATACTCTATTTGTGCAATTTGCAACTGTAGATTTCAAGCGTTTTAAGGTCAATGGCAGAAAAGGAAATATCTTCGTATAAAAACTAGTCAGAATCATTCCCACAAACTGCGTTGTGATGTGTTCGTTCAACTCACAGAGTTTAACCTTTCTTTTCATAGAGCAGTTAGGAAACACTCTGTTGGTAAATTCTGTAAGTGGATATTCTGACATCTTGTGGCCTCCGTTGGAAACGGGATTTCTTCATATTCTGCTAGACAGAATAATTCTCAGTAACTTCCTTGTGTTGTGTGTATTCAACTCACAGAGTTGAACGATCCTTTACAGAGAGCAGACTTGAAACACGCTTTTTGTGGAATTTGCAAGTGGAGATTTCAGCCGCTTTGAGGTCAATGGTAGAATAGGAAATATCTTCCTATAGAAACAAGACAGAATGATTCTCAGAAACTCCTTTGTGATGTTTGCGTTCAACTGACAGAGTTTAACCTTTCTTTTCATAGAGCAGTTAGGAAACACTCTGTTTGTAAAGTCTGCAAGTGGATATTCAGACCTCTTTGAGTCCTTCGTTGGAAACGGGATTTCTTCATATTCTGCTAGACAGAAGAATTCCCAGCAACTTCCTTGTGTTGTGTGTGTTCAACTCACAGAGTTGAACTTTCATTTACACAGAGCAGATTTGAAACACTCTTTTTGTGGAATTTGCAAGTGGAGATTTCAAGCGCTTTGAGGCCAAAGGCAGAAAAGGAAATATCTTCGTATAAAAACTAGACAGAATCATTCTCAGAAACTGCTGCGTGATGTGTGCGTTCAACTCTCAGAGTTTAACTTCTCTTTTCATTCAGCGGTTTGGAAACACTCTGTTTGTAAAGTCTGCACGTGGATATTTTGACCACTTAGAGGCCTTCGTTGGAAACGGGTTTTTTTCATGTAAGGCTAGACAGAAGAATTCCCAGTAACTTCCTTGTGTTGTGTGCATTCAACTCACAGAGTTGAACGTTCCCTTAGACAGAGCAGATTTGAAACACTCTATTTGTGCAATTTGCAAGTGTAGATTTCAAGCGCTTTAAGGTCAATGGCAGAAAAGGAAATATCTTCGTTTCAAAACTAGACAGAATCATTCCCACAAGCTGCGTTGTGATGTGTTCGTTCAACTCACAGAGTTTAACCTTTCTGTTCATAGAGCAGTTAGGAAACACTCTGTTTGTAAAGTCTGTAAGTGGATATTCTGACATCTTGTGGCCTTCGTTGCAAACGGGATTTCTTCATATTCTGCTAGACAGAAGAATTCTCAGTAACTTCCTTGTATTGTGAGTATTCAACTCACAGAGTTAAACGATCCTTTACACAGAGCAGACTTGAAACACTCTTTTTGTGGAATTTGCAAGTGGAGAATTCAGCCGCTTTGAGGTCAATGGTAGAATAGTAAATATCTTCCTATAGAAAATTGACAGAATGATTCTCAGAAACTCCTTTGTGATGTGTGCGTTCAACTCACAGAGTTTAACCTTTCTTTTCATAGAGCAGTTAGGAAACACTCTGTTTGTAAAGTCTCCAAGTGGATATTCAGACCTCTTTGAGGCCTTCGTTGGATACGTGTTTTTTTCATATAAGGCTAGACAGAAGAATTCCCAGTAACTTCCTTGTGATGTGTGTGTTCAACTCACAGAGTTGAACTTTCATTTACACAGAGCAGATTTGAAACACTCTTTTTGTGGAATTTGCAAGTGGAGATTTCAAGCGCTTTGAGGCCAAAGGCAGAAAAGGAAATATCTTCGTTTCAAAACTAGACAGAATCATTCTCAGAAACTGCTCTGCGATGTGTGCGTTCAACTCTCAGAGTTTAACTTTTCTTTTCATTCAGCAGTTTGGAAACACTGTGTAAAGTCTGCACGTGGATAATTTGACCACTTAGAGGCCTTCGTTGGAAACGGGTTTTTTTCATGTAAGGCTAGACAGAAGAATTCCCAGTAACTTCCTTGTGTTGTGTGCATTCAACTCACAGAGTTGAACGTTCCCTTAGACAGAGCAGATTTGAAACACTCTATTTGTGCAATTTGCAAGTGTAGATTTCAAGCGGTTTAAGGTCAACGCCAGAAAAGGAAATATCTTCGTTTCAAAACTAGACAGAATCATTCCCACAAACTGCGTTGTGATGTGTTCGTTCAACTCACAGAGTTTAAACTTTCTGTTCATAGAGCAGTTAGGAAACACTCTGTTTTTAAAGTCTGCCAGTGGATATTCAGACCTCTTTGAGGCCTTCGTTGGAAACGGGATTTCTTCATATTCTGCTAGACAGAAGAATTCTCAGAAACTTCC